>NC_000007.14:102203748-102506779 GCF_000001405.40 Homo sapiens
ACATATGTATGGCCATATGGGAGCGTCAGAAAACTCGGGTGTGTACACGCAACTCGGCAATCATCTGCGGCGGAATGTCACTCCCAGGCCGGCTCCCCAGGTCCCACCAGCTCACCTCTGGGCCCCCACCTTTGATCAGGATGTGGTCAGAACAAGCAGACCTTTCTAAATGCTGGCCTGGCTCAGCGTTTGCAGAGGACACCAGCTTCGCCAGTCCCACCGGCACCCACTGCCCCACCTCTGGAGGGATCTTGTCCCTGGAACCTTAGCCTTTCCCGGTGCCACCAAGTGAAGAGCAAGGTGCTTGTACACACCTCCTCCGCGGGGTGTCAGGGTGACAGCCCTGCCATCTTGGCAGGATCAAGACCCTGGGATGAGACCCTCTTCCCTCCCTGGGAGCTGAGAGCTGTGGCTGTAACCATGGCTCACCCGAAAGTCCCCCTGTGCCGGGGTCTCAGCCACCGTTGATCTTTAAATGCATATTCCCTGCCCACAAGCTGTCACCGCCACCAGGCCGTGGTTCTGTGCTCAGAAGTCAGCCCTAGACGCGCCCTCTGCGTGGTGGGTGTGCATTGCAGCAGCATCTGTGGTGTCATGCTAATAGCCAGGCACTGATGGCCTGTGTGTTCGGTGCCACTCCAGGTGCTGGGCCTGTCCCAGGGCAGCGTCAGCGACATGCTGTCCCGACCGAAGCCATGGAGCAAGCTGACGCAGAAAGGCCGAGAACCCTTCATCCGGATGCAGCTCTGGCTGAACGGCGAGCTAGGCCAGGGTGTTCTACCCGTCCAGGGCCAGCAGCAAGGGCCAGGTAATGGGGGTCCTGCCACAGGAGAGGGGCTGCCCCCCCATAGCAAGGACCTGGTCACAGCAGCCCCACCTGGGCTATGCAGAGAGGGAGGAGGGAACTCCGCCCCAGGAGGTGGCCAACCACACTCCCCACCGTGGGCTGGTGCTGGGGGACAGAACCGTCCCCTTCCTCCACAACCTGTTGCCGTGGGACTGACTTCAGTGTTTAGGAGAGATCATGCCTGTCTAATTTTATAAGCAGCAGAAAATGAGTTACCAATTTAAAAAATGCTGTTTATACATAAATACAGGTAAAAGTCAAGTAGCTGAATCAGGGAGTCAGGAAAGAAAGTCAGCCAAAGGTACAAAAGTGGAAGATGTCACAGGCGAAACCTTTCACCTGCTCCCGGCCCGGGGGCCTGGCCTTGCAACAGCAGCGCCTCCCCGGCCCGTGGGTCCCCATGCCCGCCCCTCCCCAGGAGGAATGGGAAGCCTCCCCGGGCCTTGCCACATTCAGTTAGGAAGCTTTAAGCCCTGGGCCGCGTTCCTTCCTTTAATTATAACCTTTTTCTACTTTAGTCCTCCACTCCGTGACATCGCTCCAGGACCCGCTGCAGCAGGGCTGTGTGAGCTCAGGTAAGCAGCCAGTTTCTGTTGCTTTTGCATGAAATGTCTCACTGCCTTTTCTGTTGTCCCGTGCTGTGGTCTGTCCCGGCGAGACTCCGAGGGACCGCACATTCTGGATTTGGGGAGCTGAAATATGGCATCCTATCTGCAAACGGGGTCCCTCTCTGTGTCAGTTTCTAATGGAGAGCGAGCTGACAGTGCATGGAGGGACTCTGCCAAGATTTGCACGCCCACTGTCATCCTTTGTCGGCCCAGAGCCTTGTGTTCAGGGCTGGGGTCTAAGTCGGAGACAGATTCCCCACTCAGGGGGCTTACCGTCTGATAGGAAGGGATAAAGCACGGGCACACGTCCCTCTCCTGGTGGGGTCATGTCGGGGGACTTCTTATCTAACCGGAAGACATCCAGGCAGCCTCTGAGCAAGAAAATGGGGAGCTTTGAGCTTGAGCAGTGGGAAAGGTAGGGTAGCAGAAAGGAAATGGCCAGGAAGCCCCTGAAGACAGCTCAGGTGTGAACGAATGGAGAGCTGGGGACTGAGATCTGAGCCTGGGAGCAGGTGGTGGCGGAGAGTGGTGGCTGCAGGCTGAGAAACTCGGGCTCCTTCCTGTCTGCATTTCACAGCCTCGAGGTCTCCAACCACACTTGTTCTCTTTGCCACATGGTGCCTGGACACAGCCCACCGAGGCTGACCCATGGCCACGGCTCCCAGGCTCTCGTCTGCGCCCCCCCGCCTCCCTTCTCGTGCGCCAATCCCACACTTGGAGCTGAGCTTTTCACAGCCAGCTTTTAGGAACAGCCAGCACTGTGAGCTGGTCCTCTTTTTCCCTTTCTGTATTTTTCTAAACATGTTGATTCGTCTCCATATCCCATTGATTCATTGAAAACACAAACAAAGCTAACAGGAGCACGAAGCCCGCCAGCTTGCCGCAAGCTCCACGAGGGGGAACATGTGTAGCACGGGGAACAGCTGTGTGGCAGTGGCTGCTGCTTCTACAAGAGACCAAACCCTCATACAGATGCAGCCGGGGCACCTCGGTGGCATCCAAGTCCCCAGTTGAGAGTTCTGCGTGTTTTCCGTGTTCTGATTTGACTCTGACCAACGTGGGGGTCGAGAGGCTGCATCTCACCCGCGCCGTGGGTCTTCTTGGCTGGACATCTAGGTGGAGCGGGTGCCCATTGGAAGAAGGGATCACTCATTCTGGCTTGGCCAATTTAATTAGAAAGTACCAAGAACTAATCCAGCACTGGCTCGAGTTCAGAATACTTCAGGGGAAATAATGGACATAGCTGTTTGTGCTGGAGTTTTACGGACGTCTGCTTGGAAAGTTAGCCTTGACCCCCTGCTCTAACGGGAAGTTGGCCTTCTTGAAACTCACGAGAGTATTTGATTCCATTGAGGCAGGACTGAACTTGGCAGAAAGTGACTAATGTATTCTAGATCAAAACCCCTTGTTAGACCAGGTGCGGTGGCTCACGCCTGTAATCCCAACACTTTGGGAGGCCGAGGTGGGTGCATCACCTGAGGTCAGGAGTTTAAGACCAGCCTGGCCAACGTGGTGAAACCCCGTCTCTACTAAAGATACAAAAAAATTAGCTGAGTGTGGTGGTAGGAGCCTGTAATCCCAGCTAGTCAGGAGGCTGAGGCAGGAGAATTGCTTGAACCCAGGAGGCGGAGGTTGCAGTGAGCTGAGATCGTACCACTGCACTCTAGCCTGGGCAACAGAGCGAGACTCCATCTCAAAAACAAAAAAAACCCTCGTCCTACATAAAACAGGAAGTCTCCCCTGGTGCCAGGCCTGCTAATGATCGATGCCAGAAGCAACTTCTATGTGACGGAACAAATCCTTGAAGAATGACGTTTTACTTTGTATTGTAACGGATCATCGCCACTGTGCTGGAACGTTTGTACAACAGTCACATTTCAAACCTAGGAAAAACACACTAGGCTCCTAAGAGGAATGTAAATGATATTTGTAAAATATCAATTGACTTTATAGAATAAAGTTAGTTAAGACTCCTGGGCAATCTCGCAGATTGGAAGCAGGAGAGAGAAAAAGGCGATGAGCCCCTGGATGAAACGGAACAGAGTGTAGAAGTTGCCAGTGGTTTTTGTGAAGAGGCAGCAGATGGGTGTGTCTCCCCCACCCGCCTTCCATGTCATTCCAGCAAGAGGGGAGGTTGAGCACAAATCACTTACCCAAAATCTTGAAGTCATAGGAAAGCCACCAGCAGAAGCAAAAATCGTGGTGACTAGGGAGAAAAATGGAAAAAGATTTCTTATTTGCAGGAAAAAATATTTTTTTTTTTTTGAGACAGAGTCTCGCTGTGTCACCCAGGCTGGAGTGCAGTGGCACAATCTCAGCTCACTGTAACCTCCACCCCCCCAGGTTCAAGTGATTCTCCTGCCTCAGCCTCCTGAGTAGCTGGGAATACAGGTACCCATCACCACGCCCGGCTAATTTTTGTAGTTTCGGTAGTGACAGAGTTTCAACATGTTGGCCAGGCCGGTCTCGAACTCCTGATCTCAGGTGATCCCCCCACCTTGGCCTCCCAAAGTGCTGGGATTACAGGTGTGAGCCACTGCACCTGGCCAGGAAAATTTTAAAAAATTGTATAGCATAATGATGGCCAAGTGAAAATATTTCTCTGGACCAGGAAGACTAGGAGGGCTTTGCCAGAAAGAAAAGAGATTATCATATGGTTTTCCTCGTCTGAATCTTTACTATCAGAGGTTACTTTTCAAGGGAGTTTCACACAGAGGCTCACATCTGTAATCCAAGCACTTTGGGAAGCCAAGGCAGACAGATCACCTGAACTTAGGAGTTCGAGACCAGCCTGGGCAACATGGTGAAACCCCATCTCTACAAAAAATGCAAAAATTAGCCAGGTGTGATGGCATGCACCTGTAGTTCCAGCTACTTGGGGGACTGAGGCGGGAGGATTGCTTGAGCCCAGGAGGTCGAGGCTGCAGTAAGCCAAGATCACGCCACTGCACTCCAAGCTGGGTGACAGACGGAGACCCTGTCTCAAAAAAAAACAAAAGAGAAAAGAAAAAAAGCTATGTTCACAGTATATGGAGTGTGTGTGTGTGTGTGTGTCTGTGTGATGGAGTCTCACTCTGTCGCCTAGGCTGGAGTGCAGTGGCACAATCTCAGCTCACTGCAACCTCCGCCTCCTGGGTTCAGGCGATTCTCCTGCCTCAGCCTCCCAAGTAGCTGAAACTACAGGCATGCGCCAGCACACCCAGCTAGTTGTATTTTTAGTAGAGACGGGGTTTCGCCCTGTTGGCCAGGTTGGTCTTGAACTCCCAACCTCAGGTGATCCACCCGCCTTAGCTTCCTAAAGTGCTGGGATTATAGGCATGAGCCACCGTGCCCCACCTAGTATATGGAATTTAATTTAGAAAAATAGAGTTGCTAACAGTGGTTTTTAGTAAATCCTTGGGATTAGTGACATGAGAGACTAGAATCTTCCTTGACTGTGTCTCTGTGGAAGCTTCCAGCAGTGCTGCCCCTGAAGCAGGAGAGCGAGCCTCTGTCCTAAGATTGCTACAGGATTCCGATTCCCTGTTCTTCCCATGGCTACCCCAGAATCCTTTCAAGAGGCCCCCAGACCCAGAAGATGCTCCCTCCATTGCTTGCCTCAAGTAGCTCGCCGTGGTAGAACCAATGTCTGCAGAAAGGTCATTGCAAGCCCGGCTTGGCTTCTTCCTGAATGTCAGTGAGAAATGCTCAGTGCTTGAGATTCTGGGCCTCGAAGATGGACTGGCGGTTGGTTTTCCTTCCCAGGTAGGCAGGGACTTTGGACAACTTGCTCAGCCAGCCACAGCCCTGCAGTAAGGGAATCGGGCTTACAGCGGAGTCCGTGGGGGCGGATGGCTCTGTGCTCTGTGCTCGGTTACCATGGTGATCAGGTGCCCTGCGCTAGAGTGGCCTCGCCCATCTGAACAGCAAGCTGCTGGCCCAGGAGTCTATTTTCTTTTCCTCACTGAGAGCTCCCGTCAGCCTTTTCCTGCCGGGCTCTGTTGCCTTGTCTGTCCTTCCGTTTTCCTTAATGACTTAGACGCCAATTTGCCAAAAAGGAGAGAGAAACTGACATTTCATTCACATCATCACTTTTTCCTCTTGGTGGATACAACTGGTTCTGAATGTTCCTCTAAGAATCCGAGCATGGGGGTGACGGGCTTGGGCATTAAGGAAATTTGATGCCATTTTTAAGCAGCAGCGTCACTAGTGACCCACCACTTTTTCTTAGACACTGTTGAGGCCTTGAAAAGGCGTAAGGTGAGCGGTAGGTTCCATGCCAGTCATGAGTAACTTTTTTTTTAAGAAAAAGGATTTTTAAGAGACAAATCTTCAGATCAGTTACCTGTTCATAGATTTCCTGGTACGTCTTAACTTTCTACAAATATTTTTTTTTGTTTGCTTCTTGCAAAATGCCCAGCACCTTGGGATATAAAGGGGGGTGTAGTTATAACCAGGGTCATCTTTGATCTCATTTGGAAAACTTCATTTCAAGATGGAGTTGCAGGTGGTCCTTGGGGACTGATTCTGCAAGCCCCTTTTGTCTGTCAGTCATTCCAGGCTTCATCCCTCATTTCTGGACCTCACACTACTTAACCATACCAAATGTTCATAGAGGAGAAGGTAGAGGCTCATTAAGGCTTGTTTGCTCAGAGTGTGGCCTTCTTATCATTTAGCAATTTATTGTATCTTATTCTATTTATTTTATTTATTTTTTATAGACAGACGGGGACTCACTCTGTTGCCCAGGCTGGAGTGCAGTGACACAATCACAGCTCAATACAGCCTCAATCTCTCAGGCTCAAACAATCCTCTCTCCTCAGCCTCCTGAGTAGCTGGGACTTATAGACACTTTCCACCACACTCAGCTAATTTTTTTATTTTTTGTAGAAGTGGGTCTCTCTTTTTTATTCGTTTTTGTTTTTGTTTTTTGAGATGGAGTCTCGTTCTGTCACCTGGGCTGGAGTGCAGTGGCGCGATCTCGACTCACTGCAACCTACACCTCCGGGGTTCAAGTAATTCTCCTTCCTCAGCCTCCCAAGTAGCTGGGATTACAGGTGCCTGCCACCACACCCAGGTAATTTTTGTATTTTTAATAGAGATGGGGTTTCACCATGTTGGCCAGGCTAGTCTCCAACTCCTGACCTCGGGTGATCCTCCCACCTTGGCCTCCCAAAGTGCTAGGATTACAGGTGTAAGTCACCACACCCGGCCTTTTTTATTCTTTATTTCCAAATACCCAAGTAACCTGGTCTCTGTTGCCAGGGCTGGTCTCAAACTCCTGGCCTCCCAAAGTGCTGGGATTACCGATGTGAGCCACCATACCCGGCCACTTTGTAACTTTTTAATGTGGGAGCGTTTCATTGCTGTGGCTAACAAGCTGTTACGTCTGCATTCACACTGGCTTCAGGTGTATTATGGCTATCCAGGTGGAAGGATGGTCCCCTGCCCTTGGCTGAATCGTGAAATACCCAGCTCTTTCCTGGCGTGTTAGGAATGATGGGTTCCAAGCCTTCTCTGCTGCCTGTTGCTGTTCCCAGTCAGCCAACAGAGTATCAGTTGCCTCTTTGAGAAGACAGCTGCTATGGTCTGTCTCTAATGTGGGTGGTCCAATGTGTGCCCCTCTTTGACGTGAAGCCCACGGGGCCGTGGGCTGTCCATGACCTTGTACAACCAGGAGATTCCCCTTGGCTGCAGCCCCTATCGCGGACAGGTCCACGTTCCTTTTGAATGTGCATGCGTATCATGGTCATGGCTCTTAGCTGGTTCCCACCAGACAGCCAGGAACACGTGTCCAGGGCTCGTGAGCTTTGAACTCTGCAGTAAGATTCTAAAGCAGTGTCCTTGATAAGCAGTCAGTCGGCTCTCCCACATTCATGGCTAACAGTCAGTGTCGGGGGCATGTGGATAGCATGTTCATAGGGACAGGAGAGGCTGATTGCACCCCTGGGCATTCCACAGCACTGTCTAAAGCAGGCAGGGGCCAGGCGCGGTGGCTCACACCTGTAATCCCAGCCCTTTGGGAGGCCGAGGTGGGTGGATCACTTGAGGTCAGAAGTTTGAGACCAGCCTGGCCAACATGGTGAAACTCGGTCTCTACTAAAAATATAAAAATAAGTCAGGCATGGTGGCTTGCACCTGTGATCCCTGCTACTCAGGAGGCTGAGGCAAGAGTATCACTTGAACCCAGGAGGTGGAGGCTGCAGTGAGCAATGATAGCATCACTGCACTGCAGCCTGGGTGACAAAGCGAGACCCTCTCCGCCCGCAAAAAAAGAATACCTCTTCAATTGGAGACATTAAAGAATCAGCTTTTCGGCTGGGCGCAGTGGCTCACACCTGTAATCCCAGCACTTTGAGAGGCCGAGGCAGGTGCATCACCTGACGTCAGGAGTTCGAGACCAGCCTGGCCAACATGGGGAAACCCCGTCTCTAGTAAAAATACAAAAATTAGCCAGGCGTGGTGGTGCACACCTGTAATCCAGCTCCTTGGGAGGCTGAGGCAGGAGAATTGCTTGAACCCGAGAGACCCAGGTTGCAGTGGGCCGAGATTGCACTATTGCACTCCAGCAGGGTGACAAGAGTGAAACTCCATCTAAAAAAAAAAAAAAAAAAAAAAAAACTCAACCTGATCTCGGCTGAGCTAAGATGCAAAGGGACTGGCTGTGCCACTGTGAACCCTTCCAGAGGCAGGTGAGGCAGGCCGCGCGGGAGCAGCACGGGAAGTCCCGGCTGATGAGATGAGGCTGGGGGGCCGCCCCAAGAGCCACAGGAGGAAGGGCACATGCGCTTCTCAAAAGTTCCTTGATGTGTGATGTATAGGGATCACTCAGGGACCTTGCCGGAAAGCCCCTTTGTCACTGTGCGTGACCTGCTTGTTCAGTTCCCCAAGCGCCTCCAGATGCTTGTGGGATTCAAGATGGGGGCTGGCCACATGTTGCTGGAACCAGCACCCTGTGACATTTATGCAGGAGAACATGGGTATTTGAAGGGTCTTTTGTTCCTAGGACAGCCCTGCCTGGGGGACCCTGCACACACAGATCCTGCACAGATGTCAGGGGCAGCCAGTGCTGAGTACCACAGCCCACTTTAGGTTTTGTTTCAAAGCAACAAACGTCGCTGTCATCAAGTGAGCAAGGCAGCCTACGCAGGCTGCCAGCACCGCCCCAGCACCCTGCAGTCCCACCTTCCAGCACCACTCGTCACACACCCTTGGGGAAGGCTGCTTTGCCAGAACTCGGCCCCCCAAAGTCTCTGTTCCTAGAGCAGAATTTGTCCCTGTGCCTCACCCAAAGAGAGGGAAGTCATAGCCCAGAGTCACCGATTTATTTGACTTTTTTGTTTTTATTATGATTTGCAGGATTTTTTCCAAGAAGTAAAATGCACCATAGTTACAAAATGCAAGCATTCAAACTTACAGTCTTTTTAAGAAATCGGTCACCATCCCTCCCTCATCTTCCTGTCACACACCACCCCCACCCCCACACCCCACCCCACCACCATCCCCAGTTTGTCATGTGTCCTTCAGGACAGTCATGCACCTAAATATTTATTCCACGCAGATGGGGGGCGTGCAGGCCTCAAAAAGGCCGTGTGCCTTGCTTTTCTCACTTAGTAACACACCGTGGAGACCTTCCTCCATCAGCACATGGAGAATTTTCCCTTTTTGTGTGTACATGTGTGAGAGGGAGTCTCGCTCTGTCACCCAGGCTGGAGTGCAGTGGCACAATCTCGGCTCACTGCAGCCTCCGCCTTCCGAGTTCAAGCAGTTCTCCTGCCTCAGCCTCCAAGTAGCTGGGATCACAGGTGTGCACCACCACACCTGACTAATTTTTTGTATTTAGTAGAGACGGGGTTTCACCATGTTGCTCAGGCTGGCCTCGAACTCCTGACCTCTGGTGATCCACCCATCTTGGCCTCCCAAAGTGCTGGGGTTACAGGTGTGCACCACCACACCCAGCCAGATGTCTGCTTTTAAAACAGAATCTAGTCGCATCTTCCCACCTCCTTTGGTGGAGATTGTCCCTTGCAGATGGTGCAGGGTACTCCTGGTGCCGCAGTCCTGTGAGAGGTGATCTATATGTGCCTTTCCAAAGTCTCGACTTCTACAAAATGCTATTCCATCCTTGGAAGTTGCCTGTTCATTGACCAATTCCTTAAAGTGGACACAAAACCTTGAGCTTCCAGAGTAAGACTATAGGGCCTAGGTCATTGCTTAGGCCATTTGGGGCCAAGCTAGTATGGAACCAGGCCAACTAGGCTAGACACAGCCGGCGAGGCTGAGGGCTCACATAACTCTCGTTCTTCCCGTCGCTTTCCCTGGACCCTCCATCCTGGTGCTCCCTGGTTTCCCCTTCTGAAAAGGCCCGACAGGCCCAGTCCAGCTTGTAGACACATCCCGTTCTCTCCCCTTCAGGCTTTCCATAGAAAACAGAATTTACAGCACATTGGGCATTCAGTACAAGAGGCAAAAGTAGGTCATAGGAGCAAATGAGGACTTCAGTTTTCAGTGGTTGAATTCTAGGGAAGGAATGAAGAAGCTTAAATGCCTAGAAACCCTCAGGTGATTGCAGAAAGGGGGGTGGGAATAAAACAAGGGAGTCCACATGCTGGTGTGGTCTCTGTGCCACTCACAGAGCTGATGTCCGTAATCCTTAATCAGTAAGTGAGGCCGGGCTCAGTGGCTCACACCTGTAATCCCAGCACTTTGGGAGGCCAAGGCGGGTGGATCACCTGAGGTCAGGAGTTCAAGACCGGCCTGGCCAACATGGCAAAACCCTGTTTCTACTAAAAATACAAAAAAATTAGCTGGGTGTGGTGGCGGATGCCTGTATTCCCAGCTACTCGGGAGGCTGAGGCAGGAGAATTAACTCGAACCCAGAGGTGGTTGCACTGAGGCGAGATCACGCCACTGCACTCCAGCCTGGGCAACAAGAGCAAAACTTCATCTCAAAAATAATAATAATAATAATAAGTGGAAATGGTTCCCTTCTCTTACGGATGGAGTAAACCAAGGCTCAGAGATAAAAGGTGATTTGCCCCAATCAAGAAGAAGGTGGTGGCCAGGCGTGGTGGCTGACGCCTGTAATCCCAACACTTTGGGAGGCTAAGACTCAAGGATCGCTTGAGTCCAGGAATTTGAGACCAGCCTGAGCAACATAGCAAGACCCCATCTCTACAGAAAATTTAAAATTTAGCCGAGCATGGTGGTGTGCGCCTGTAGTCCCAGCTACTCAGGAGGCTGAGGCAGGAGGATTGCCTGAGCCCAGGAGTTGAATCAGCAAATCAGTGACAGCATGGAAGCCACATTTACTAGGTTTGGCTGTTGGAAAATGTGTAATCCACCTGGCCTAGGCTGCATGGAGTGTCCATGCTCCTTTGAAACCTCTTCTGGTCTAAATTCAGTGAACGTATACACACTGGCTTGAGGTCCTCTGCCTGCTACAGGGCAGCCCTGCCTTTCAGCTGTCACGGCCCCCCGGAGCCATGCCGACACCCAGGCCCCAGCCCCATGCGGACTGGCCCGAGGGACCTGCCCCGCTCCCGGTGAGGATAAGGAGGGGAGTTTCTTAATGGCATTGCCCTGGATAGATTGGGAGCCAGGCAGGAGGCTTCCATCGGGGCCTCCTCTAGATTTTGCGTTTACTTCTTCCCTTTGGAACCGGATTCCTAAATATAGCCCGAGTCTGAATTGGCAGATGTTGGGTCTGTCCTTTCCTTGACGGCCAAAATTAGTCTGTCATTTGGCACCTAAATAAAGCAGCCAAACTACCTTTATACCAGCTTTGCAATTAGGCGGTAGTTGGAACATTCTATTTGATAAGGAAACTTTTATGGATGCCTTAGCAGCACCTCTGAACCCAGGAGGCTGAGGAGAGAGGACACCCGGGCCCCAGAGGGACACTCCTTCCTCGCCATCAGGCCTTCTCATTCCAGAGTTAAGGTCAATTTTGTTCCATGTGGCTTAAAAACACCTCGTGAATGTGGAAAAGACAGTCAATGCTCCCCAGAAATAGCATTCTAAGAGCATGGCAATGGTTACTCCAACTTTTTTTTTTTTTTTTTTTTTTTTTTTTTGCAAGCAAAGAAAAATCTGTCCAGAGTGCCTGGAGCTGGGTTAGTGCAGGGACTCCCCAGGGGCAGCAGAAAGATGTTATAATCAATTATCACATCATAACACTGATGTATGATAATTACTGAGTGTTTCTCCTGAGATAGTGCAGCATTTGGCTGGGATGCCGCTCTTTCACGGTCCACTGCCTGATTAATATGCAAATAATAGGCTGATTGCATGATGAATGCAGAAATGAGTTCGCTGATAACGTGAGCACCGAAGCGGGAAGATGATAAATTACTTTTACTGACTGTCCTACATTAAGTACCCTTTCTCAACAATTTCATCACAAATTAAGTAAAGCAGTATGGAGAGATTAGGAGGACGTGTAAAATAATGTACCTTAATGGTTTTTCTAATACCATCGTGGAAGACGAAAATCTCAACTTGGTTCTGCCCGGGTCTTTGTAGGGCCAAGTGAGTTCACTCACCTGGGCATTGAGTGGAAGACAGGAGGCACCCCACCACACCGGCGTGTTCCACGGGCCATGATCAGCCATGGATTCTCTGAGGAATATCCCATTGCAGCCCAGACATTACCCGCACACTGGGCCAACAGGCAGCATCATGGAGGGAGGAGGACAGGCTGCTCTCGGGGCAGACGCAGCATCCTCCACACAGATGGGCACCCCCAAGCCTGCTGTCCACCATGTGCCTGCAGGAAAGGAGCATTTCTGGGCTGCAGGCCTGGAAGACTCGGAAAGAAAACAACATTTAAGACCTCCTGCCTGGGCACAGTGGCTCACGCCTATAATCCCAGCACTTTGGGAGGCCGCAGCGGGAGGATCACTTGAGGCCGGGAGTTTGAGACCAGCCTGGACAACATGGGGAAACCCCATCTCTACAAAAAATACAAAAATTAGCCAGGCGTAGTGGTGTGCATCTATAATCTATAGTCTATAGTCCCAGCTACTTTGGAGGCTGAGGCGGAAGGATCATTGGACCCTAGGAGGTGGAGGTTGCAGTGAGCTGAGATCACGCCACTGCACTCCAGCCTGGGCAGCAGAGCAACACCCCATCTCAAAATTTAACAAACAAAAAAAGACCTCCTTGACCTCTTTTTAGCTCTTCCAAGTCTCAGAAATCTGGAAAAATTAATTTCACTATTAGAATGGCAGTGGGCACACCGGCCAGAGAGCATGACTTGGTAAGGGATGGGTAGGTTTGTCCAAAGCCAGAATTGAACCCTTGAGAAAAAGAGGGCGTGCGTGTGTGCGCGCACACACACACTCTCCCCCCCACACACACACACCCACACACGCACACACACTCCCACACACACACTCTCCCACACACACACTCCCACACACACACACACACTCCCCACACACACACCCCCACACACGCACACACACACACTCTCCCACACACACTCACACACACACACTCCCCCACACACACTCCCACACGCACTCTCCACACACACATGCACACAGAGTCCCACACACACTTCTGCACACACACACTCTTCCACACACACTCTCCCACACACACACTCTCCCACACACACCCCCACACACACTCTCCCACCACACACACACACACATTCTCTCTCCCTCACACACACATTCTCTCACACACACATTATCTCACACACACACACACACACACATTTGCAGTGATTAATCTTTGATTACAGCAAAGCAATTTAACTAGAGGCTTTGTTTTTTCCCGTCTTAGTAATATATATTTAGACTGTTTGTATGACATACATTTTGTCTTAATGCACAGGGACGCATTGATAAGTGTTCGTACACACAGCTGGCTTGGTAATAAGGTTATTGAAGGTAATTTGAAAGCATCATTTCTAAATCAGTATGGATCTGCAGAAAAGCCGGAACAAGGCGAGCCTGTGCCCCTGAAGCAGGGCCATCTGTGTCACCCAGTGTCCCTTCAGCAATCTGGCCAGACTGAGTTCACTACCAAAATCGAATTGTAATTTAAGCAGGGTTTTTAATTTTTAATATCTTCAAGCTCTGCTTTTGATATGCTTATTTCCTTAAGAGCTTATAAAAGATACACAAGCCAACTGAGCCCAGAGGGAAAGTGACTTTCCACTCCGAATCCCCGGCAGGTCCCCTCCCCGCCCGCGGGTGAGCTCTGGTTCTGCGCAGGTTCCCGCCAACCACAGGGCCTCATCACCTCTGCAGCTTCCTCCTCGTGCATTTCAGGCCAACACAGAATTTCTAAGATCATTTCTCCCCACCGTACCTTCCCATGTCGGGGAGATGAAAGAGGAGAGTCGAAAACCATCCCCAGAGGGAGGGAGGCTCCAGATGGATGCCATGGTGTCTAGAGGGAGGGAGGCTCTGGATGGATGCGATGGTGTCTAGAGGGAGGGAGGCTCTGGATGGAAGCAATGGTGTCTAGAGGGAGGGAGGCTCTGGATGGACACGATGGTGTCTAGAGGGAGGGAGGATCTGGATGGACGTGATGGTGTCTAGAGGGAGGGAGGCTCTGGATGGATGTGATGGTGTCTAGAGGGAGGGAGGCTCTGGATGGACACGATGGTGTCTAGAGGGAGGGAGGATCTGGATGGACGTGATGGTGTCTAGAGGGAGGGAGGCTCTGGATGGATGCGATGGTGTCTAGAGGGAGGGAGGATCTGGATGGACACGATGGTGTCTAGAGAGAGGGAGGCTCCGGATGGATGCGATGGTGTCTAGAGGGAGAAAGGCTCTGGATGGACACGATGGTGTCTCCTCTAGTTAGAGGAGCTCATGGTTGACTTCTCAGAGCAACTTCTCACTCGCTTGGCAGCAGGGACCTGTCACACCCCTGTGCTGTGGCCAGGACCATGTTGCCTGCACTGCTGCACCTCCAGACCCTGCCCTGACACTGCTCTCCCCAGAAACACCCTCGTCCCAGACTCTTTGTTTGAGTGACCTGCTTAGTGACTTCGGCCTCCCGCTTTGGTTACAAGATGTGGGGGCGCAGGGTCTGCCTTGCTCACGGCTGTACCCCCACACCTGGCACATGGAGGGTTTCCCCATTGTGGAAAGCTCAGGTCCCATCTTCAAGTAACTTAGAAGTCAGGTTTGGGGAGGTAAAATACAAATCACACAAGTTAAACAACCTTGCTCTAATTGAAACAGGTTTTCTTTGGGGCCAGATATGGTGGCTCATGCCTGTAATCCCAGCACTTTGGGAGGCCGAGGCAGGAGAATCACTTGAGCCCAGGAGTTCAAGACCAGCCTGGGCAACATAGTGAGACCCTATCTCGACAAATAATAATTATAGTAAATTAGCTGGAATGGTGGTATGTGCTTGTAGTCCCAGCTGCTCAGGAGGCTGGGGCAGAGGGATTGCTTGAGCCCAGGAGGTCGATGCTGCAGTGAGCCGTGATTACGCCACTGCACTCCAGCCTGGGCAACAGGGTGAGACCATGTCTCAAGAAAAAAATCAAGAGAGAAAGAATTTTGGCTCCCATGTCATTATAAGAGTTTCTCGGGCAAACCTAAAAACATATATTGTTGGCCAGGCACGGTGGCTCAGGCCCATAATTCTAGCACTTTGGGAGTCTGAGGCGGGAAGATCACTAGAGTCCAGGAGTTCAAGACCAGCTTGGGCAACATAGTGAGGCCCCCCATCTCCACAAAAAATTAAAAATAACCAGGCATGGTGGTGCACGCCTGTCGTTCCAGCTACTCAGGAGGCAGGGGTGGGAAGATCACTTGAGCCCAGGAGGCAGAGGCTGCAGTGAGCCAAGATTGCACCATTACACTCCAACCTGGACAACAGATCAAGACCCTGCCTCAAAACACACACACACACACACACACACACACACACACACACACTATGGCTATATAGTTGTCACACAGACACACCCCAGCACCTACTAGGTACCAGAGACTTTGAGTTCATCTTATCCTATTCTTTCTTTAGTCCCTGCAGAGGGTGTGTGTGTGTGTGAGAGAGAGAGAGAAAGAAAATCATTGCTGTTCCATTTTATAGAAGAAACTGGCACCCATTGGTGGGGGTGGGGGGGACATTGATCTTTCCTGGAGTGGGGCAGAGCTACCACCCATCCCCTCTAGTTCCTCTGAGGCATCTTCCCTCCCACTCCAACCCTTCTCCACCTCCTCCCCCACACCCCCTACAGAATCTTTCTCAGGTTCTTTCTGCTGTTGAAAAACAGTGATTTGATAGGTTTGGGGCTGGCAAGGGATGTGCCCAAAGCTTGATGCTGCCACTTGTAAGGGCACAGACCTTCCCAGGGGGCAGAAGGCCAACCCAGGACCCTCGGGAATTGGACCTTCGCGTCGGCCCCCCGCTGGCGTCAGGCATAGCTGCTCACCTTCTTGGAAAGAAAGCCATTTTGTAGTTTGGCCACGCTGGGTACGTCTCTGATATTCCTTAGGATGTTGTTGGGCTACTTTTGTTTCTTTCATGGTAAGGAAACGTCCAGTGGCCCAGGAAGGAGGTGCAGAAAGCTCATGAGTGTCTCTGTGACATCTGCTAAAGTCGCTGCATATTTTGTTTCAAGCTCTTGCTAATCAGTCAAGATGCCAGTCTTACTCAAAAGAAGAATACTGTAGGTTTTTATATGGGCGATGTCTAATGGAGATGGAGGACTGTTCCGATGGAGATTCAGCAGGGCTGTGAGCTTCTGCTGCTGGATTCAGAAGCAAGGCTTGGGAACTGAGGAGCCCAGCGTCGCTGCCATGGTTGAGGAAAGCCTTGGTGTTCAGAAATTTCGGAGCTGGTCATGCAAGGGTGTCTCATGTTTGTGATATGAGCCTGTATGACCAAAATACAGGAGGCCAGGGCCGGGCACAGGGCCGGGCACAGTGGGATCACACCTGTAATCCCAGCACTTTGGGAGGCTGAGGCAGGCAGATCACTTGAGGTCAGGAGTTCGAGACCAGCCTGGCCAACATGGCGAAATCCCATCTCTACTAAAAATACAAAAATTAGCTGGGCCTGGTGGCACACACCTGTAATCCCAGCTACTCAGGAGGCTGAGGCAGGAGAACTGCTTGAAACCGGGAGGCGGAGGTTGCAGTTAGCCGAGATTGCACCACTACACTCCAGCCTGGGCAGCAGAGTGAGACTCCATCTGAAAACAAAAAACAAACAGGAGGCCAAATGAGCATTGCTGTTCCCCTTTGATGCTGAGAAACTCACTCCAGGCGTAAACCACCAGGGGGTGTGGTCTGTTTAGAGCACAGGGTCAGTTCCGGAGCAGGTCTGGTGCCCACATCACGATCTGTCCCTCTAAACCTAGCTAGGAAGTATCCAGGCTGGTGGCCACCCTGTTGTGTCTTCTGAAGCTGTCAGCACCGGTCGCTGGAAAGGCCCGCAGGCTGGGAAGAGTCTTTCTGAGCCTCTAGGGCTCCTGCCAGCCCCGGCATGCCCACACCGGGCACCTCAGAGCCTGCCGTGCATCCTTGTATCTTGCACCAGTCCCCGCCACCTCCAGGCCCATCCCTCCCTCGGGCTCTCCTTTCCTCTCCTCCAGGGCTCCCTTGATGTTTTTTATTTGTGTTTTTTTATTTTGTATTTTATTTTATTTACTTATTTATTTTTTTGAGATGGAGTAGCTGGGACTACAGACATATGCCACCACACCTGGCTAATTTTTGTATTTTTAGTAGAGACAGGGTTTTGCCGTGTTAGCAGGGCTGGCCTCAAACTCCTGACCTCAAGCGATCTGCCCACCTCGGCCTCCCAAATGTTGGGATTACAGGCGTGAGCCACCGTGCCCGGCTCCCCTGCTCATTCACACTTAATGTGCCAGGCCACGACCACCTCCCCTCTCCCCTCTCCCCTAACCTCCTCCCTCCTTCCACCCGCCCTTCCATACGTGTCTGTCTGTATAGTCATTGGAATTTCCTGGCTTGGCATGGGCTCAAAGCCGAAACCATGGACAGAATGAAAAGTGGCGCATCAGACCAGCCGCCAGTTAAATAATGTTTGGGTTCTTGTCAGAATGTCACGGAGTACCCTGTCATTTTGTTTCAGCAACTTGTCCTTCTGAATGCACAGTTCGCCTTATGGCATGCCAGCAGTAAAAATGTCACTTACAATAATTACTTTTTGGTGAAAATGCTTGCTGACTTCCCACCTTCAAGCTGTTTTTTACACAGTGGGGAGATAATAAGAAACGACTTTATCCTGACTGCTCAAATGAACACTAAATGGAATTTGGGTTCTTATTACTGCAGATAGAGGGCCGGGTATGGAAATTTCAACAGTAGATCGGAAGAACTGCAGAGAGATGTATCTCCGAGAATTACGGCGGGTGCGGGTTTTCAATTGGCTCCCATTGAAAACTTAAGGCAGCTGTTGTTTGCCTGCTGTTTTTGGAATATAATATTTTTCATAATCCTTTTATAGTTCGTGAATGCCTTGTGTATCTCAGAGGGCCTTGAGTCACTATCTCTGCTTTCTGTAGCTTGCTCACCAAGCTCCTCTTATGCCAGATTCAGTGCCTTGTAAAAAAAAAAAAAAAAAAAAAAAATTAATTCACATAGATGACTTTTTAAATGTAACACCTTACTATTGCTGTCAAAACTGGATGGATGGTACTGTGCAGTGGGGCTTTTAAAATATGCAAATTACCCATTTTCAATTGTCCTGGTCCTGCAGGCTGCAGGGTCCTTGGAAGCGAGGTTTTTGTCTGATTTCTCCCTTATCCCCAAGACACAGAGTAGGTGCTTTAAAAATATGTGAGTAGGCTGGATGCGGTGACTCATGCCTGTAATCCCAGCACTTTGGGAGGCAGAGGTGGGTGGTTCGCTGGAGCCCAGGAGTTCGAGACCAGTCTGGGCAACATAGCAAGACCCCATCTCTCTACAAAATATACAAAAATTAGCCAGGCGTGGTGGCACACACCTGTGGTCCCAGCTACTTTGGGTCATACATTGGCAAGGAGGCTAAAGTGGGAGGGTCTCTGAAGCCCAGGAGGTCGAGACTGCAGTGAACCATGATCACACCACTGCATTCCAGCTGGAGCAACAGAGCAAGACCTCGTCTCAAAAAAAATTAAAATGAGAGTGAAATGACGCAGGAATGACGGTAGGCTGCAATTCAGAATCACGTGGTGTTGGCAGATAGCAGGATGGGTAGGAAGGTCGAGGTTTTCCCCTCCTGATCCTTGCACCATCTGTGTGACTTTAACCAAGTCACGTTGCCTGTCTGAGCCTCTGTTTTCTCACCTGGGATGTAGGGTGTAAATTTCCACCCCAGGGACCATTGGGAGAATTGAATGAAGCCACATGCAGACGCCCTCAGCTCGCTGCTCCATTCACGCCTGGTATGAAATGTGTTTTGGTTCCCTTCCACAATCCTATGAGTGGATCAGCTTTTTGTGACTCATCGTTAAGTCTTCGAGATTCACGCATGTCGATATGTGGGTTGTAGAAAAACTGTGCCTGGGAAGGCAGGCACAGTCACTCTGTCACTAACGCACACTTGGGCGCAGGGTGCAGGCGCCACCAGCTGTACAGGGGCTGTTTAGAATATGGCCCATCCACCTAGCTCCTGGCTGTGTGTCTCGGGGCACCGTATCTTTTTTTTTTTTTTTTTTTTTTTTTTGAGACAGAGTCTCACTCTGTTGCCCAGGCTGGAATGCAATGACACGATGTCAGCTCACTGCAACCGCCACCTCCCAGGTTCAAGCAATTCCCCTGTCTCAGCTTCCCGAGTAGCTGGGCACGCGCCTGGCTAATTTTTGTATTTTTAGTAGAGATGGGGTTTCACCATGTTGGCCAGGCTGGTCTCGAACTCCTGACTTAAGGTGATCTGCCCACCTCAGCCTCCCAAAGTGCTGGGATTACAGGCATGAGCCACTGCGCCTGGCCAGGGCACCATATTTTACCTGTGTAAAATGTGGGAAGTGGCCGGGCACAGTGGCTCACACCTGTAATTCAGCACTTTTGGAGGCCAGGGTGAGAAGATCACTCGAGGCCAAGAGTTTAAGGACCAACCTGGGTAACATAGCAAAACCCTGTCTCTATTTTTTAAAGTTTAAAAAAAGTTTAATGTTTTAAAAAAGATAAATGCATCATACAGGATGTGGCCTTTTGAGTCTGTCGCCAGCGTCCCTGTCATGTGTCAGGCATTGTGGGAGAAATAGCACTCAGTCATAAGATTTATGTTGACTGTAGGTCTTTATAGAAACAAATACATTTGACCAGGTGCAGTGGCTCACCCTGTCAGGGTGGCGAGGGTGAGGGGACCCTCTGTGCAGCGGGGAGAGTTGGCTTCCTGTAGGATTCACTGTCTGTCCTAACAGAACAAAAATATGGTCAATAGAAAAGAAACATTACTTCTCCTTTCAAACATTAGCAGATGGAGCCCTGTGATTAAAACGATACTTTCTGAAACAACAAGGCTTTGCTCTGTTCCATGCAATTAAAAATAATAATAAAAAAAGAAAAAAAGGGTCAGGCGCGGTGGCTCACACCTGTAATCCCAGCACTTTGGGAGGCCAAGGTGGGCGGGTCATCTAAGGTCAGGAGTTGGAGACCAGCCTGGCCAACATTGTGAAACCCCATCTCTACTAAAAATACAAAAATTACCTGGGCTTGGTGGCACGAACCTGTAATCCCAGCTACTCGGGAGGCAGAGGCAGGAGAATCGTTTGAACCCGGGAGGCGGAAGTTGCAGTGAGATCGTGCCACTGCACTCCAGCCTGGGCAACAGAGGGAGACTCTGTCTCAAAAAAGAGAAAAAGAAAAGAATGACTTTCTCCCCAACATGATGTTCTGAGCTCGTGGATTCACGGTGTCTCCAACGCGTCTGTTTGCTGTGGCATCTCTCCATGCCTGTGCAAAAAACATGTACTCAATCCTGTTTCTTTGACCTGAGACCATAGCCACAACTGTGCATGCAGATGTCTGTTGGCGAGTAAACTATCTCCCAGGAAGAGCATGCAGCTTCCAGCTGTCTTCTACATTTTATTTATTTATTTATTTATTTAGAGACAGAGTCTCACTCTGTCCCCAAGGCTGGAGTGCCATGGCACGATCTCAGCTCACTGCAACCTCCGCCTCCCCCATTCAAGCCATTCTCCTGCCTCTGCCTCCCCAGTAGCTGGGATTACAGGCACCCGCCACCATGCCTGGCTGGTTTTTGTATTTTTAGTAGGGAGGGGGTTTCACCACGTTGGCCAGGCTGGTCTCAAACTCCTGTCTTCCAAGTGATCTGCCCGCCTCAGCCTCCCAAAGGTCTTCTGCATTTTAGACTCAGATTGAGAGTGGAGAGACAGATACAAGCCACCTCCAGCAACCAGCCGCCACATGTCACTTTCACATGCCTGGACCTCTCAGGGCTCGGACAGGGCTTTGATCTCAGGGGGCCTGCCTTTGTCTGTAGTCACAGCCTGGAGCACAGAGGGACACCTGTAACAGTAGTGAGCGCCCCTGTTTAGTTCTCCTGGGGGTTCATGATGGCACAAATCCACGCCACTGGCTTGCAAGGCGCACTGGAAGAAAGAACTGTACAGCCTCTGAGTTTCGTGGTGGCTCTGCCTCCGCCAGCACCCAGAACAAAACAGGGAGATGCCACAGCAGCCGGCACCACACTCGGTTTATTAGCCAGACAGCCATGATGTTGACCTTGCTGTGGGTTAAAGGACACAAAACCTGAAGAGAAATCTGTTTATCATTTGGGAAATTCATGCCATCCTTGACAGTATCTGGTGAGCAAGATGGATGATCTGCCAGGCCGGCCCCTCGCATGGGTGAATCACGCCATCCTTACGGTACGGTTCCTCTGCCGGCTTCAGACACAAAAATAACATTTGTGGGGTTTTATATCCAGTTCTCTGGTGACCCGGGGGGTGAGCAGAGAGAAGAAATCTGATTTGTAAGATTCACATTGCCCTAAAGATTTATACGGACCATTTCTGCCTCTTACGCTTGTCTCTTCTACATCTTTCAAAAACCGGTTTGGCATGTGTTTTTCTCTTTGTAACCTGATTTCCCAGGTCAAGGACACAGCCTTATGCGATGGCGGAAGTTTGTGCCGGTTCAGGACGATAAACGGGTTGATCGCTTAAGTTGCAAATGTTTTATTTGAGGTTTTGCTCTTTCTAGGTATGAATACAAAATATTCCTTGTAGTTGGAATGTATTTATGGCAGGTTAGTGTATCCTGGATACAGTATGTCCAGAAAAGGACTCTTAAGATAAATGGTAAATTGAAGTTAAGTTGCTGCTCTATGCTACATTTTCTTTTCAGCCAGGTAACAAGTATTTTGGGCTATCTACTATGGTGCTGATGTTGACTGAGTGACCTGCTAGGGCCCAAGGGAGAAGCAGCAAGAGTAAGACCCTTGGCCAGGCACAGTGGCTCCTGCCTGTAAACCCAGCACTTTGGGAGGCCAAGAAGGGAGGATCACTTGAGGCCAGGAGTTCAGCCTAGGCAACATAGCAAGACCTCATCTCTACAAAATAAAAAATTAGACAGGTGTAGTGGTGCAAGTCTGCAGTCCCAGCTACTTGCAAGGCTGAGGTGGGAGGATTGCTTGAGCACAGGATTTTGAATCAGCCAGGGCAACCTAGCAAGACCCCATCTCCACAAAAAAAAATTTTACAAGACCCTGGGAGCAGAGAGCATGGCCTGGGCCCTCTTACCTGGCACTGTGGGGTCTTACTCTGTGTCACCCTCAGTGGGCATCAGGGGAGAGATTGTGCCAAGACACTGAGCTGGGCCAGGGGCAGATTCTGCCTTGCAGGCAGGACCTCAGCCCGAAGCCACATCTTCCTCCAGGACAGTTTCTATCTGCAGAAATTAGGAAATGGTCTAAGTCTTTATCCCAGACATCCCAGAACTGGAATCCAGCCTCTTTTATCAGGTTTTATGGGCTGTTATCAGAGGCCAGAGGGATCACTCACCAACAGAGCCCAGCTGGCATTTCCCACTGGGCACCCACGGCGACCCCAACAAGGCAGAGGAGAGTGTAGACTCTGGCTTGTCCACACCAGCCCAGTCACTTCTGCTGTTGGTTACAGCATGGCTTATACCAGCAAAGAGCTCGGTTTTCAGAAGCAGGCAGAACCAGCAAGTCCCAAGGTTGGAGGTAGAACTCTAAAATGGAAGAGCTGGGGAAACAGGGTGCTCCTCCTCTCCTTGCCTCTCTCCATCTTCCCCTAGAGTTGGGTGCTGTGGAGTTCTCTGCTCTTCACAACAAAAAAACAGCTGGGCATGGTGGTGTGCACCTGTGGTCCAGGAGGAGCCGTGATTGCACCACTGCACTCCAGCCTGGGCCACCGAGCAAGACCCCATCTCTAAAAACATAAAAGTAAAAATAAACCAACCTAGGTCCTGAGACCCAGTGCTGGAGGACCAGAAGCTATAGCCTTATGTTTCCGCAGTTGTTGTTTTTTTTCTTTTTTGAGATGGAGTCTCACTCTCACTCTGTCACCCAGGCTGGAGTGCAGTGGCACAATCTTGGCTCACTGCAACCTCCACCTCCTGGGTGCAAGTGATTCTCCTGCCTCAGCCTCCTGAGTAGCTGGGATTACAGGCGTGAGCCACCATGCCTGGCTGATTTTTGTATTTTTAGTAGAGATGGAGTTTCACCACGTTGGCCAGGCTGGTCTCGAACTCCTGACCTTAGATGATCCACTCGCCCAGCCACATTTCCTCCTAAGGGTCTTCCTAACTGTGGTGACTACGTATTGTGGGCAGCCCTCATTTAAAACAATCTGTCTATGCTTTTTGTTCTGGAAAATATGGACAACATAACTACACAAGTTATGATCTAGCCAAAGTGCTTCTGAATTACCAAATTATGGGGTTTCATTAGAAGAAATGACAGCGATAACATGATTAATAGGAGTTTTTTTAGCAGAATGCCCTCATGTTAAGCCTTCCGAAGCCTTTCTTTTAAACCCCTAGTTTTTCTCGCAATGATGTTATTTTTGTTTTTTAATATGGAAGACTAGAGGTTACTCTCAGTCAAAAAAATATGAAACAGTTCACTAAGACCCACAGAAAACCCTACCGTCTGCTTCTCCTACAGAGCGTTTAATTAGTATTTCCTAGATAAGGAACGTAGATGGTCGTGGTAAAAGACAGCTATTTTCAGGCACGGTTTCTCGTGTGCTTTAATTACAGAAAGCACTCCAAAGACCTCCGCCAGCTGCAGCCCTGCCCCTGAGTCCCCGATGAGTTCCAGTGAGTCGGTGAAGAGCCTGACCGAGCTGGTCCAGCAGCCCTGTCCCCCCATCGAGGCGAGCAAGGACAGCAAGCCACCAGAGCCCAGTGACCCGCCAGCATCCGACTCCCAGCCCACAACCCCGCTGCCTCTCTCCGGACACTCGGCCCTCAGCATCCAAGAATTAGTAGCCATGTCCCCGGAGCTGGACACCTACGGCATAACCAAGCGGGTGAAGGAGGTGCTGACGGACAACAACCTCGGTAGGTTCTCCTCTCGGCTGCTGAGTCAGGAGGTGGCAGGGAGTTTGCAGGAGGAGCAGGTGAAGGGCGGGCCCTAGGCCAAGCCAACCACAGAGTCTCAACTTGTGTAGGCACCCTTTGAGAACATGAAACATCCTATAGTTGTGAACAGTAAGGAGCGTGCCGTCTGCAGGTCAGTCCCCACCTCCTCCCCACCCTGCACCCCCACGGGGACCAGTTAGAAGATGAGCATGGAGTCAGAGTGGACTCGGGAGGATCCACACAGACTGTCTCTTTTTTTTCTTTTTTTTTTTTTTTTTTTGAGACAGTCTTGCTCTGTCACCCAGGCTGGAGTGCAGTGGCACAATCTCAGCTCACTGCAACCTCTGCCTCCCCGGTTCAAGTGACTGTCGTGCCCCAGCCTCCTGAGTAGCTGGGATTACAGGTACCTGCCACCACTCCTGGCTAATTTTTGTATTTTCAGTAGAGGTGGGGTTTCACCATGTTGGCCAGGCTGGTCTCGAACTCTTGGCCTCAAGCAATCTGCCCACCTCAGCCTCCAAAATTCTTGGGATCACAGGATCCCAAGCCAGGCATGAGCCATCGTGCCTGGCTTAGATGTATCTCAATAGAGACAGTCTGAGTAAGTCCAGATTTCTTGAGGCCACAGTCTGAGACCAGCCTGGGCCACATAGCAAGACCCCATCTCTACAAAGAATTTTAAAATTAGCTGGACATGTTGATGTGCACCTGTAGTCCCAGCTACTCAGGAGCCTAAGGTGGGAGGATCACTTGAGCCCAAGAGTTCGAGACCAGCCTAGGCAACATAGCAAGACCCCTTCTCTATAACAGATTTAAAAATTAGGCCGGGCATAGTGGCTCATGCCTGTAATCCCAGCACATTGGGAGGCCACAGCAGGAGGATCGCTTGAGTCCAGCCAGGAGTTCGAGACCAACCTGGGCAGCATGGCAAAACCCTATCTCTACAAAAAATGTAAAAATTAGCCGGGTATGGTGGTGCACGCCTGTAGTTCAGCTACTCGGGAGGCTGAAGCAGGAGAATCGTTTGAACCCTGTAGTTTTAGGCTGCAGTGAGCTATGACCATGCCACTGTACTTCAGCCTGGACAACACAGTGAGATTCTGTCTCAAAAAAAGAAAGAGGTAGACACCCATTAGAGCCTGGCATCCTCGGGGCTCCAGAGCTGGGCAGCGTCCACCCGGCAGTGCCAGGATGGCTTAGTGGAAGGTCTAACGGACCCCGGTTCTCACTCTGCTCACTGAGTCCGTGATGCTGGCCAGGCTGCCTGCATTCTCAGATCCCCCTCCACGAAACTGGAGTAACCACGCCTGCCTGGGAGCAGTGAGTAGCAGCATTTTCTAGCACCAGGCCCGACTGGTAATAATAGTCATTGTTATTTTATCATTGCTGTTCCCGCTGCCTTGCGAAGCCATCTCCATTTCACAGCCCACAGCTGGGGCGGGCAGCCCCTGGGGAACTCACTCCGTCACCCTGGCATCCCACCGTGCCTCAGACCTGGCCTCGGCCTGGCACATGCTCTAGCCCCCTGGGTGCTCGGCCTGGGTTGGTTGTCTGTGCTCTGTGTCACTGGTCATCAGCTGCTGTGGCTGTAAGAATGTTACGGTGTTTCATCTTTTTTTTTTTTTTTTTTGAGATGGAGCCTCACTCTGTCGCCCAGGCTGGAGTGCAGTGGCGCAACCTCAGCTTACTACAGCCTCTCGGCTCACTGAATGCCGGGTTCACGCGATTCTCCTGCCTCAGTCTCCCGAGTAGCTGGGATTACAGGCATCCGCCACCGTGCCCAGCTAATTTTTGTATTTTTAGTAGAGACAGGGTTTCACCACGTTGGCCAGGATGGTCTCGAACTCCTGACCTCAAGTGATCCACCCACCTCGGCCTCCCAAAACACAGGGATTACAGGCATGAGCCACCGTGTCTGGCCTTTTTTTTTTTTTTTTTTTTTTTTGAGACAGAGTCTCACCGTCTCACTCAGGCTGGAGTGCAGTGGCACAATCGCGGCTCACTATAATCACTGCCTCCTGGGTTCAGGCGATTCTCCTGCCTCAGCCTCCCAAGTAGCTGGGATTACAGGTGCCCACCACCACGCCTGGCTAATTTTTGTATTTTCAGTAGAGACAGAGTTTCACCATGCTGCCAAGGCTGGTCTCGAATTGGCCTCTGGCCTCAGGTGATCCACCCACCTTGGCCTCCAAAAATGCTGGGATTACAGGCATGAGCCACCACACCAGCCAAGCCTATTTTGTCATTTTAAACCACCGTGCTCCTCCAGTGTGGTGTTAACCAGGCAGGGTTCCCTGGTTTAGGCACGCGGAGATTGGAAACCCACCCTTTCTATCTTTATTTCCCAAGGGTGAAAGTCAGTTAAAGGGGCAGTGTTCTCTGCAGAGCATGTAAGCACAACCCTACCGAGTGGTTGCAGTTTGTCTGCTGCTCATGGAAAGGCCTTGTGTGTCTTTTCTTTCTCCCATGGGATGAGAAGAGAAGGGAGGCCGAGCATGGTGGCTCACTTGAGAATGACAGGTGGCCTGTAACCCTAGCACTTTGGGAGGCTGAGGCAGGTGGATCACCTGAGGCCAGGAGTTCGAGACCAGCCTGGGCAACACAGTGAGACCCCGTCTCTACAAAAAAAAAATTTTTTAAAAATTATTATCCAGGCATGGTGGCACCCGCTGTAATCCCTGCTGCTTGGGAGGCTGAGGTGGGAGGATCACTTGAGTCCAGGAGGTTGAGGCAGCAGTGAGCCACGGTGGCATCACTGCACTCCAGCCTGGGCAACAGAGCAAGACACTATCTCAAAAAAAAAAAATTAAAAAAAAAAAAAAGAACAGAGTAGCTGAGTTCCACTAAAGTTTGCTCAGTGATCTAACAGCCTGGAGGTTAGGCCAGCTTGTCCAGTGGAAGCCTCCCATCCCCATGTCTGTATGCAACAGACAAAACAGAATGAGAGAAAAAGTCATATCAATGAGACCTTATATAATTAAGTCAATTCATAAAAATAAAAATGTAGCTGTTGATTTGAAAAAATGGCTAATTCCCATATGTTCATCAGTTATTGAATCATGCAGGGATTCCTAGACTTGAGTCATCTCCCACTTCATAGCTCGTCACACATCCAAGGAAGCAGACCAGTTGCATCACTCCTGCCCACCTCCTTATAGGAAGTGGCATTTCGTGTAAATGTTGAAAATCAGATAGGGTCTAGCTCTGTTGCCCAGGCCGGAGTGCAGTGGCACGATCATAGCTTACTGCAGCCTTGAACTCCTGGGCTCAAGCAATCCTCCCACCTCAGCCTACTGAGTAGCTGGGACTACAGGCACACACCCCAAGCCCGGCTATTTTTTTTTTTTTTTTTTTTTTGAGATGGAGTCTCGCTCTGTTGCCCAGGGTGGAGTGCAGTGGCGCGATCTCGGCTTACTGCAATCTCCGCCTCCCAGGTTCACGCCATTCTCCTGCCTCAGCCTCCCAAGTAGCTGGGACTACAGGCGCCCACCACCATGCCCGGCTAATTTTTTTGTATTTTTAGTAGAGACGGGGTTTCACTGTGTTAGCCAGGATGGTCTCAATCTCCTGACCTCGTGATCTGCCCGCCTCAACCTCCCAAAGTGCTGGGATTACAGGCGTGAGCCACTGCGCCCAGCCTTTTTTTTTTTTTAAATAGAGATGGGGTTTCACCATATTGCCCAGGCTGGTCTCAAAACTCCTAGGCTGAAGTTATCATCCATGCCACCATCATTGCTGGAGTTTTCCTTGATGTTGGTTTTACTGGGTGAAGGTTTGTAGCTTTCTTCAGGCTCTCAAATGGGTCTGTAGCCCCAAAACAATTAAAAGTCATGGCTAGGAAACATCTAGGAGTCATACAGATAATTTTCCAGGAATAATCATCTGATTTTTTTTTCCCCATTCAGCTGGGAGGCCTAAGCAAAGAGCAACTAGCTATTCATATATATTGCTTTCCCGAACATAGCAAGCTCCTTGAAATGAAAATAGATTCTTTTACCATGTTAGCATTAAGTAAAATTTTCTCTTTTTTTTTTTTTTTTTGAGATGGAGTCTCGCTCTGTCACCCAGGCTGGAGTGCAGTGGCACGATCTCGGCTCACTGCAAGCTCCGCCTCCCGGGTTCACGCCATTCTCCTGCCTCAGCCTCCTGAGTAGCTGGGACTACAGGGGCCCACCACCACGCCCAGCTAATTTTTTGTATTTTTAGTAGAGACGGGGTTTTACTGTGTGAGCCAGGATGGTCTCGATCTCCTGACCTCATGATCTGCCCACCTTGGCCTTGCAAAGTGCTGGGATTACAGGCGTGAGCCACCGCACCTGGCCAAAATTTTCTTATAACAACTAAAAAAAAAAAAATCATAAGGACTTGGGACATTTATAGGCTAAAGAGTTTGAAAAGCAGAGAAACACAGGTTTACAAAATCAGTAAATTTATCTTTAAGTTTTTTGTTTTGTTTTGTTTTGTTTTTTCTTTTTCTTTTTCTTTTTATCTTAAGTTTAAAATGACTAAGCCAGGCGTGGTGGTGCACACCTGTAATCCCAGCTACTCGGGATGCTGAGGTAGAACAATTGCTTGAGCCCAGGAGCTCGAGTCCAGCCTGGGCAATATAGCGAGACCCTGTTTCTTTAGGGAAAAAAATTAAAAAGACTGATAAGAAATTAATGTCTCAGCTTCAGTGCTTTCTAGGCAGTAAACTTTTACTTGGAGGCCCCCTTCTTAGAAGCCAGTGTGTGGTGTTTCTATTTCACATAGAGGATGTAAGCCACAGAGAGAACAAGCCAGCCCTCTGTCGTCTCCCTGCCCCGGATGGGGAGAGGTGCCTTCTGTTCTGTACACTTTATGGGGTCAAACGCTGGCCCCTCTGATCCCAGTCTCCACTTCCACCTAATAAGTCCTGTTCATTCAAGTACTCCCGTCAGGCCTTCCAGGTTATCACTGATCCTAATTTGTATCTTTACAAGCGGTGGCCCTCTAAACCAGCAGCGGAATGGCCCTCAGAGAAGTGAGCCTTTCTTTCTAAGCTCCTGACAAGCATTGCCAACTCAATGCGGCTGTGCTCTCCATAGCGAAATGCCCTCTGATCAGCCTGTGAAGCGGGCTGCCTGCCCCTGCCTGGGAGAAGAAAAGGTATCAGGAAAGGGGTTTTGATCCACTTCCAGTTACTTTATTTAGCAAAGGCAGCCTAGACTGCAAAAGCAGACTTTGGAATTGGAATCGGCCGGCCTCTCAGAAAAGCAGAGCTGGGCAGCTCCCTCTCCTCTGTCCTGCTGTGATTGTGGGTTGCCTGCCCCGTTTTCTCAGCGAGACCTGATAACCTTGCTAATTGTGGAAGGAGACGCAGGTTGCCCTCTGATTTGAGGTTGTACAAGAGAGGTCTCCTGTTTGCTGTTTGGCCTCCTGAGCTCTGGCTTAGAGATTTCACTGCCTCTGAGAAACACCACAGGTGTTAGCGTGACCTCAGCACATACAAAGCCTGAAGGCTTTTTTTTTTCCTTTTTTTTTTTTTTTTTGAGACAACGGTCTCTCTCTCTGTTGCCCAGGCTGGAGTGCAGTGGTGCAATCATAGCTCACTGCAGTCTCAACCTCCTGGGCTCAGGCAATCCTCCCATCTCAGCCTCCTAAGTAGCTGGAACTATAGGTACATGCCACCACGCCTAGCTAATTTTTTGTGTGTGTATTTTTGTAGAGACTGAGTCTCACTGTGTTGCCCAGGCTGGTCTCAAACCCCTGGGCTCAAATGATCTTCCCGCTTCAGCCTCCCAAAGGGCCCTTCCGGCCACCGCACCAGGCTGAAGGCTTAAGAGAAACGTCACTGGCCAGATGCGGTGACTCATGCCTATAATCCCAGCACTTTGGGAGGCTGATGGGGGTGGATCACCTGAGGTCAGGAGTTCAAGACCAGCCTGGCCAACATGGCGAAAACCCGTCTCTACTAAAAATACAAAAATTAGCCAGGCGTGGTGGCGAGCACCTGTAGTCCCAGGTACTCTGGAGGCTGAGACAGGAGAATTGCTTGAACCTGGGAGGCGGAGGTTGCAGTGAGCCAAGATTACACTACTGCGCTCCAGCCTGGGTGACAGAGCAAGACTCCATCTCAAAAAAATAATAATAATAAAGAGAAATGTCATTGGTTGTGTGTACGGAGAATGCAAGAGCAATGCCAACTCCCTGGCCAATGGAGAGTATTATAAGTCTGGTTGAAGATATATTTCTACCACATGTTTGCTGTAAGCTAGGATGTCACCAGCCCAACCCTGAGCCTTTAAACTCCTGTGTCTGATTTTAACCTTGACACGTACTTGTCCCTTCAGATCCCTGGCTCTCGGTGACAATACCTGTCTTGCTTCTGTTTTCTCTCTAGGCCAGCGCTTATTTGGGGAGACCATCTTAGGGCTCACCCAAGGCTCTGTCTCTGACCTCCTTGCCCGCCCCAAACCCTGGCATAAGCTCAGTCTGAAAGGACGAGAGCCCTTCGTCCGGATGCAGCTGTGGCTGAACGACCCCAACAATGTGGAGAAGCTGATGGACATGAAACGGATGGAGAAGAAAGGTAAGTCTCCCTGCCCCGCCCGGGCCGGCTGCGTCCGCATTCATAGACAGGCTGTTTCTTTCAAATCTTTCACACACAGCTGATGAGGGACATTGACCCATGACCAAGGGACCAGAGGACAGGGCAAAAATATTTTTGGATGGTCATCAGCTAATGAGTACCTAAGAGGGCTGGAAAGTTGTGTAACTTTTTCTCTCCAGCAGCCTGAATCTAAAGATTTTTTTAGCACTGGGAGCACTTTTAACCAAGGAGAGCGAAACAGCTCTGGGGGCGCTGCATTTGGTTTTTGTGTTGTGTGGGTGGCTGATCGGGCTATCACAGCATTTACTGAGCATGTACCAGGTGGCTAGAGGCCTTCCTTTGTTATCAGAGAGAGAAATAAGAAATGCATTTTGTAGGCAGGGCACGGCGGCTCACGCCTGTAATCTCAGCACTTTGGGAGGCTGAGGCAGGCGGATCACTTGAGGTCAGGAGTTCAAGACCAGCCTGGCCAACATGGCAAAACCCCCTCACTACTAAAAAAAAAAAAAAAAAAAAAATATAGCCAAGCTTGGTGGCGTGCGCCTCTATAATCCCAACTACTTGGGAGGCTGAGGCACAAGAATCGCTTGAACCCTGCAGGCGGTGAACAGAGATTGAGCCACCGCACTCCAGCCTGGGTGACAGACCATGACCCTATCTCAAAAAAAAAAAATGCATTTTGTAGATCAGGAAACAGAGGTTCAGAGAGGTTCGGTGCCTCCACCAAGGTCACCCGGCCTGGAAAGTGACAAAGCAAACTCCTGCCACAACAGATCTCTCTCTTGCTGTTATTTCCCAGCCTCTGGGGATTTGGCCTCCCTAGAGGAATAACCCCACGTGCACCCACATGTCATCTCGAATGTGGATTCATGTTCTTCTTGCAGCCTGTAGGCTACAGCATAGGAAAAATGCCTAAAGCCAGGTGTGCTGTGCCTCTTGGTTTGCAGTTTCTAAGCGCTGGTCCTCGCCAGTGAGTCCGCCCCTCGAGCACCCTCAGTCCTCAGGTCACCTATGGTGCTGGGAGCTCACTGGGCGGCTGAACTGCATCCCTTAGGGGCAGAGACTGGGAACCAGCTGCTGCCGGTCTGACCGTAAGAAGCGGCAGCCTCCCTGATCAGCTAACGCAGAGGACCTTAACTAAGAGTGGGCATCCCAGGGGCCGGGCACAGTGGCTCATGTCTGTAATCCCAGCACTTTGGGAGTCCGAGGCAGGTGGATCACTTGAGGTTCAGAGTTCAAGACCAGCCTCAGCAACATAGTGAAACCCCATCTCTACTGAAAAATACAAAAATCAGCCAGGCATGGTGGCGCACGCCCGTAATCCCAGCTACTTGGGAGGCTGAGGCAGGAGAATCGCTTGAACCTGGGAGGAGGAGGTTGCAGTGAGCAGAGATGACACCACTGCACTCCAGCCTGGGCGGCACAGCGAGACCCCATCTCAAAAAAAAAAAAAAAAAGAATGGGCATCCCAGGCCCTTGAGTGGCTCTGCCCCAGCCCACCCCACCCCCGTCCCCGCCACACACACACACACACACACGCGCACACAACATCTGAGCCAGGGGTGGGTATGGAACCCAGGCCTGTCAGTTCTTAATTCACCCAGAAATTCCAGCCAAGCATCGCCGTTCTCACCCAACCCGGGAAAGGACTGCTGAAGGAGAGAGAGTGTCTGGTGCCTCCTCCAGGAACCCTATGGGGGTTCCTTTATAATAATAGAGGCTTCTATTTTCTGAGAACTGCCCTGTTTGCCAGGCACTGCGCTAAGACTGCTGTTCATCCACACGACTCTGCTTAGATGTCCTTATCCAGGAAATACGAACCTCGGTGCTTCATGCAGCCTAGCAGATTTCAATAGCTCCTATCAGTAGGGAACGGGAATTCATACTCAGGGCTGTCAGATTTCAAAGCAGATGCTCTTAAATATACATCCGCTGCCTCTGTGCTGCGAGCTGCCCCCCTGGGATGACCCAGGGGCACTGCTGCTGCCCACTGATGACCTGCCCAGGTGGTGGCCTCTGCCCCATTCAGGGCCCCTCTAGCGAGCTCTGGCCTGCCCTTGGGCCTGTAGTCTAAGGGTCTGAGGTAGGCCATGCCTCTTGGGCAGCCCCAGGCAGCGCTGTAAGCTGCAGAGGCCTGGTGCCACATTGCCCCCCTAAAAGTTTTCAACTTATTTTTCGTTTTGTTTTTTGTTTTTTGTTTTTTAAAGTCTCGCTATATTGCCCAGGCTGATCTTGAACTCCTGGCCTCAAGCAGTCCTCCCATCTCGGCCTCCCAAAGCGCTGGGATTACAGGCATGAGCCACTGCGCCCGGCCTTTTCAATGTCTTATTATGGGAAATCTCCAACATAAACAAAAGTAGAGAAAATGCTGTCATGAACCCAATAGATCTGTGCAGAGTTTCCCGTGATCCCCTCACCCGAGCAGCGTGAAGCTTCCTGCACTAGCCAGGAGGCAGCCCTCAGCCCTTAGGAGGGAGGAGGCCCTGACAACCCAACTCCCTGCTGTGTTTCTCACCCTGGGGCCCTTAGGAAAGGACCTTAGTCCCCGCAAATACATCTCCAGGGCTTCCCAGGCCTCCCATCTTTCCCTCGGCACAGGCTCGGGGCGCCCTCTTGTGTTACAAATGAATTACTGTTTCTGCGGGGCCCAGACCTTTCCAAAGGTGCCCTAGTATCCAAAGCCGCTGTGGTCCGATGGCCTTCTCTTCACTCCTGGGGGTGCCGGCCACAAAGGCTGCTCCCTAGAGAGGCCTTCTCCAGCCCCCTGCCAGCCCCTGGTCAGTCGTCTGTCCCCTAGGAGGGAACTGGAGGGAGTCCCCACGGTTGGACAATCCAACTCCTTTCTCTGGATCCAGCAGCTTTGACTCCGCTGTTTGGGTTTTCTATGGGGAAGATTTACCTTCTCAATTGCTTCTGAGTTCTCATGACAAAATGGCAAGTTAATTAAGGAAATCCCTTGCCTAAGCTGTTTATTTTATTTTTTTAGAGACAGGGTCTCTGTTGCCCAGGCTGGAGGGCAGTGATGCAATCATAGCTCACTGCTGCAGCCTCGGTGTTCTGGGCTCAAGTGATCCTCCCGTCCCAGCTACTCGGGTGCACGCAGCCTCGGTGTTCTGGGCTCAAGTGATCCTCCCATCCCAGCTACCCGAGTAGCTGGGACTACAGGTGCACGCCACCACACTGGCTAATTTTTAAATTTTTTTTGAGACAGGGTCTCTCTATGTTCTCCAGGCTGGTCTCAAACTCCTAGGCTCGAGCAATCCTCCCATCTCAGCTTCCCAAAGTGCAGAGATTATAGGCGAGAGCCACCACGCCCGGCGATGTCCTTCAGGATTCAGTTTAAACATCATCTCTTCTAGGCAACTTCCCCTTCTGCCTCCCCAGGTGTAGGGACCAGCCCCACAGGGTCTGTGGGTCTCTCCCCGTGTGTGGAGACGAGAGAGTATAGAAATAAAGACACAAGACAAAGAGATAAAAGGCAGCTGGGCCCGGGGAACCACTACCACCAAGTTGTGGAGACTGGTAGTGGCCCCAAATGCCAGGCTGCACTGATATTTATTGGATACAAGACAAAGGGGCAGGATAAGGAGAGTGAACCATCTCCAATCATAGGTAAGGCCACGTGGGTCACATGTCCACTGGACAGGGGGCCCTTCCCTGCCTGGCAGCCGAGGCAGAGAGAGAGAGGAGACAAAGAGAGAAACAACCTACACCATTATTAGAGACTTTTAGTACTTTCACTAATTTGCTACTGCTATCTAGAAGGCAGAGCCAGGTGTACAGGATGGAACATGAAGGCAGACTAGGAGCGTGACCACTGAAGCACAGCATCACAGGGAGATGGTTAGGCCTCCAGATAACTGCGGGCAAGCCTGACAATGTCAGGCCCTCCACAAGAGGTGGAGGAGCAGAGTCTTCTCTAAACTCCCCCGGGGAAAGGGATACTCCCTTTCCCGGGATACTCCCTTTCCCGGTCTGCTAAGTAGCCTGTGTTTTTCCTTGACACTGAGGCTACCGCTAGACCACGGTCCGCCTGGCAACGGGCGTCTTCCCAGACGCTGGCGTTACCTCTAGACCAAGGAGTCCTCTGGTGGCCCTGTCTGGGCATAACAGAAGGCTCGCACTCTTGTCTTCTGGTCACTCCTCACTGTGTCCCCTCATCTCCTATCTCTGTATGGCCTGGTTTTTCCTAGGTTATGGTTATAGAGCAAGGATTATTATAATATTGGAATAAAGAGTAATTGCTACAAACTAATGATTAATGATATTCATATATAATCATATCTAAGATCTATATCTGGTGTAACTATTCTTGTTTTATATTTTATTATACTAGAACAGCTTGTGTCCTCGGTCTCTTGCCTCGGTACCTGGGTGGCTTGCCGCCCACACCCAGGCCTGGCCGAGGAACTCTTCTCAGTATCCCCATGGTCTCTTGCACTTACTTACCCCCACCCCACTTTTCACTCTGCTGGGAACATCTCTCTGGATACTTCTCTGCCTCCCCTACTAAACTGTTAAGTTGTGCAGGGACAGGTGAGGACCTGACATTCCGTCAGAGCAGGTCCTTGGTGAGCATGTGCTGGTAACAGAATGGCTCTCATCTTAGCGTTGTTTCTTTTGTTTTGTTTTGTTTTGTTTTGTTTGAGACGGAATCTTGCTCTGTTACTCAGGCTGGAGTGCAGTGGCACCATCTCATCTCACTGCAACCTCCACCTCCCAGGTTCATGCAATTCTGCCTCAGCCTCCCTAGTAGCTGGGATTACAGGTGCGTACCACCACGCCCAGCTGATTTTTGTACTTTTAGTAGAGACGGGGTTTCACCATATTGGCCAGGCTGGTCTTGAACTCCTGACATCAAGTGATCTGCCTGCCTCGGCCTCCCAAAGTGCTTGGATTACAGGCATGAGCCACCATGCCCAGCCTCATCTTAGTGTTTTGAGATGCTCTATGCAAAGTCCTGCAAGCCGGCACTGTGCCGTCCCGCTAGCGGGACTGGGGATTTGGGCTGCTGTCCCAGCTGGGCCTGACCTTAGTCTGCCATCTCTTCCTCCGCAGCCTACATGAAGCGGCGGCACAGCTCAGTCAGTGACAGCCAGCCCTGCGAACCGCCCTCTGTCGGCACCGAGTACAGCCAGGGCGCCAGCCCCCAGCCCCAGCACCAGCTGAAGAAACCCCGGGTGGTGCTGGCTCCGGAGGAGAAGGAGGCGCTGAAACGAGCGTATCAGCAAAAGCCATACCCGTCACCAAAAACCATCGAAGACCTCGCCACCCAGCTCAACCTGAAAACCAGCACCGTCATCAACTGGTTCCACAACTACAGGTACGACGGCTGGCTCACAGGGAGCGCCGGTCGGCCCAGGGGAAGGGGCTGATCTGTCCGGAGGCCGCCATGGCGCACAGGGGTGAGGCTGGGGCCGGAGGTGGGGCGCTGGGAGCTCGGTGATTGGTCCGTTCCTTGGTCCCTTAGGGTTTTTTTTTTCTTTTCTTTTCTTTTCTTTTGAGATGGAGTTTCAATCTTGTTGCCCAGGCTAGAGTGCATTGGCGCAATCTCGGCTCACTGCAACCTCCGCCTCCTGGGTTTAAGCAGTTCTCCTGCGTCAGCCTCCCAAGTAGCTGGGATTACAGGCATGCACCACCAAGCCCGGCTAATTTTTGTATTTTTAGTAGAGACGGGGTTTCACTATGTTGGTCAGGCTTGTCTCAAACATCCTGACCTCAGGTGATCTGCCCACCTCGGCCCCGCAAAGTGCTGGGATTACAGGCGTGAGCCACCACGCCTGGCAGTTCCTTAGGTGTTATTGGAGGTTTTAACTGCAGAGATGTAAGGCCACGTCCCTTCCCGTCACTGTCACATAGTTAGAAACAGGTGGTATCTGCCATGACCCAGAAAGAAAATCACCTCTCGATTACATCATTTAATAAGGGAGAGTGTAGGCATTCATGGTTCAAAAGGAGTGAAACTTTTGTGGTTTAGTTTATATATATCTATATTTATAGTTATATTCATATTTATTTATTTTTAGAGACAAGGGCTTGCTCTGTCACCCAGGCTAAAGTGCAGTGGTGCAATCATAGCTTACTGCAGGCTGGAACTCCTGGGCTCAGGCAGTCCTCCCACCTCAGCCTCCTGAGTAGCTAGGATGCCAATGCACCACCATGCCTGCTGATTTTTTATAGAGACAGGGGTCTCGCTCTGTTGCCCAAGCTGGTCTCAAACTCCTGGCCTCAAGCAGTCCTACCACCTCAACCTCCCAAAGCCTTGTGATTATAGACATGAGCCACCACACCTGGCCTGAACTTTTATTTCTTAGTGATTTTGCAGTGCTTTCTCGGGGTCTTCTGCCATGTTATCTTCCAAATTAGTTTGATTAGTTCTGTAATTAAATAAATGAAGTCATTTAAGACCTTTGCATTTGGGAAAGTTCATGAGTTAATGAAGACAGATTGAGCATCTTCTAGATCTCAGATTCTGAGCTAAGTATTTCACCGAGTTATATCACTTAATCCTCACAGCTCACAAATGTATATGAGATACCTTATTCTTGTCATTCCTTTTTTGTTGTTGTTGTTGTTTGAGACGGAGCCTTGCTCTGTCGCCCAGGTTGGAGTGCAGTGGCACGATCTCGGCTCACTGCAGCCTCCTTCTCCCAGGTTCAAGCGACTCTCCTGCCTCAGCCTCCTGAGTGGCTGAGACTACAGGTGTGCACCACCACGCCTGGCTAATTTTTGTATTTTTAGTAGAGACGGGTTTCATCATATTGGCCAGGCTGGTCTCGAACTCCTGACCTCAAGTGATCCGCCTGCCTCGGCCTCCCAAAGTGCTGGGATTACAGGCATGAGCCACCGCACCCAGCCAGTTCTCTTCATTCTACAGATGAAAAATATAGAACTCAGAGGGGCTAAGGAGGTCAGGCCCCAGTGCTGTCTTGGTAGAACAAAGTGCACTGGGATGAAGTGTTTGGAGTAGATGGAGGAAACCCACTGAAGGATCCTGAGTTGCTGATCATAGCTATAACCATACTCTCTGCTGCTAGAAACCAAGAATTCCAGGGCCCTGATGGAGATCCCTAAGCTAGTGCCTTGCCATTGACCATCTCAGGTGCTGCTTCCCATTGTCCCTAGGGCACGATAACATTGGGGTAGGTGCTCCTGGTTCAACCAAGGTCACCCTACGTAGGTCTAGCCGATGGCAGTGGGGCCCTCCCAGCTGTGCACATGACACAGTCATGGGCAGCACAAAGTCACAGTCAGGCTGGAGGGGAAGTTGTGTCTCTCACCGGGCCCTCCCTCCCCCATAAGGTCCACTGGAGTTCCTAAAGGGGCCCAGTAAACCACCCAGGCTCTGAACAAATTGGGAAACTAAAATATTAGGTCAGAGTCCAAATCACACCTTTATTGCCCATAGAGGCAAAGTCACAAGATGCTGCTCATTGTGAGAACTGAGCGCACCTGCTACGTGGACCCTAGACTCAGGCAAACTTCCCCACAATGGCAGCCCTGGCCCCGCACAGGCCTCCCCGTGTTCCAGCTACCTCCCGCAAGGACAAAATCCAGGATTAGCCAGGCGTGGTAACACGCACCTACAGCCCCAGCTACTCAGGAGGCTGAGGTGGGAGGATCACTTGAGGCCAGAAGGCGGAGGTTGCAGTGAGCCGAGATCACACCACTGCACTCCAGTCTGGGTGATAGAGCCAGACCCTGTCTCAAAAAAAGAAAGTCCAGGAGCTGCACAGCCAGTTTCTTCATTCCAAATTTAGCAATCAGATCAAAACAGAGGCAGAGGGAGGCCAGCAGTTAGAACAGTGGAGGTCCCTCTACTTGGAAGGAAACTTCAACAGTAATGAAGCAGAATGAAGGAAATGAACGGAAACGTGGACAGGGGTTTCCTGAAGCTTCTCTTTGCCAGGTGCCATGCTATCCCATTTCCACTTTCTTTCTTTCTTTTTTTTTTTTTTTTTTTTTTCTGAGACAGAGCCTTGCTCTGTCACCCAGGCTGGAGTACAGCAGCACGATCTCGGCTCACTGCAACCTCTGCCTCCTAGGTTCAAGCTTCTCCTGCCTCAGCCTCCTGAGTAGCTGAAATTATAGGCACCCACCACCATGCCCGGCTAATTTTTTGTATTTCTAGTAGAGACTGGGTTTCACCATGTTGGCCAGACTGGTCTCAAACTCTTGACCTCAAGTGATCCACCCACCTCGGCCTCCCAAAGTTCTGGGATTACAGGCGTGAGCCACCACGCCTAGATGCCATCTCTACTTTCTAGCCACAGAGATGCGTGCACTTTGAAGTCTCCTGCAATTCACATCCATTTTAGGGCATGTGTGATAACGCTTTCTATAATATAGACACATGCAAAGCCCTAGGTTACCATCTGGGCATAGATGCTACCAATTATACAAAACAGTTCCAAAAGTATGTTCCCTGGCCCTGCTGGAGCCACGTTTGTTTCCCAAGTCCCCCAACAGGCCTCAGCTGCATGGCAGTCACTGCCCCCTGGCCAGGGTACACACCCTCGGGTTTCTCAGTTTGCTGCTTGTCTTGCTGGTCTTCTGACAGTCATACCCGTCACACTGTAGTCTGCGGTCATTGTGGGGATGCCTCTTTTGTGCATTTTAGCACTAGCAAATTCAGTGGTACACCTGTGGCAAAGATAGAGAAGGGGAGAGAAGAAGAATACCAGTAGGACCTCAAAACTTAGTAAGTAAAATTTAGTAATCACAGGTCTGGGCTGGGTGTGGTAGCTTATGCCCGTAATCCTAGCACTTTGGGAGGCCAAGGCGGGTGGATCACTTGAGGCCAGGAGTTCGAGACCAGCCTGGCCAACATGATGAAACCCCGTCTCTACTAAAAATACAAAAATTAGCCAGGTGTGGTGGGGTGCGCCTGTAATCCCAGCTGCTCAGGAGGCTGAGGCAAGAGAATCGCCTGAACCTGTGAGGTGGAGGTTGCAGTGAGCCATGATCATACCACTGCACTCCAGTCTGGGTGACACAGCGAGACTCTGTCTCAAAAAAATAAATGAATCCCAGGTCTGAATCCAGAGTAGACACTCAACAAATGCTTCCTTTCAAAAATAACTCCACAACAAAGCAGGCTGGGCTGAGTCAAATATGGGATCCAAGAGATGAGTTTGAGCTGCAGAGATCTGGAAAAATATCATGGAAGAGGTATGAAATGAGCAGGCTCTTGAAAGGAGGATTGGAGTAGAGAAGAATTTTATAAGCAACGAAACAGGTGGAAGGAGAAACGAGGGGCCGAGCACAGTGGCTCATGCCTGGAACTCCACCACATTGGGAGGCTGAAGCAGGAGGATGGTTTGAGGCCAGGAGTTTGAGACCAGCCTCAGTGAGACCCTGTCTCTACAGAAAATAATAATAATAATAATAATAATAATAATAATAATAATAATAATAAAATAAATGAAGGAGAAGTGAGCATTCAAAATTAGCATGAAGTCGCTTGTCTAAGATCACCCAGCAGGGGCGGGCTTGGTGGTTCACGCCTATAATCCCAGCACTTTGGAAGGCCAAGGCGGGCAGATCATCTGAGGTCAGGAGTTCGAGACCAGCCTGGCCAACATGGTGAAACCCTGCCTCTACTAAAAATACAAAATTAGCCCGGTGTGGTGGCACATGCCTGTAATCCCAGCTACTCTAGAGGCTGAGGCAGGAGAATCTCTTGAACTCCGGAGGCGGAGGTTGCAGTGAGCCGAGATCACGCCATTGCACTCCAGCCTGGGCAACAGAGCAAAACTCCGTCTCAAAAAAATAAAAATAAAAATAAAAAAAGACCACTCACCCAGCAGGCCAAGGGCAGAGGGCAGAGCAGAGATGCAGACTGAGTTTCTTCTCCAACACTTTGGTTCTTTCACTAAATGCTTTGTACAGACCAACCTGCCGTTATACCCGACAGAGCTTCCCGACACTGGATGTGTTAAATCCCTAACCAAGAACGTAGTTTTTTACGTTCTTTTCTCAGGGGTTAAACAGGAAAAGTAGATTTTCTTTTCTCCTGTCCCACTGGAACCCTCAGGGAGTAACACTTGGTGTCAATTTTTGCCCCCTCAAAAAAAAAACCGAGCTTTATTTCCTCTTATCCTTTCACTTTAAGGGAATTAGAAATATCTCTGGCTAAAGGCAATTAAAAATATCTCAGGCTGGGCCGGGCACGGCCTGTAATCCCAGCATTTGGGGAGGCCAAGGTGGGAGGATTGCTTGAGCCCAGGAGTTTGAGACCAGACTGGGCAACATAGTGAGACCACGTCTACAAAAAATAGAAAAACAGGCGGGCGTGGTGGTGCATGCCTGTGATCCCAGCTACTCAGGAGGCTGAGGTGGGAGAATCACTTGAGGAGGTTGAGGCTGCAGTGAGCTGTGATCATGCCATTGCACTCCAGCCTGGGGAACAGAGCAAGACCCTGTCCCCCAGCAAAAAAAAACATATCTCAGGCTGACCATTTACCCAGGATTGATGACGAGATTGCCAGAACAACATGCCACAGGACACTGCTCTCCCCTGGAAAAACAGGTCCACCCAGTTAGGAACTCAGATTCTGAACCCTCGCAGCCACGGCATTCTGCGAGCCTTGTGTGACTTCCCTAAAAACCACAACTGCTCCTGGAAGCTCATCTTTCTAGGCCAGAAGACAGTATTCCTTAGAAATATGGAGACAAATCTAGGCTAAAAAGGATGATGTCTCACATCTGTGGAGCACAAAGCATGTGCCAGGCACTGAGCCAAAAAGGTTTTTGTTTGTTTGTTTGTTTTCTGATTTTGGTTTTGGTTTTGGTTTTTTGAGAAAGGGTCTCGCTCTGTCGCCGAGGCTGGAGTGCAGTGGCAAAATCTCAGCTCACCGCAGCCTTGAACTCCCAGGCTCAGCCAATCCTTCCATCTGAGCCTCAGGAGTAGCTGGGGCTTCAGGTGCATGCCACCACACCTGGCTAATTTTTTGTATTTTTCTGTAGAGATGGGGTTTTGCTATTTTGCCCAGGCTGGTCTCTAACTCCTGAGCTCAAGTGATCTCCCACCCAGGCCTCCCAAAGCCCTGGGATTATAGGCATGAGTCCCTGCACCCGGCCTGAGCAGACAGTTTTATAGATATATCATCTTATTAGTCCCTCCATCAGCACCCAAGTGCAGTGCTGCTGGCCCCATTTTACAGGCAAAGTCTGCACACAGGGGCCAAGCTCATGAGCATGGAAACACAAGCCCCATGCCTAACGGTGTCCGCTCCCCACCCCAGCCTTAGGGCTTATCACAGCACACAAACAGCGGCTGGATAGGGGGAAGGGTGACCCCTTTTTGAATGGCTACTTTGGGTCCTACATCATACATTTAATACCTTATTTAATCTTAATAACTTCTCTGCAAGGAAGATACCATTCTCCACATTTTTCAGACAAGAAATAAGAAAACTGAAGTTGTAGCCAGGCGTGGTGGCTCACCCCTGTAATCCCAGCACTTTGGGAGGCCAAGGCAGGTGGATCACCTGAGGTCAGGAGTTCAAGACCAGCCTGGCCAACATGGTGAAACCCCGTCTCTATTAAAATACAAAAAATTAGCCAGTTGTCGTGGCACGTACCTGTAGTCCCAGCTATTTGGGAGGCTGAGGCAGGAGAATCATTTGAACCCAAGAGGCAGAGGTTGCAGTGAGCTGAGATCGCACCACTGCACTCCAGCCTGGGCGTCAGAGTGAGACTCCCTTCTCAAAAAAAAAAAAAAATGAAAAATGAAATTTTCTTATTTCTCACAGAATGCTATGGCTATGAGGTTAAATAACTTCTCCAAGTTGCACAGCTAGTAAGCACCTTAGCCAGATATCCAACCCAAGTGTGCCTGCTTCCAAAAAGCCTGTACTCTGGTTTTGGGTCGGGCTGGGACCAAACCTTCACTACCCATATAGCCTCCCGCCTCCCCAACCAGAATAGGTGGGGTGGAGAGTTTCACCCCAACTAGCAGTCTCACTGCCAAGGAACTTGAAAGCCATAGCGCCCAGGAACCTGTTCACAGAAGCCACCATTTCCTGGGCTCCCAAGGTAGCCCCAGGGAAGGGGGAAAGACTTACACACCTTGGAACTTCTGGGGGGCTTCTCAGAACCTTTCCTTTCTGAACCAGAGCTCACAAATCTTTCAGGACAAGGTTCAGAGCTCACTGCACGCAGGAATCAAATAACTCCATAGCAGATTCACAACCCCCTGCACCCCACCAGAGTTCAATACCCTGGGCTAAGCTACAGTAGGATCTTCCCCAGGGGAGTCCCCACAGTCAGCACAGGACCCGGCGCAGAGTAGGAGCCCAGAAAACCTTTGTTTTTTTTTTCCCTTGAGACAGGATCTTGCTCTGTCGCCCAGGCTGGAGTGCAGTGGCAGTCTTGGCTCACTGTAACCTCCACCTCCCAGGTTCAAGAGATTCTCCTGCCTCAGCCTCCTGAGTTGCTGGGATTACAGGTACCTGCCACCACGCCTGGCTAATTTTTGTATTTTTAGTAGAGACAAGGTTCCACCATGTTGGCCGGGCTGGTCTCGAACGCCGGGCCTCAAGCCATCTGCCCGCCTCAGCCTCCCAAAGTGCTGGGATTGCAGGCGTGAGCTACCATGCCCAGCCTCAGAAAGCCTTATTGGCCGGGCTTGGTGGCTTATACCTGTAGTATCAACACTTTGGGAGGCCAAGGCAGCAGAATCACTTCAGCCCAGGAGGTCAAGTTTGCAGTAAACTATGATCTTGCCCCTGCACTCCAGCCTAAGCAACATCATGAGATCCTGTCTCTACAATATTTTAAAAATTTAGGCATGGTGGTATACACCTGTGGTCCTAGCTACTCAGGAGGCTGAGGCAGGAGGATCACCTGAGCCTGGGAGGTGGAGGTTGCAGGGAGCTATGATCACACCACTGCATTTCAGCCTGAGTGACAGAGCAAGACACTGCCTCTAAGTAAAATAAGGAAAGGAAAAAAAAAAAAAGAAAGAAAAAATACAGAATTTGGTGGAATTCCACCCTACCCTGGACCACAAGCCCCCAACCTGACCTTCTGTGGCTCAGAGATTAAAATTGTCACTTTGGCCACTATCCAATAATTGGTCCTCTCTCCTGAAGTCCTGATGGATGCAGCGGTTATCAGGCAGTTTCACTGATGAACTCACCCAGCCTTCGTTACTGCACACCAGGCGCCAGTGCAAGGCCTGGGTGTACAAAGAATAAATAGGACCTTGCCTTTCTCAGTCTAGTTGGAGCGGGATGGGATGGGATGGAGGAAACGTGTCACTCGATAAGAACCCTGGCCAGAAGTGGTGGCTCATGCCTGTAATCCCAGCACTTGGGGAGGCCCAGGCAGGAAGATTGCTTGAGCCCAGGAGCTCAAGACTAGCCTGGGCAACATGGCAAGACTCCATCTCTTTAAAAAATTTAAAAATTAGCAAGCATAGTGACACAGTTGTGGTCCTAGCTACTCAGGAGGCTCAGATGGGAGGATCACTCAAGCCCAGTAGTTGGAGGCTGCAGTGAGCTGTGATGGCACCACTGCACTCCAGTCTGGGTGACAGAACAAGGCCTTGTTTCCAAAAGGTTTTTGAAAAATAAAATAAGTGGCCGGACGCAGTGGCTCACACCTGTAATCCCAGCACTTTTGGAGGCCAAGGCAGATAGCTCATGTGAGGTCCGGAGTTTGAGACCAGCCTGGCCAACATGGTGAAACCCCATCTCTTCTAAAAATGCAAAAATTAGCTGGATGTGGTAGTGGGTGACTGTAATCCCAGGTACTCTGGAGGCTGAGGCAGGAGAATCGCTTGAACCCAGGAGGCAGAGGTTGCAGTCTGCGGAGATTGAGCCACTGCACTCCACCTGGGCAGCAACAGGGAAATTCTGTCTCAAAAAATAAAAATTAAAATAAGTGCCCGCGGCAATTTGTTGCAGTGGAGAATAGGGGAGTGGTGTCCCAGCCCTGGGATGGCTCCTGGCCAGGCCCGGAGGGGTGGGTGGTGACTCTGGAGAGGGGCTGCCCCGTGGCCCGAGGGTCGCTGGAGGGGCACGGAGGGGCCTCCAGGCTGGACGGAGCAGGAGCCCCAGAGAGAGGGGTCTGGCTGGGGTAGCACCAGAGGCCCTTTCCCCAGCAGCACCCCCCTCACGTCCCCGCCGCTTGTTGTCTTGTAGGTCTCGGATCCGCAGAGAACTGTTCATTGAGGAAATTCAGGCCGGGAGTCAGGGCCAGGCGGGCGCCAGCGACTCACCCTCGGCCCGCAGCGGCCGGGCGGCGCCCAGCTCGGAGGGCGACAGCTGCGACGGCGTGGAGGCCACTGAGGGCCCAGGCAGCGCCGACACCGAGGAGCCCAAGTCTCAGGGAGAGGCCGAGCGGGAGGAGGTGCCGCGGCCGGCGGAGCAGACGGAGCCGCCGCCCTCGGGGACCCCGGGCCCGGACGACGCCCGCGACGACGACCACGAGGGAGGCCCCGTGGAAGGCCCGGGGCCCCTGCCCAGCCCCGCCTCCGCGACCGCCACCGCCGCGCCCGCGGCCCCCGAGGACGCCGCTACCTCAGCCGCCGCCGCGCCGGGGGAGGGCCCCGCGGCCCCGAGCTCCGCGCCGCCGCCCAGCAACAGCAGCAGCAGCAGCGCCCCCCGCAGGCCCAGCTCGCTGCAGAGCCTTTTCGGCCTCCCCGAGGCCGCGGGCGCCCGGGACTCGCGCGACAACCCCCTGCGCAAGAAGAAGGCCGCGAACTTGAACAGCATCATCCACCGCCTGGAGAAGGCCGCCAGCCGGGAGGAACCTATCGAATGGGAGTTCTGAGGGGCCGCGGCCCTGGGGCGGGCAGCCAGGCTGGGCCGCAAGGGCCTGGACGGGGTCGGACGGGGCAGGCGCTGCGGACACCGTGGCCTGGGCTTGGCCCGCGGCCTGCACCGACCCCGGGCCGGACCTGAGCCCGCAGCCCAGACCCCCTCCACGGTCCGCGGCCTGCACCGACCCGAGGCCCAGATCCAAGGCCGCGGCCCAGACCCACTCTGCGGCCCGGGCCGACCCTGCGGCCTCCACCAACCCCGCGGCCCAGACCCAGCCCGCGGCCTGGACCCCTGGACCGCTTTGCGCACTTACCGCCCTGCGGGCCACAGGGCAAAATCGCCATAGGCCAAGGTGCATATAGAAAACAAAGGAGCATTAAGCCCAATCTATGTCGTGTTTTCAAGGAAGAAAACGGAAATGTGTGGTCGAGCTTTTTTGTACCCTGAAGTGTTTTTTTTATTGCCCTAAGTGATTTCCACAGGTTCTGGAATAACTCTTACAGCTTTGCCTTGTGTCCTCCTGTTCCGTGTGGGCTTTAAAAGAAAAAAAATCAAACCCACATATTAAAAGGGGGCTTTTTATCTGCCATCTAATGGCTTCAGAGCGATAATACACTATTATCTTCTTAAACCAGGAAAAAATAAAAGGGGGGGTGGGATTTTTCAGAAAAATTAAAAAAGAAAGTTTTTGTAGCTGTTCAGTTGCCACTAAGAGATTGCACAGTCAAAACGACTCTAAACACACTAGTTTGGATTCCTAAATATTTTCAAGAAAAGAATCTTCTCGTTTGAAACTTTGAATTAAAATAAAACACATTTACTCCACATATTTTTTAACAAAAAGAAAACGTCACATCAGGAAACTCTGATTTTGTGGTAGCTGACATAGTGTTTTCTTGTACGTGAATAGAATCCTGACATGTAGTGCACATTGATGTATAGCTTTAACTGACCCTGGGTTTTGCAGACCAGGGTTTGTTTAATACACTCCATTCTAGGCCAAATCAGGACAAAAAAAAGAAAAAAAAAGAAAAAAAAAAAAGAAAAGATCCGAATCTAGGTATTTTATAATCTGCTTTTTAACCTCTAACCGCAGAGCACGCTGATCAGACCTCATATCTTGGAGGTTTAGGAGACAAGTTAGAACTGTAGCATGTACCTGTTAATTTTGTTTAATTTATGGTGTCTCAATCTGTCTGTGCGTCTGCACGTGTGCAAGCATTGAAAGAAAGGAGAGAGTAGTCCGGGCGAGCACAGCAGGCAGTTCCAGGGCCAGACGGGCCCATCCCCAAGTAGATAGCAGTCTACGGATCTCTCTCTGGCACAGAAGGCACCTCACCTCACACCACTCTCCTGGATACCTGATGAACTGAGCCCTCCCAGGGGAAGACACTCCCCAGGCCTGGGCAGGGCTTACACGCGCACTCTCTCTCTTCTTTCCCTTTTTCTTCCCACCGCAAGCACTGATGACCCTGTTGAACTCGTGGGAAACTTCCTTTCTCTGCAGGAGAGAGAACGTGGCATTCTGGGCTCCCCACTCCCATCCCTGTAGAAATGGCCCAAACTCACACCAAAACGTGGATGCTCTTCAACTTCCAAACCTACCATTTGCCCTTCTTTCATTTCGCCTCTTAGTTCTTTTTATGCACAGTTTTAGGGCAGTCTAAGTACAAACTGAAAGTCTAACTTGTCTCTGATTCCTCCCTTGTCTATGTGTATATGCGTGAGAATAGAGGCGGGTGAGAGTGTGCGTGCGTGTGCGTGTGTGCAATTTTATACGTCTGTGTATTTTCTTAAGTACCTGTGCACACGTAGAGTGCATTACTGCCACCTTTTTCAATAAGCTGTTTTATCAGTTACGGCTTCTACAAGTTTGCTAATTTAGACTTCTTTATTGCCATATCTTTAAACTAACAATAGATGATTTCGGTATATATATATATTTTTTTTTGCTTATTTATAGGTGCTGTATTTTATTATCTGATTGTTAGGAAGGGATGAAAGGGGCAAATATTCTTTAGAGGGATAGACTGCCGGCAGTATTGGGTATAATTTACAAGATGTAGTTGTCATACTGTATATTACTGATTGAAAACTTTTTGACCGTATTGTGTATCATTGAAACCTTTGTCTTAGGTCAACATCTTTGGATGACATTTTAATGGTGCATTCATTATTTCTTAAGTTTAATTAATATTACTTTTTTTTTTATTTGGGGGGTGGGAGGGAGTTATAATTTTAAAGGTATGCTCTGGCTGTTCCACCTCCGTGTGCTTGTTAATTAACTTGTAGGACTTTGACTGTAAGATGTGAAACCACGTTTCTTGCATGATGTTTTAGAGATTATTTCATTTACAGTCTTTTAACCTGCAGCTGCAGCACTTAGTTCACGTTTTCACAAATTTCAAGAGTCACTACACTAAAGACAATGCCTTTTCATGAATAAGAAGTTTTCAGAAGGCTCTAGGGGGCTGGGAGGCAGGCTGTTCGTTTGTCTTTTGTTGGGGGTATCATTTCTGAACTTGAAATCCAGTTCAGGGAGAAGAGAATTCAAAATTAGAGGAGCTTAAGGGGACACGGGTCAACATCTAGCTCGATTCAGGTGCATTGAGAAGAGTGAGTTCACATCGGTGACCCTTAGGACAGTGAGTGGCAGAGCCCTGACGACTGTGGTGTCCTCTCCACAAAACCCTCAAGGGACTTTTGTCATCATGTGTGATGAATCTTTAAATATCGTCTAATTTTCATAAGAATGAAAAGAAGTTAACAGGAAATAGTAGGCTAGGGTTTAGTTTTAAAGGCATGACTGTTATTTACAAAGGTGTTAAATCTGAGGAAATTGACAAATACAGATTTGTCCATTCTAGTGGCCAAACAGTAACAGTCTAAAATGCAGTCATTTTGACCCTCCCAAGCAATTTAGTCATATGTGTTGTTTTCTCTTTTCTGTTTTTACTTCTTAGATTTTTAACTAGGTTACTGTTGGTTCCCATTCTGTCTTTTTTGCCAGACTTACATCTGGTGCCAGATACAATCAGTTGGTTAAATTTTGCTTGCAGTTCTGTGTATTTTTTTTCCTCTATTATTTATTTTTTTAAAAAAAATAGAGATCCTAACCTTAGATCTTTGATGTGAAGCTAGCACTGTCTGTAATACTTCTAAGAGCTGCCACTAAAATAATACAGCAATCCGTGGCCAGGGGAGCACCCCCTCCTGGTTGGGCCCCTCAGTTGGAGTCTAAGGGTTAATCTCTCATCTTGCTAAGCAGTATTCAAGTGCCTTGAACAGTGTCCCCTCGGCATGGCTCCCCTTCAGCAGGCTGGCATTCCAAGCAGTGGCCCCCGCAGGCAGCCGACCCCCTTCCTCTTCACGCTCTATGAGTTTAAAAAGCTGATTTGTACCTCTCCCCTGGGGGAAACGGTTCCATATAAAACACTAACACTTAATTACAAGCTCCATTATGCCATTTTAAATGGCTTCTTTTTGTTAATTGGAGGCATTGTTCATAACTTAAGGCTTTTGCCATTAACTTAGCTGGCTAAGCAGAGGCTCGGGGTAAAATCAGTGTTTGCATTTAGCCTCTTGACCCGGAGTTCCGGCCCAAGCTCCCTTGTGATAGCCGAGATGGCAGGTGTGTGAGTTCTGTCCTAGACCTGTGCCCAACTCACTTCCACCCCAGAGGAGTCTTCTGTCCTCCTCCCCAACCCCCGAGCTCCCTGGTAACCTCCTCTTGAACTTCTGTATCAGTGAAGACATCTGTGGTTTCTGCTCACCAGACCTCTCTTTAGAAAGGGTTATCAGAGCCATGGAGCTTAGCTCAATTGGATTCTTCTAGACGATCTTAGGAGGCATCTTGGCATGAGGCAGCTTCTAAGCGTCTCCTGGGACAGGATTGGGGTGACAGCCCAGGGATGCATGCATGGGAGAACTCTCTGAGAAATGCCAGGATCGTGGCTCACAGGGACCCACCATCAAAACCTGCTACTTTGTGCAAGTAATTGAGGCAAAAGATACCAGTCGACAGCCTCCCTGGGGTAGATCCCTTGTACCTCCAAAGTACAAATACCTCCCTGCTCAGTTTCCTTCCTGTCGCCATCTTTGTTTTCTTCCCATTGAAAAACCATCCTGTCTGATGTGGACGTTCAGGTCTGCTGGTTGGCGGTCCGGGCCCAGAGTGCAGCAGAGCTCTGGGTTAAATATTCCTTTCTGGCCACCGCCCAAGCCCAGGTGGCCAGCTCTCATACCCCATCTCCCTCCTTGGCCAGGGCCAGCATCAGGCGTGCAGCTCATGACCAGTTTACACAGGCTGCAAAGAGATCGCTGTGGGCCTCGGCTGACTACTTTAAGATTATGCCACAGCCAGGCCCTAAAAAGAGAGGGGAACAGGAGTCCCCAGGTGAGCTCTCTGACGGGCAGGTGCCTTCCCGACTAAGGTTGGACTGGATGACTTTGTTCCTCCTGCATGCATGTCCTTTGATGCAAGGGTGATCAATGAACTCTGTTGACATTCTATGCAATGTTTTTCATTCCTCTGATTTTAGCAAAGCAAATCTTACTGAAAAATAGCAGAGCCAGGGGAACAGACGCATGTCCTTCTGGGAGTCACACAAAAGCAGAGAGATTTTGAACTGAGGGGCGACAGCCTTTGCCTTAAATGCAGTATGACAGGCGCTTCTTGGCAGACCAGTAAAAACAAAAGCCCATAGACCTTACTCATCCCAAGGCCGACAAGCCAGCTGTACAGGGCGAGATGTAGCAACACGGGGCATGAGCGGTGGGCGTGCTGGGCTATTTGCTGTGGTACTTTAGGCTGGAGGTTTGGCTCCTGTGCTGCCGGTGGGGGGCCCTGTCCCTCCCCAGATGTCCTCCCTCTTCTTCACACTCCTCATTGTCCCTTCTACCTCACTAACCTGTCTTCTCCATCTGATGTCACCCAGAACCACACCCCACAGAACTGTGAGGCACGTGGGCTGGAGAGAGCAGAAAAGCTGCCAGCGCAGCAGACACGAACATCCCTCTGCCTGGTGGGCCGGCTTTGTGTGTCTCTCCTTTTGTGAGCGCAACACGGACAAACAGCTGTGCTCTGCAAGGCACACGGATGTTTCCCTTCCACCTGTTCCCAAAGCTCCAGCAGCTGTTTCTTTTGCAGGCAGGGCGTGGTCTCGGGGCTCCGAGGGTCTTGTCTTTGGTCCGCCTTCCTTTCTGTCCAGTCCTGCTCAGCTGTTAAGATCCATCATGGCCATTATCCTTGTCCCGGACTGCCCCAAAGTTCCCAGCTGGCTTTGGGGAACACTGTAGCTCTTGGGTGTCTCTTGTCTCTGGCATGGTTTTAGCGTCACTGCGAACACTCCTTTGCAAACATCAAACATCTCAAAGACGGAAAAGGATAGATGGCTTCCTCCAGCCTACACGCCCCGTCCACAGTGGCATCACCCTCTTATCCCAAAAGAATATGCCAGTTCCCATCCAGCACCGAAGAAAATCAGCTCCTGGGGCTGGTGGTTGGAGGTGGGTCTGTCCACTGTGGGGGCCAAAGTGTTCCCCTGCTGGAGACAGTTTGCAAGTAAGAACCTAAGGATGGGGACAGCATCCTGTGCTTGGGCATTGACCAGCCAAAGCTCACATTTAGAAAGCCCTCAGTGCTTCTGTGGTTTCACCTGGGCATCGACGACATTAGGGAAGCCTTTGTGACCACAAGGGCAGGGCTTGTGCCCTGAGTGGCGAGGTGGTGACCTGAGGCCAGTGTGATGTGGTTGGATCTCAGCGTGTACTGAATGCCAGTCTGGCCGGCACACTCGAACGCTAAGAGAATGGTCCAATTTGATGATCTTATTTCTATTTCGATCAGGTTTTGACTTTTTGTAGATGAAAACTACCAGGGAAAAGGGGAAGCAGGTACCCAATAAAGTTTAGAAAGATCCAGTCTGTGAAACCCTTAGAGATGGGCTGAAAGTTAAGTCCACCAACCCTTGGGCTTAATCAGGACGGAAGAGGAGGGGGTGTGGGGGGCAGAGCGTAAAACAAGCCCCAGCCCTACTCCCGGCCCCCCAGCCCAGTCTTCCCAATCCCAGAGGCCCCGGCGGCCTGTGCTCCTCACCACCCTGGTCAGGGGAATAGAAGGAAATGCAATTTCCGCCTGTCTGCCCGACTTCCAAAAACTGCCTCCTCCTGCCCAGGCCTCTCCCACCACCACCTTCCCTCCAAAGATAACCGTGTCCATGCCATCCGTGGCATCATCTCGAGTTTTCATTTTTGGATGAAGTGACATTTAGCTTTAACAAGACATTTCCAAAGCGCCTAGTCTCCTCCAAAATGCTAACTTTAAAAGTTGGGCATTGTAGGCGAAAAATCCCAAAAAAAAAAAAAGACAAAAAAAAAAGGCTGGCGAGAGAAAGACATTTGGCTATGCATAAATGTGCACTTCCCCCATGCCCCCGTTCTTAAACTCTTAAGATGCCTTTGAGTTGCTTTTCATGAATCCTTTTAGTTTACCCGATAATGTTAAGAAAGCATTAGTCTACGTTACTGTAATTTCTGTAGTGTTTACGCTTTAATTTCTACCACAAAATATGCTATATGCTATGTATCAAGCTTTCTGTAATCAGAAAGAAAAGGTGCCTTATATCCCAATGTCACGGCTACATCCCTATGGAAATTAATCAGAAGCACAGTGTGTACGGAAGCATTGGGACTTCTGCTGGTGAAACAAGAGACCATTCAGCAAGACACATTGAAGTGGCACGGAGCTGCTTTTGTTTTATAATTCTTTTTTCCCCCCTTTTCCTTCTTCTTTTTTATTATTTTATTATTTTTTTTGTACTTTGCTTTAAACGGAAAGCACTTAAATAGATGACTATGTGTAAAAGCTCTGTGCAATTGAAATCATTTTTCTTCATTTTAAAAAAATAACGTATTGCACACCAAATGAACTCAAAGTAAGCTTTAGACCAGGACGATTCAGGTTATGAATGAGTTTGTTCACTGTAGTTCCGTTTGTTCATGAACCGAAGGGAAAACAGGCCTCCCCGACTCCCTCCAGTCTCCCAGCCTGCCTCTTGGTGACCACTGTGCTGGGCGTGCAGGGCCCGCGGGCTCTGGCCGGAGCCGCTGGCCTGACGAGGCAGGATAGGGAGTATCCGTGATTCAGAAGCTGAGACCCTTCCCCAGTGTCTGAGGCCACAGCCATCCCTTCCAGCACTTAATCTTGTCTTGTTGAAATGGACTGACTGCTACTGACCTGCCGGCGTGCGTGAGGGTGATTATAAAAGGATGTTTCCTTGAGAAAAAAAAAATTATTTCTATCCTCTTCTATTTATTATTAGGTTAATCATTTAAGTACTTATCAGGAGTGTATTGTTATTTTGTGTTTTGTTGTCATAAATGCTTTTTGCTGTCACTCTAGTGGTTACTATCCTCTGCCTTCCTCTCCTCCCCTACTCCCCCAGAGAACCAAGGCGTCTGGGGGATTGACTGGGGGGCAGAGGGGGTTTCCCCAGCAAAATCAAACACCTGTCTCCAGAGTAGCCACTCAAAAACTGGTGGTCTCTATGTGTCTAACTTTTTAAATGAGAGTGTTTATGAACAAAAAAATTTACCAACGTGTGAGGGAGTTGCTGAGTTGAAGAATGCTCGCTTGAGGAGCTTCAGAGGAATCTTAGCAAAGCCAAGTTCAGTTCCCCAAAGCCTCCTAGAGCCTCTGGTAAGACTTCTGGGTTCATGAAGTTTCGGCGAGCCGTGGTCAGAGAGGGCGCGGTGGCCTGGCCAAGACTTTACCTCCAAGCGAGAGAGTGATTTCTTGCAAGGCCCGCATGGGTTGATACGTTTTGGTTGGTTTTTTGTTGTTGTTTTTCTTGCGTACAAAGTTGGTCAAAACCATCTTTCAAAGCAACAGTGTTTTGTAGTACCAGGCTGTGGCTTGAGGGCTCACCTAGGAGATCATAGGCAGAGGGCCCCTTTCCCCTATAGGTGGTTCAACGTGGAGGAAGGTTGGGTGTGGAGATTGCTTGCTGTGGCCCCAAGCTCAGCCAGCAGGACACCCAGTTGTTGCCAATCAGGTGTGAAGGTGAGGCGCCCTGCCTTGATCCCATGGGCCCAGCAGAAGGAAACTTACCCCAGGCCAAGGCAAGGGCCCTGCTCACCCCAAGGTAGGCTGGGAAGAGCATCTCTTTCCATATCATCACCTCCCCTTCTCCAAGATTGCCGGGGGCCCTGATTTTGTTCTCTCTTTGAAAGAAACCCTCCACCGAAACAATGGTCCCCATCTCCCCAGAAGCCTTTTTTTTTTTCATTTTTCTCTAATTAGTCTATGCATTTCTCTCTCTCAAACCATCTTCTGCCTCTTCCCTTGAGAAAACGGGCATCTCACGTACCCCCATCTGAGACCTCTTGGAAAAAAAAAATCCCGTGTATTCTGGAGATGTGAGAATTCACCCAAAATTCTTAAAACATTGGAGAATAGCTTGTTATAAAATAAAAGTGGGGGTAAAAAGAAGGTGGTTTTCCCCACATCCCTTTGCATTGAATAAGAGACCTAGTTCTTTGCGTTTGTGCAATAACTCTTTGCTGCTTGCCTTGAGAGCGGGTAGCACCACGCTCCTGTCCAGACTACTAACAGCACAAGACGCACTCACAGGGTGGCGGAATCTTCCGGAAAACTCTCTATAAGCTCAGCTCCCCCCACCCCACCCCCACTCTAGCGTTTTGTCACGTCTTACATTTTAGCAGTATTTTATATTTTCTGTAACGCACCAAGTCTTAGATCTTTCTAGAGCTTGTTTGTTCATCCTCACAATCACAGATTTTTTTCTCCAATCCTCACAGAGACCCAATTGACCAAAAAAGAAAAAAGGAAAAAAAAAAAGTCGTCTTTTTTTTTTTTTTTTGTACAAATCGCTTTGAGATGCCTCTGGTGTGTTGCTGTGTGACATCTCTCTGGTAACATTTTATTTCTTGCTATTTGTTTTTCTACATTAAGAGTCAAAGTTGACCTGGCTGGCGTGGGGGTGGGGGAGGCACCCGTCGGCCCCTTGGTGTTGTCCCTCTGTCTTTGGTTAGCCATACGATGTTTGTTCTCAGCACTGTACAACGGTCCCTATATAATACGGAGAAGCAATATCACTGTATGAGACTCACACCATGTATTATTATTCACTAGCACCCTAGGTGTGATAATTGAAGTAAATATCTTTTATACAAACACAAGAATGTGTGGGTTGTTTTTATTTAAAGTGCTCTGGCCTGAGGACGAGCAGCAAACACTGTCATTCGAGGTCCAAAGGGCACCTCAAGAATCGCCGTTCCCGAGGTCGTCCCCTTTGCACCTGTCCGCAGGTCCTCGGGCGTGTGGCTTCCGGGCACACAGAAAACCGTGTGGTTCTAGGATACATGGGGATCTCGGGCACTGCTCTGTCAATCTGCATCTGGTTCACAGGAAGGGCTTCGCCAGGGCCTGCGTTCCTACTTGCTGTTGTCACCAGCACTGTTTGCCTACCCTTGAACCAAGCCCTTACCCTCCCTGGCGTCCGCTTCCTTTTCTGTAAAATGGAGACACCATCTCCTGTCATATAGGCTTGCTGTGGGGAACCAGGAATGGTGGCCAGTGCTGGTGCGGCACTGGGCTGGTGGTGGCAGCCCCAATCGATGGCACTTGGGCGACCAGGACTACGGCCAGTCTCCTCTGCCGTGTGGCCTGCAGCTGGTCAGTGGCGTGGCCTCAGCCTTCTGTGTGGGGGTCTCACTGTGCCCCTGACTCCTGATGTAACAGAAAGACAAGTGAAAGGCACCAGTTAATGCTTGCGAGTGGGACAGTGGCTTGCGGGTCTCTGGAATGACGGGGCTACTGAGAAGAGTCTCTTTCCAGATGGCGCTCGGGCTGGAGGTGGGGGGAGAGCTCTGCAGAGGTGGCTGTTAGGCTTCTCCGCGCAGTTGTGACTCAGAGGCTGTTGCTCGTCTTGGGTTGGAAAAGAGCTGTCTGCCAGGCCGACGTGTGTCTGGTGGAAGTGGGGGATGACTTGGTCGCATATTAATTTGGAGATTTCAGATTGTGAAATGTCCACATGTGATACAGAATCGTAAGCCCCTCTCCCAATTCAACTGGATTCAATCCTCCCTCCAGTGGGAGAACCCAGAGTATGGGATGGAGACACCCCCCAGTGCCAGGTGCCCTCGGCAGCCCCGTGTCTGATGCAGTCACTTAGGGCCGGGGGTGTCTCTAGAGTTGCCCAAAATGCTGGTCCCCTCAGATAGGAGAGGCCTGCATAAAACCCTAAGAGCTGGCCCAGCGCAGTGGCTCACGCCTGTAATCCCAGCACTTTGGGAGGCCGAGGCCGGTGGATCACTTGAGGTCAGGAGTTCAAGACCAGCCTGGCCAACATGGTGAAACCCCGTCTCTACTAAAAATACAAAAATTAACCAGGCATGGTGGCGGGTGCCTGTAATCCCAGCTACTTGGGAGGCTGAGGCAGGAGAATTGCTTGAACCTGGGAGGCAGAGGTTACGGTGAGCCGAGATTGTGCCACTGCACTCCGGCCTGGGCGATAGAGCGAAACTCAGTCTCAATAAAACAAACAAACAAAAAAATAACCCTAAGAACTCTGCCAGTTTGGTATTTGACAGACTGAAGTCTAACGTGGTTAATTTTTCTGTTTGCTAGTTTAGGTATGCCCCTATGTATTTCATGATCTGCTAACTAAATTAAAATAAGAAATGTTAAAAAAAAAAAAAAAAGAAAGAAAAGAGAAAGGAAGGAAGGAAAGGAAGGAAGAAAGAACAGTTGGGCACAGTGGCTCATTCCTGTAACTCCTATAGGCCCAGCACTTTGGGAGGAGGTCAAGGCAGGAGGATGGCTTGAGCCCAGGAGTTTGAGACCAGCCTGGGCAACATAGTGAGACCCCATCTCTACAAAAAATAAAAAATTAGTTGGGCATGGTGGCATGTGCCTGTAGTCCTAGCTACTCTGGAGGCTGAGGTGGGAGGATCACTTCTGCCCAGGAGTTCAACGCTGCAGTGAGCTATGATGGCACCACTGCACTCCAGCCTGGGCAACACAGCAAGACCCTAAATCTTGGGGGGAAAAAAAAAAAAAGGAACACTTAGCTCAAAGTCTTTTTCCTCAGAAAGTTGAGACAGGATCTCAGTCTGTCACCACCTCCTCCTCCCAGGCTTAAGCAACCCTCCCATCTCAGCCTCCCAAGTAGCTGGGACCACAGGTGTGCACCACCACGCCTGGCTAATTTTTTGCAGAGAAGGGGTTTCACCATGTTGCCCAGGCTGGTCTCGAACTCCTGAGCTCAGAAGATCCACCCACCTGGTTCTCCCAAAGTGCTGGGATTACAGGCGTGAGCCACCGCGCCCGGCCCCTTATTTGTTATTTGTTTCGTTTCGTTTTGTTTTTAAGATGGAGTCTGGCTCTGTCACCCAGGCTGGAGTGCAATGGTACAATCTCGGCTCGCTGCAACCTCCACCGCCTGGGTTCAGGCGATTCTCCTGCCTCCGCCTCCCAAGTAGCTGGGATTATAGGTGCCCGCCACCACACCTGGCTTTTTTTTTTTTTTTTTTTTTTTTTGTATTTTTAGTAGAGATGGGGTTTCACCATGTTGGCCAGGCTGATCTCGAACTCCTGACTTCAAGTGATCTGCCTGCCTCAGCCTCCCAAAGTGCTGGGATTACAGGCGTGAGCCACCATACCCAGCCGCGTTCCTTATTTGATGCTCTGAAGAAACACAATTGCAGGTAGACAGGGTGGCGCGACGTGATGATGAGATATATTAGAGCACTTGAATTGTCTGCAATGGTCCTGTGTGCTTCTGTTACAAAGCCCCTCTGAGTGGCTGCCTGGGGGCATGCTGCTCCTCTCCACGGTCTTAACATGCCAGCTTTGGGGGCACACAGCTTGCTGGTGTCTACTTCAGCTCATCACTGATTCCTGTGAGGTGGCAGAGGCCTGGGCCTGCATGTACGGACCCAACCAGGGAACTGGGAGGGCTCCACAGAGCTACCGTGATGTTGCCCAGGCTCCCGGCCAGTGGGCCGTTGCTTAGCAACCGACTCATGCAGTGTGGAGTGACCGGCCTCCACAGACAGGGGAGACACAGCCTGGGCCCAGCCTTAGGCAGGCATTGCTGAAGTTCCTGTCTTTTCCAAGAAGTTCAGACTCTTAGAATACCAACAGGAAGGGCCCTGGTCGAGCATGGTGGGTCACGCCTATAATCCCAGCACTTTGGGAGGCTGAGGTGGACAGATCACCTGAGGTCAGGAGTTTGAGACCAGCCTGGCCAACATGATGAAACCCCATCTCTACTAAAAATACAAAAATTAGCCAGGCATGATGGCACATGTCTGTAATCCCAGCTACTCAGGAGGCTGAGGCAGGAGAATCACTTGAACCCAGGAGGCGGAGGTTGCAGTGAGCCAAGATTGCGCCACTGCACTCCAGCCTGGGCAACAGAGTGAGACTCTGGCTCAAAAAAATAAAAAATAAATAATACCAATACGAAGAGCCCTTTTTTTTTTTTAAGCAGAATCAAGTATGGATAAGTAATAGCAGAGCTTCCCATTTGGGGCAGTGGTGTGGCCTCCAGGGAGCGGGATTTGAGGACAACCCTCCCATTGTTCAGGGAGGCGTCAGTGTCTCTGTGGTCAGGAGACACTGGCTGTATCAGGATCCCAGCAGCGTCTCTTAGTGGCTGATGACCGTGAGCAAGTCTTAAGTCGATGCTCAGGAAATCTTTGAAAGAATAAATGAGTTTAACTTCCTAGTGCTTCTGTTTCTGTCTCTGTAAAGGGGATATAAAAAGCCAAACTCGGTCGGGCACGATGGCTCACACCTGTAATCCCAAGGCTTTGGGAAGCCAAGGCAGGAGGATCACTTGAGGCCGGGAGTTCAAGACCCACCCTGGGACACATAGCAAGACCCCATCTCTACGAAAATGTTTAAAATTCGCCGGATGTGCTGGCACATGCCTGTAGTCCCAGCTACTTGGGAGGCTGAAGGATCGCTTCAGCCCAGGAGCTCAAGGCTGCAGTGAGCTATAATTGCACCACTGCACTCCGGCCTGGGTGACAGAGTGAGACCCTGTCTCCAGTTGAAAAAATAAGAGGTAGGTGGCTCATGCCTGTAATCCCAGCACTTTGGGAGCCGAGGCGGGTGGATCACGAGTTCAAGAGATTGAGACCATCCTGGCTAACATGGTGAAACCCTGTCTCTACTAAAAAGACAAAAAAATTAGCCAGGCGTGGTGGCAGGCACCTGTAGCCACTCAGGAGGCTGAGGCAGGAGAATCGCTTGAACCCAGGAGGCAGAGGTTGTAGTGAGCCGTGATACCTCCACTGCACTCCAGCCTGGGCGACAAAGCAAGACTCCATCATGGATGGATGGATGGATGGATGGATGGATGGATAACTCACAGGGTTACTGAGAGGACCCAGTGAGAAGACCTGGAAACCACTCACCCAGCACCCAGTGGCAGGGCAGAGCCTGGAAGGATCCAAGTGAGGCCTATGCAGTTACTGGCAGTGGAAGCAGCAGAGGACTGGCTGGCCCTGCCAGGGTCTTGCTGCCCGTGGCCAGGCCCCATCTCCTGGGGTCTTTAGTCTCCTCTAACACACATGGCCTCTGGGTTTGGCTGTGATGGGGTGGGACTGAGCCGTGGTAGATGCTTACATCAGACGGATTGCAAAGAGGGCCAGCTGTGCCCCAGCCTGGGAGACCCTGCAGCTGTGGGAATCCCGGTGCAACTTTCCAACTGAGGAAACAGATGCTTGCCGCGGGGTAGTATCCACTCGCCCGTGAGCTAATACATACCGAAGGCTGACCGTGGGCCGCTGCCTTACACGCTGGGGTTATTACAGGGCAAACCAGGAGCTCACCTTCTTGTGGGAGGGACAGACAGTAGACGTAATAAATAAGTGAATGAGATAGTTGCTTCGAAGGTGATCAATGTTATAAGGAGGATGGGAAGAGCAAGTGAAAAGGGTTAAACTTTTTTTTTTTTTTTTTTTGGAGATGAAGTCTTACTCTGTTGCTCAGGCTGGAGTGCAGTGGCGTGATCTCGGCTCACTGCAACCTCCACCTCCCAGGTTCAGGCGATTCTCCTGCCTCAGCCTCCCAAGTAGCTGGGATTACAGGTGCATGCCACCACGTCCAGCTAATTTTTGTATTTTTAGTAGAGACAGGGGTTTCACCACATTGGCCAGGCTGGTCTCAAACTGCTGATCTCAAGTGATCCACCCGCCTTGGCATCCCAAAGTACTGGGATTACAGGTACGAGCCACCACACCTAGCCTTTTTTTTTTTTTTTTTTTGAGATGGAGTCTCACTGTTGCCCAGGCTAGAGTGCAGTGACACAATTTCAGCTCACTGCAACCTCCTCCTCCCAGGTTCAAGCAGTTCTCCTGCCTCAGCCTCCCAAGTAGCTGGGACTACAGGTGCACACTGCCATGCCCAGCTAATTTTTGTTATTTTTAGTAGAGACAGGAGTTTCATCATGTTGTCCATTCTGGTCTCGAACTCCTGACCTCAGGTGATCTGCCCGCTTCAGCCTCCCATAGTGCTGGGATTACAGATGTGAGCCACTGCGCCCAGCCGAAAGGGGTTAAAGTTTTAAATCGGGTGGTCAGGGTAGGCCTCCCTAAGAAGTTCACTTCTCTGTTTAATTTATTATCTTTTTCTCTTTTTTTTTGAGACAGGGTCTCACTCTGTCACCCAGGCTGGAGTGCAGTGGTGCGATCTCAGCTCACTGCAACCTCCACCTCCGGGGTTCAAGCGATTCTCCTGCCCCAGCCTTCCGAGTAGCTGGAATTACAGGCGTGCATCACCATGCCCGGCTAATTTTTGTATTTTTAGTAGAGACGGGGTTCACCATATTGGCCGGGCTGGTCTCGAACTCCTGGCCTCAAGCGATCTGCCTGCCTCGGCCTCCCAAAGTGCTGGGATTACAGGCATGAGCCACTATTCCCAGACAGAAGTTAACTTCTTTTTTTTTTTTTTTTTTTGAGACGGAGTCTTGCTCTGTCACCCAGGCTAGAGTGCAGTGGCGTGATGTCAGCTCACTGCAACCTCCGCCTCCCAGGTTCAAGTGATTCTCCTGCCTCAGCCTCCCAAGTAGCTGGGATTACAGGCGCCCACCACCGCGCCCGGCTAATTTTTGTATTTTTAGTAGAGACGGGGTTTCACCGTCTTGGCCAGGCTGGTCTCGAACTCCTGACCTCAGGTGATCCACCCGCCTCGGCCTCCCAAAGTGCTGGGATTACAGGCATGAGCCATCGCGCCCAGCCCAGAAGTTAACTTCTAAACAGTACTGGCAGAGCTGAGGGAACGAGCCCTGCAGATGTGAGAAGGAAGGACGTTCTAGGCAGTGAGAACTGCCAGTTCAAAGGTCTCGTGGTGCAAATGTCTCTGGAAACCAGCATGGCCGCAGCACCGTGACCAGGAGGAAGAGTGGGAGGCGATGAGGTCAGAGAGACCAAGGAGAGGCGGAGCATGGGGGCCTTGTCGGCTATTGCTGAGGCTTTGTTTTTTACTCTGAGTCAACTGGGAGGCATTGGACGGTTTGAACAGAGGGTCCTGGCTCTGGTGGGGAAACAGGAAGTAGGATTCATTGGTAGGAGTGAGTAAGGAGGGGTCAGCACAGGGGAAGCCCTCAGAAGCTCACCCAGGAGGCCACAACTGGGGCTGCGTTTAACCCCCACAGCCATGCCAGATGAGCTGCTTCTCAGCCACCACGTGGGATCGATTTCTTCCACATTGAACTTGGTCAAGGCCCGCTGCTTTGTGCTGTGGATCTTCTGGCAGCCAGGGAACTTAGACTTGGCCCTGCATATGGCCTCAATCACACCCTCATGGTTCTGCTCTTAGTACGGATAGACACAATGACCTGGCCAACATAAACCCTGGCTGTCACACCCTGGGGCTTTCCAAGGGCACCCCGAATACTTGCCTGGTGCCTAGACCACAGACAGCACGAGGTCAGAGACACAAATGTCCAGTGGAAAGAATTGTCTCCAACGTTCCTTAGGGCAACCCATGTAAGAAACAGACTGTGTGGCCGGGGGTGGTGGCTCACGCCTATAATCCCAGCACTTTGGGAGGCCAAGGTGGGTGGATCACCTGAGGTCAGGAGTTCAAGACCAGCCTGGCCAACATGAAGAAACCCTGTCTCTACTAAAAATACAAAAATTAGCCGGGCATGGTAGCGGGCGCCTGTAATCCCAGCTACTTGGGAGGCTGAGGCAGGAGAATTGCTTGAACCCCGGAGGCAGAGGTTGCAGTGAGCCGAGATTACACCACTATACTCCAGCCTGGGCAACAAGAGCAAAAATCTGTCTCAAAAAAAAAAAAAGAGAAAGAAAGAAACAGACTGTGTACTTTACTGAGGAGGCTGCTGTTTGCAACCACTGCACCCTACAAGGTCACTATTTTTTTTAAGAGACAGGGTCTCACTCTGTTGCCCAGGCTAGACGGCAGTGGCATAATCATCGCTCACTGCAGCCTTGACCTCCTGGGCTCAAGCAATCCTCCTGCCTCAGCCTCCCAAGTAGCAGGGACAGGCGTGCACCACCACACACGGCTAATATTTTAATTTTTTGTAGCGACAGTCTGGCTATGTTGCCCAGGCTGGTCTCAAACTCCTGGACTCAAGCAATCTTCCTGCCTCAGCCTCCCAAAGTCCTGGGATTACAGGCATGAGACAGTTGCACCCGACCAACTTTTTAAAAGGCTCTCTCTGGCTGCTGCTTGGTGCCCAGATCATAGGTTGCAGAGGGAGGCCAATGAGGAGGCTGATGCCATCATCACAATGAGAGGTGGTCATGACTCGGACTAGGTGGCAGCAGTGGTAAAAAGAGACTGGATTCTGGAGATATTTTGAAAGTAGAGCCAAAAATGAGACTTAAGGCAGGGGCAGTGGCTCACGCCTGTAATCCCAGCACTTTGGGAGGCCGAGGTGGGTGGGTCACTTCAAGCCAGGAGTTTAAGACCAGCCTGACCAACATGGTGAAACCCTGTCTCTACTAAAAATACAAAAATTAGCCAGGCGTGGTGGTTCATGCTTGTAGTCCCAGCTGCTCGGGAGGCTGAGGCAGGAGAATCTCTTGAACCCAAGAGGTGGAGGTTGCAGTGAGTTGAGATCATGCCACTGCACTCTAGCCTGGGTGACAGAGTGAGACTCCGTTTCAAAAAAAAAAAAAAAAAGAGAGAGAGAGAGACTTAAGACAGATTCAGCATCAGGAGTGATGGAGAGGAGTGAGGCTACCTCCCGGGGTTTGGTCTGAGCCACCGAAGGGTCGCAGAGAGCTGGGTCAGGCCGGGAAGGGGGTCTCTGCCTATCCCTGCAGATGTCACCTCCCGAGGCTGGACTACAGGGGTCCACACTTGGGCTTGGGGAGTACAGACTTGGGGAGGAAGGGATCAGGCTGAAATTCAGACCTGTGAAGGTTGAAATGCCAGTAGAAGATCAAGTAGAAGATAAATCCAAGGAGAGGCGTGGACTGGAGTCCCACACTGGGGAGGCATCGGCTTGTCAATGGCATCCCGCATGGCCAGAGCGGATGAGGGGGCAGAGTGAGGCATCTGCGGATGGTCCCTGTGCAGCAGCGGCAAGAAGCTTAGCAGGGAGGGCAAGGACCAGTCAAGGAAACAGGGCAGAGCAGCCAGCCGGGGAAGGAGGCCCAGGAGGGTCGGTGACCTGGAAACTAGCTGCTAACACAGCAGCTCAGATGAGAGCCGAAAAACAAGGACGTGGCAATGTGCGGAGGTCATTAGGGACCTTGGCAAGGACAGTCAGCGTGAGGGGTGGCAGAGTCTGATGGGAAGGGCTTGAGGAATTGGAGGAGCGGAATTAGACGCTTGAGAAGAGACAGCTTCTTCAAGGAGTTTTGCCAGAGTGGGGTCAAGGGAAGGGGCGTGTGTGCATGTGTACATGCCTGCTAGGAGAACATGCTTGCATGCATGTAGAAGGCAAGAGCCGGTGCTGCAGGAGAGGGTGGCATTGCTGGAGACCCCATTGCATAGGGGTGGGGGCCAGCACCTGCAGGCATGGGGAGCCGGCTGGGGGGGCTCAGTGGTCACCTGAGGCTACCTGCAGGATCTACAGGTGCAGAGGCAGGGAGGGGTGGATGAGGCAGCAGCTTGGCCCCCTCAGTGTCCTCCTAGCAGAGATACCATGTGCACCGAGCGTCTCCACCATTCCTACCTGGCCTGCAAGTGATTTAATAAGACAGGGGCAGCCGGGCATGTGGCTCATGCCTGTAATCCCAGCACTTTGGGAGGCTGAGGTGGGTGGATCACCTCAGGTCAGGAGTTCGAGACCAGCCTGGCCAACGTGACGAAACTCTGTCTCCACTAAAAATACAAAAATTAGCCAGGCATGGTGGTGCATGCCTGTAATCCCAGCTGCTTGAGAGGCTGAGGCAGGAGAATCACTTGAACCTGGGAGAGAGAGGTTGCAGAGAGCCGAGATCATACCATTGCACTCTAGCCTGGGTGACGAGTGAAACTCCGTCTCAAAAGAAATAAAAAATAAAAAGACAGGGGCCCCTCGCGCCTTCAGGAAAACCGTAGGTACAACACCGCTGGCCTCGCTATGATAAGTCTCTGCATTTAATCCTTCTGCAGTCAGAAATCATGCCTAGACTTTTTTTGGGCGTGGTGCAGAGAGGGACAGGGTCTTGCTCTGTCACCCAGCCTGGAGTGCAGTGGTGCAATCGTAGCTCTCTGCAGCCTGGAACTCCTGGACTCAAGCGATCCTCCCGCCTTAGCCTCCTGAGTAGCTGGGACCACAGGTGCACACCACCATGCCCGGCTAAGTTTTGTATTTTTCTGTAGAGATGACGTTTTGCCATGTTGCCCGTGCTGGTCTCAAACACCTGAGCTCCAGCGATGCTACCACCTCTGCCTCCCAAAGTGCTGTATTCCAGCCGTGAGCCACTGCACCGGGCCCTCCTGAAGTCTTGACCTTAAAGATGCTTTGATTCCCTCCTCCCCTCTGTGAGGTGCCCCCTCTAGGATGTCTTTGTGGGTTCTCCCAGAGGATGAGGTCCCAGTCTTTCCTGAGGGGAAGGGGACCGTCTTGGGCCCTTGCACCACAGACTCCTTTTCTGAGCCCCTTTCCCTGTCTTATGCTCACTTATCCACCCGTCGCCTGTCATCCCTCTCTCCCCTAAACAAAATCTGTCCCTCTCTCCTGGGTTTCTGGGTTGCAGATGGTCCATTCCACACACTCTATGCTTCTCAAGATCCCCTCTCGGGCACACGTTACTGCTCTTCCACCAGTTCTGCCCATCGGGCTGTGCCTTGCAGCCCTGCATGCCCCCACCACCTCGACGACAACACCTTCGCCTCGCTCAGCCTCTCTGTAGCTTCTGACCCCCTGACCCTCCATATTCATTGACCCTCCTGCCTCATCTTGGTGCCTTCACATGCATCCTCCTGCTGTCTCCCCTGCCTCCTGCTGCCTCTTCTCAGGGTCTTTGCGGGACCCCCTTTGTGGATCACCCCCTGAAGCTCTGGCCACCTCACAGCAGCACTGTCTCAGGACCTGTCCACCACCCCTGATTTTCTGTATTAGCTGTTCTTGCATTGCTATAGAGAAATACCTGAGGCTGTGTAATTTATCAAGAAAAGGGGTTTCTTTGGCTCATGGTTCTGCAGGCTGTACCAGAAGCGTGGCGCTGGTGTCGGTTTGGCTTCTGGGGAGGCGTTGGAGGCTTTACTCATGGTGGAAGGCGAAGTGGGAGCAGGTGTGAGACATGGCGAGGCCAGGAGGAAGAGAGAGAGAATGGGGGTGGGGGAGGTGCCACGCTCCTTAAACAACCAGATCCCTATCTCAGAGACAGCACCGCGCCACAAGGGACCCGCCCTGTCCCCCAAACACCTCCCACCAGGCCCCACTTCCAACACTGGGGATTAATTACTTTTTTTTTTTTTTGAGACAGGGTCTTACTCTGTCACCCAAGCAAGAGTGCAGTGGTGTGATCACAGCTCACTGCAACCTCTGCCTCCTGGGCTCAGGTGATCCTCCCATCTCAGCCTCCCTAGTAGCTGGGACTACAGCTACACCACCACACCCAGCTAATTTTTTGTGTGGGTTTTTTTGTTTGTTTGTTTGTTTGTTTGTTTGTTTGTTTGTGTAGAGACAGGGTTTTTCCATGTTACCCAGGCTGGTCTCGAATTCCTGGGCTCCAGTGATCCTCCCTCCTCAGCCTCCCAAAGTGCTGGAATTATAGGCAAGAGCCACTGCACCTGGCTTGATTACATTTCAACATGAGATGTGGACAGGGATGAATATCCAAACTATATAATTCCACCCCTGCCCCCTCACGCAAATCTCATGTCCTTCTCACATTGCAAAATACAATCATGCCTTTCCAACAGTACCCCAAAGTCTTTTTTTTTTTAGATGGAGTTTCACTCTTGTTGCCCAGGGTGGAGTACAATGGTGCCATCTCAGCTCACTGTAACCTCCGCCTCCCAGGTTCAAGCCATTCTCCTGCCTCAGCCTCCCAAATAGCTGGGATTACAGGGGTCCGCCACCATGCCCGGCTAATTTTTTTTTTTTTTTTTTTTTTTGTATTTTTAGTAGAGACGAGTTTTCGCCATGTTGGCCAGGCTGGTCTCAAACTCCTGACCTCAGGTGATCTGCCCGCCTCGGCCTCTCAAAGTGCTGGGATTACAGGCGTGAGCCACCACGCCCACCCCCACAGTCTTAACTCATTACAGCATTTTGGTCACAACCATCGAACAAGTCTCTAAGAAGTTCCAAACTTTCCCTCATCTTACTGTCTTCTTCCATGCCCCCCCCAAACGCTTCCAAGCTCTGACCGTTGGGGCCCTAGATCTCCTCAACCAGCATATCCAGCCTCAGGTCCACAGGTCCAAACCCCACCACACACATGCCCTTAGCTGTTCACAAGCACCTTCGTGCTTACCAGAACCGAGCCAGCCAGCTGCCCACCCCTTCCCCCACAGGGGGCCAGGCCCGGGCCTCCCCACCTGGGTTCTGTACAGCGATGGGGTCCACAGCTCTCTCTCCAGCTCCTTCTGTGTCCTCGCCCCAGAGCCCTGTACTCCAGAGGTTGAAGAACTTGCCGAAGATCGTGAAATTCATAAAAGGCAGGGCCAGAATGCAAGCCCGGTTCTGGACTTGACATCAAGTGGCCACCAGAGATGTCACCCCAGCTTCCCCACCTGCGTGTTCCAGCCTCCAGCAGAGAAGGCAGGGTGAGGCAGCCGGTGGGGGATAGGGGACCCTCCCGTGGCCGGTGAGGCCCTGTCCTTCTCTAAGTACATCTAACTGAGGCCCCTCTCTGGTGGAAGCCCGCACAGCCAGTCTCCTGGCCTTCGCTTCCTCCCAGCGTGGAGTGACAGTTTCAAAGCACAGCTCTGGTTGCTGCTGGGATCCAGCTGGGCTCTGGGACAGTGTCCAGATCCTGTCCCCTGCAGCCTCCAGTTCTCTGTCCACCCCCCTCTACCCACAGCCTTCCCTCCAGTCTCACCGTCTGCCAGCCTCTGCTGCCCTGTCTTACCCAGCCTGTTCTCTCTGCCTCACCAGCAGCCATCCCCCAATTCTGCTGCCCGTGCAACTGGCCTGTGCTCCTATCACCCCAAGCCACCTCTTCAGGGATGGCCTCCCCCAACCACTCAGCCCTGCACCCTCAGATCCCCTCAGGAGCTAACCCAGTGCCCAGAGCATCTGCAGCAGCGCCAATGGCCAGGCCTCCAGGCCAGCTTAACACATGGGCCTTTTCCAGGATAGCGGGCCACCAGCTGGGAACCGGGGCAGCCTAGGATAGAGGGTTTGCAGCCAGGATGCTCACACCTGCACAGAATGTCACCTACATACACGGCAGGACTGTGTGCCCACCCCTGCAGTAGCAGACACAGGAACAAGTGCACGGGGACCAGGCCCACGCACCCCATCATCTCCCTGGTGCCCACGGATGGTGCTGGGAGCTGCAAGTTGCTGCCACCCCAGGGACCTGACCAAGACCACACTGGGGTGGTCACAGACTGGGGGCAGATAAAACAGGCAGTGCAAGGAATCATCTCAGCAGCTTTTTATCCACCCCTCTTGCCAGGCGCACACCTCCAGGGAAAAGGGCTCACTCTGGCCAGGCAAAAGTCACCTCTGCAAAGGTTCTCCATCTCAGCCCTGTCTCTCTGTCCCCCAGGCCCTCATCCCTGAGGTGGAATGTGGCTTCCCTGAGCCTTGTTGGAGCTTAACGCCCTCTTTTTATCCCAGGAGTCTGTCCCCATGGTCCCAGCACGGTTCTTGGATGTGCTCCTGTTTGTGGCCAAACTGAAGCATCCCCTCCCTTGGTCCAGGACCTTCACCTCTATTAATGTGACCCAAGGCCCCATTAGCTTTCTGGTGGTTTCCTCTCCCTACATCTCACAACCGCTGTCCACCTCCCATCCTAAGCATGTGTGGCCGGCTCTGCCATCCCATCCCACAGGCCAGGACCCAAGGACTCTGTACTCAGGCCAGGAGGGCATGGTATTTATCGTCTCTCTGGACCTCTCCCCTTTGGGGTCTCCTTAAAGTCCCTGCAGGTGGCCCAGGGCCAGCCCCAACCCTGCCCCCGACAGTCCTCCCTCCAAGGCCGGGTCCTGCCTTCAGGTCCTGCCTCTTCCCTCATCCCCTCCTCACTTCCGCAGATACCACCTTCCTGCCAGGGACCCAGGGGCTCAGTGAATGTCTGAAGGAAGAAATCCATTTAGGGGCCCAGTGCGGTGGCTCACGCCTGTAATCCCAGCACATTGGGAGGTTGAGGCGGACAGATCACTTGAGGTTGAGACCAACCTGGACAACATTGCTAAACCCCGTCTCTACTAAAAATACAAAAATTAACTGGGCACGGTGGCAGGCGCCTGTAATCCCAGCTACTCAGGAGGTTGAGGCAGGAAAATTGCTTGAACCTTGGAGGCGGAGGTTGCAGTGAGCCGAGATGGAGCCACTGCACTCCAGCCTGGGTGACTGAGTGAGACTCTGTCTCAATAAAATAAAATAAAATAAATCCATTCGGGGCCTGAACGAGGCGAGACTCTGGTGTGAGCAAGGGCTTAGACAGAGCTGGGGGTGGATGCCTTGGGTTTGGTCCCAGGTCGGGAAGCCTCCGTTCTTTGACTGTAAAATGTGAATCGTCTTTTCTGACTCATCTATAAGGACTTGGTGTGCAGTGGGAACCCAGGAGCATGTGGGGGTGAGGCTGGGCTGCCCCATCCTGGCCCAGGACACTAAGCCCAGCCAGGGCAGGTATGACAGCCGGTCAGCAGGCCGCGCAGTCAGGGATGAGTCCACGGAGGAGGCCGCACATACCATTTCCCTGGCACTGCCCACAGCCTGCAGCCTTTGTGCATTTCTGAGGCCACAGTGCCCCCTGGCGGCTGTGCAGCCTACCCCAAAGGACAGCGTCCTGGGTCTCAGGCCTCAGTCTCCCTCTCTGCGGCCCCAACAGCTCACCCTAAACAAGGTTTATTGTTACCATGTTACATGTCACCATTTGGGACCAGAAAGGGGGATCCAGTGGCCCTGAGCCGCACAGTCAACCAGAAACAGGGCCAAACCTCACCCTCAGGGCTGCCTGGCTCCTGGGTCACTGAAGTCCTGCCTGGCAATGCGTGCTTGGGTCTGGGTCCCTTCCCCGACATCTCTCACCCTCCTGCAGGGCAGGAAAGTCACAGTTTGGATGCTTTGTTATAAAGATGACCCTGGCACCTGGAGGAGGGAGAGACAGACAGGGCTGTGGGTCGGGGGACTCCTTGGGGACCACGCCACCCCAACCACTGCAGCTGGAGCCTCTGTTGGGGGCGGGACCAAGCACCTCTGTTGTCAGCCCAGAGGTGGCACCCCTACGCGCCCCACTGCACCCCCGCGGCTTTCTCTGCCTCTCCTACCCCCAGGCTTCCCACTGGACATTATCCCAGAACATCAGCTAGGAAGCAACCTGAGCCTCCTTGCCCCTGCCTGACAAGCAAAGTGAGGCCCAGAGAGGGAAAGGGGCTGGCCAGGGCCCCCCAAACAGCCGTGGGCAGAGCCACATTGCACCGGTTTCTCCTAATCCCTGACCTGAGCTCCTTCTCCTACCCAGGGGATTTCATCAATCCAGAGAGTGCTTGGGGCCAGGAGTGCCTCTGACAGTCAGGGAGGGCTTCCTGGAGGAGGCCCTAGGTCTAATGGGGTCTTCTAGGCAGTGGTGAGTTGGGAGGGAATAGCCAGCACTCTCACAGCATCCAGGCAGCCCTGCTTCCAGACCGTGGGTTGGAGAGGCAGAACCAGGGGAGGGCACCAAGGGTCCCACCAGGCTCCCTCTGACGGCCATGTCTTCCTTTGGCCACAGGACGCTGTGCGGAGCTGCAAGTCCGTATCACTGAGGCTGTGGCCACAGCCACTGAGCAGAGAGAGCTGATCGCCCGCCTGGAGCAGGACCTGAGCATCATTCAGTCCATCCAGCGGCCCGATGCCGAGGTGAGCCCACCCCCCTGCCCCATGCCCATCTCGATACCTGCCCAACTGACTTAGCCTCTGCAAACACTGACTTCCCAGATTAGCCTGTGTATCAGGCAGCTGGTGACAACCCAGAAGGGCTGTCACCTAAAACCATTGGGTTCTCCCTGCTTACTCCATGAATACCACCCTGCCTCCGATTTGGGGTGACAGGCCATGGGGCAGAGGCCACAGGGCTTCCTAGCGGTAGCACAGAGGCCCGTCTTTCCAGGCACTGCCCTGAGAGCAGAGGCAGAGGCAAGGCCAGGACCATGCACCCATCTCCCAGCTAAAGGACCTGGAGCCCAGAGATCACAGCAGGCTGGGACATAAACAGCCCAGGGAGAGCATCTCCTCGCCCACCTCCCATTCTGTAGAGTCCACAGTGGGACTCCGGGAGAGAAGTCTGGGCTGTCCCAGGTCACGTGGCAGGCTGGTTGCAGGGCCAGGGAGGCCCAGGTGTCTGATGCATGTCAAAGCTGAGTGGCTGCGAGGAGAGCTGCACTGCTGCTGAACTCTGGCCTCAGGAGTGACTCAGGGCCCAGCCATCTCTTCTTTGGTAGCTCATGTCACGTGTCCAGGTCCGGGCCCTCCTGCAGCCAGCCTGCACCCCGGATGGCCCCACCCACTCCTTGCCACACCCACCCTGCCATTTGCCTTGGCCATGCTGAAAGGGAATATTCCGTGCCCATTGTGCGGAGGCACCTCCTCATCGCTTCCTGTCACCTGCAGGGTGCCGCTGAGCACCGCCTGGAGAAGATCCCAGAGCCCATCAAAGAGGCCACTGCCCTATTCTACGGTAAGGAGAGGCCTGACCCATGGGAGGAGGGAGGAGGAGGGAAGAGGAGACAGGTGATACCGCCTGAGAACACAGATCCCCAAAGAGTAGTCCCTTCCTCTAAGAAGGTCAGGCCCCCACGCCTGCAATGCAGCAGCAACCTTCAAAGGGTCGGGTAAGGCTAGGTGTGGTGGCGCACACCTATAGTCCCGGCTACTTTGGAGGCCGAGGTGGGAGGATCGCCTGAGCCCAGGAATTGGAGGCTGCAGTGAGCTATGATGGTGCCACTGCACTCCAGCCTGGGCGACAGACCGAGACCCTGTCTCTAAAAAACAAAAAGGTGAATGAGCCCTCAACCTGCCTTTCTGGATCTTAGACTGACACCCCCCACCTTGGGGCCCTGACCCTTCAGCCCTGCCGGTGGCCTGTGAAAGGCTGGTGAGTGGTGGTCAGCCAGGCCTCACTGCCAAAGTGCAGCCGGAGGTCCGTGCAGTGAGGGGAAGGCAGCCTCCTTGGGTATTGAGGACAGAAACTGAGGCTGCTGGACTGGGATACTGGGGGTGTGCCCATGCCTCCCCAGTTCCCCTCCTGCCCCTTTGCTTCCCCAGGGGATATAGGCCTAGTCTGACAGCTGCAAGGGTCTCAGATTCAAGGACAGAGTGACTGGGAGGGGAGTTCTGGGCCTGGCCCTCTGACAGCGCAGACGGGGGTGCTGGGCCCTTCCCCAGCGTGCGTATTGTCAGGTCAGCCCCTGCCATCCATTCTCACGCTCCCCGGTTCCCCTGGCTGTCCCCTCCCCTTCCCCGACCTGCCCAGCACCAGGGAGTCAGACACCATGTGGCTTCTACCCCATGGCATTTGGCAGAAATCCCCCAGGGCTGGGGGACCCACCCCAAAGGGCCGCCTGCTGGGTTCCACCTCCTGCCACCCCCCAAGCCACCCTCCTCTACCTGCTAGGACCTGCAGCACCAGCCAGCGGTGCCCTCCCAGAGGGCCAGGTGGATTCACTGCTTTCCATCATCTCCAGCCAGAGGGAGCGCTTCCGTGCCCGGAACCAGGAGCTTGAGGCCGTGAGTCACATCCTTCTCTCCCTGATGCTCCTTGGGCCCAAGGACACAGTTGGGGAACACACAGGCTTTCAGGAGAGAGATGTGGCACAGACCGTAAACCTCAGGGGGAAGAGATTTGTTCTGTGCAGTCAGGGAGGGCTTCCTGGAGGAGGTCATGCCACACTGGGCTTTGAAAGAAGACTCAGATGCTCACAGTAGAGGAGACACGGGGGCCAGTGAGCCAGAAGGGAGCATAGATCATTCCAGGTGAAACAAGTCGCCAGGCAAGTGCCCTCTTGCCAGGCTGGGAGGCGTGGCCTTCAATCTGCAGGGAGGGGCACCAAGGAAGGATTTAAGCCAGGCAGTGGCACTGCAAGAATGCAGGGTGAGCCAGGTGCGGTGGCTCACACCTGTAATCCCAACACTTTGGGAGGCTGAGGCAAGTGGATCACTTGAGGTTGGGAGTTTGAGACCAGCCTGGCCAACATGGTGAAACCCCGTCTCTACTAAAAATACAAAAATTAGCCGGGCATGGTGGCGGGCACCTGTAGTCCCAGCTACTTGGGAGGCTGAGGCAGGAGGATCGCTTGAACCTGGGAGGTAGAGGTTGCAGTGAGCTGATGAGATCGTGCCACTGCACTCCAGCCTGTGTGACAGAGCAAGACTCCATCTCAAAAAAAAAAAAAAATCCTTCCTTTTTAAGGCTGTATAATATTTTATTGTGCATATAGACCACATTTTGTTTATCCATTCACCTATTCATTTACATTGCTTCCACCTTTTGGCTGTGGCGGATAATTCTGCTGTGAACATGGGTGTATAAATATCTCTCCAAGTCTCTGCCTTCAATTCTTTTGGGTATCTACCCAGAAGTGGAATTACTAGATCCTATGGTAATTCTATGTTTAACGTTTTTAGAGGAAGCGTCATACTGCCATATACTTTTTTGTACTGCTCAAGTTTTGGTTGTGTTTGTTTTTTGAGACCGAGTCCCGCTCTCTTGCCCAGGCTGGAGTGCAGTGGCACAATCCTGGCTCACTGCAACCTCCACCTCCTGGGTTCAAGCGATTCTTCTGCCTCAGCCTCCCGGATAGCTGAGATTACAGGCGTCTGCCATCACACCCAGCTAATTTTTGTATTTTTAGTAGAGACAGGATTTCTCCATATTGGCCAGGCTGGTCTCGAACTCCTGACCTCAGGTGATCTGCCCACCTCAGCCTCCTAAAGTGCTGGGATTACAGGCGTGAGCCACCGCGCTGGCCACTGCTTGAATTTTGAATAGTGTGAAAGAAACACTTATTCAAGCATTTGAATAAATTGAAAACTGAGATTCCATTTCACGTTGCCTTTAGATTGGCAAATATTAAAACCACAGCGTGTGATTCCATGAATACGAACATTCGGTATAGGCAAATCCATAGAGACAAAAAAGAGACTGCCGGTTACCAGGCAGTAGGGGAGGAGGGAATGGGGAGTGACTGCTGGCAGGTTTGGGGTTTCTTATTGGGGTGATTTTAAATGTTCTGGAATTAGGTAGTGGGGATGGTTGCATAACATTGTGAATACAAATGACCGAACTGTACACTTTGAAATGCTGATGTTTATGTTATGGGTATTATATCTCAATAATAGTTTTTAAAAGGCTAATACCAATGACAAAAAAAAGTATGAAGAAATCTGACCAGGCATCGTGGCTCATGCCTGTAATCCCAGCACATTGGGAGGCCGAAGTGGGAAGATTGCTTGAGCCCAGGAGTTTGAGACCAGCCTGGGCAACGCAGTGAGACCCCGACTCTGCAAAAATAAAAAAGTAGCTGGGCATGGTGGTGTGAGCCTATAGTCCCAGCTACCTGGGAGGCTGAGATGGGAGGATCGCTTGAGTCGGGAGGCTGAGGCTGCAGTGAGCTCTGGTCATGCCACTTTATTCTAGCCTGGGTGATAGAGCAAGACCCTGTCTCTAAAATATATAGACAGGGGCCAGGCGCAGCAGCTCACGCCTATAATCCCAACACTTTGGGAGGCAGAGATGGGTGGATCACCTGAGATCAGGAGTTCGAGACCAGCCTGAACAAAATGGTAAAACCCTGTCTTTACTAAATACAAAAAAACTAGCCAGGCATGGTGGCACATGCCTGTAATCCCAGCTACTTGGGAGGCTGAGGCAGGAGAATCGCTTGAACCCGGGAGGCAGAGGTTGCAGTGAGCCGAGATTGATTGCGTCGTTGCACTCCAGCCTGGGCAACAAGAGCGAAACTCCATATCAAAAAAATAATAAAAATAAAAATAAAAAATAAAATAAAATATATAGACAGGGTCTTGCTCTGTCATATATTAAGGTTGATGCAAATGTAATCATGGTGTTTGCCATTACTTTTAAGGGCAAAAACCACGATTACATTTGCACCAACGTGATACATATGAAGAAACCTGACCCAAGATCCCTGACTTCTGCCTGTGGTGGGGCCACAGTGGGGGAAGGGGCAGCTTTACAGAGTCAGGCAGGTCAAGGAGAAGGCTGTGGGCACAGAAGGGGCTCCAGGTAGACGGAGCAGCACCTGTGCCAGCACGGAGGCCTCTCCCCCACCCCTTTCCTTGCCCCTCCCCCCCCAGGAGAACCGCCTGGCCCAGCACACCCTCCAGGCCCTGCAGAGTGAGCTGGACAGCCTGCGCGCCGACAACATCAAGCTCTTTGAGAAGATCAAGTTCCTGCAGAGCTACCCTGGCCGGGTGAGGGCCCTCCCCTGGCCTCAGCTCCAGGTGGACCAGGCAGGGAGAGAGGCCGATCAGGGCTCTGGAGATGGGAGGGTCGGGGACCAAGACCTGCTGGGCAGCACTGGGCCCCAGAGACCCCTGAGGCCTTCCGACATCTCCCCACCCACCCACCTGCCTGCTAGCTGCCCTCCCTAAGCCGGGAGAAGCTCACAGAGTGGAGCCCCTGTCCAGATTCATTCATAAAAACTGGCCAGAAGGACCAGGCACGGTGGCTCATGCCTGTCATCCCACCACTGTGGGAGGCCGAGGCAGGAGAATTGCCTGAGCTCAGAAGTTCGAGACCAGCCTGGCCAATATGGTGAAACCCCGTCTCTACTAAAAATACAAAAAAAGTATCCGGGCATGGTGGTGCACACCTGTAGTCCCAGCTACTCAGGAGGCTGAGGCAGGAGAATCGCTGGAACCCAGGAGGCGGAGGTTTCAGTGAGCCAAGATCACACCACTGCACTCCAGCCTGGGCAACAAGAGCGAAACTCCGTCTCAAAAATAAAATAAAATAAAAATAAATAAAATAAAATTAAAATAAAATAAAATAAAATAAAATAAAAAAATAAAATAAAATATAAAATAAAATAAATAAAATAAAATAATAAAATAGTAAAGTAAAATAAAATAATAATAAATAAAATAAAATAAAATAGAAAAGAAAATACTAGCCAGAAGGGCCAGGCACAGTGGCTCATGCCTGTAATCCCAGCACCGTGAGAGGCCGAGGCGGGTGGAGTTTGAGACCAGCCTGGCCGACATAGTGAAACCCTATCTCTACTGAAAATACAAAAATTAGCCAGGCATCGTGGCACGTGCCTGTAGTCCCAGCTACTCAGGAGGCTGAGGTGGGAGGATCACTTGAGCCCAGGAGGTACAGGCTGCAGTGAGCTGAGATCCAGCCACTACACTCCAGCCCAGGTGACAGAGCAAGACCCTGCCTCCAAAAAATAAAAATAAATAGGCTGGGCATGGTGGCTCAGGCCTGTAATCCCAGCGGTTTGGGAGGCTGAGGCGGGCGGATCATTTGAGGTCAGGAGTTCCAGACCAGCCTGGCCAACATAGTGAAACCCCGTCTCTACTAAAAATATAAAAATTGGCTGGGCGTGGTGTCATGCACCTGTAATCCCAGCTACTCAGGCGGCTAAGGCAGGAGAATCGCTTGAACCTGAGAGGTGGAGGTTGCAGTGAGCCGAGGTCACACCATTGCACTCCAGCCTGGGCGACAGAGCGAAACTCTGTCTCAAATAAATAAATAAGCAATAATAAAAAATGTAAACAGAATTTGGTCCACACTCCAAAAAGCAACCAAGAGAGTGGATCAGAAACTCACTTGCCGAGTTTTTCTGGGCTAGGGAGGCCTGTGCGTGGCTTCTCTCAGCCCCCAGGCCTCCCAGGGGCCACCCCGTGCCAGGAAACCCTTTCTATGAGTGAGAGAAGAGCGTGGGGCATAGTGGGGCAGGGATTCACCTCTCCCTCTTCCTTTGGGGCCCAGCAGCCCCCAGCCCTGTCCCCACCCATCAGAGCCGCTCCTTGGCCACCAGAGGGCACTCAGACTCTGCAAACCAGCCTGGCTCTGGGTGGCCAGCTGGGGGGCGTCTCCTCTCCCAGCTGCCTGCCTGCTCGCATGACCACCCCACACTCCCAGCAAACCCACCTTCCTGCAGCTGCGCCCGGCCCTGCCTGGGCCTCAGTTCCCCATCTGTGCCCGGAGGCACTGTGGCCCTGACCCCATGGGTAACTCCATGCCCCTGTGGCAGGAGGCACCAGCCACATTCACATTGTCACCCCAGCACCCTCTCCTCCCGCCTCTGAGATCTAGGGCTCCCTCCCCCACTTCCCTTTTTTGCAGATGAGGAAACTGAGGCTCCCCTGGGCTCCTGCCCTTCCCGCTGGGCCCCAAGGCACTGACTGGTTCTCTTCCCCTCCCTGTCTGTGCAGGGCAGCGGCAGTGATGACACGGAGCTGCGGTACTCGTCCCAGTACGAGGAGCGCCTGGACCCCTTCTCCTCCTTCAGCAAGCGGGTTCGTGAGCCCAGCCTGGGCAGGGGAGGGGAGGGGCATCAGCCCAGGGAAGCCCAGGGGTCCCCCCATCACTTGGCCCCTATCCCTGAGCACTCGGCCTTCCCTGGCTCCCCTCCACCTGCCCTTGTCTGGGTGCTCTCGGCCAGCCTTGCCACGCCAGCCCTGCACACCCTGGCCCCTCAGGCCAGGAGCCCCCCCAAGACAGCCTCCCCACCGCTTCAGTGCAATGTAGGCCCAGGGCCCATTCAGGAACACCTGCCGAGGACTACCCGAGGGTGTGTGGCAGTGACCGGGTTAACCTGGAGTGCATTTGCGGGACAGGCAGACAAGGAAAAACCAGTTACAGCTCCCAGAATCGGGCGATCCATTGTGGGGACCCCACCCCACAACTCCCCTCCCCCACCCAGACTGCAGAAGTTCTGCCCGTGGAGTACTTTCCCATGGGCAGAATGGACGGCTGCAGAGGCGGGGAGGGGCTCTCACAGATGTCAGGGGAGTCCAGAATGTCACACTGAGTAGACTGTGCACCCAGGGAAGCCCCTGGCAGCACCCTGGCAGCCCCCTGGGGGTCTGCAAGAACAGCGGGCAGGGTGTCCTGTGGCTGGCCAGGCCCTGCTCTCTGCCACAAGCCAGGGCCTGTGAGGTCCTTTGGGGTCCTTTCCTGACTGTCCCTCCCTGTGCAGGAGCGGCAGAGGAAGTACCTGAGCTTGAGTCCCTGGGACAAGGCCACCCTCAGCATGGTGAGTCCCTGCCCCTACCCACCCCCTCCCTGGACAGGCCTGAGCCTCTGTCTCCAGGCACCTCTTCACCTGCCCTGCAGCCCAGGCTGGAGGAGCCGCCAGCCCTGCCAAGAGTGGCTGTGTGATCTGGGACAGGGTCTCTCCCCTTCCCGGGCAGATCCTCTGAGAGCATGGTTCACAGCATGGTTCTGAACTGGGCTGTAGAGGGGGCATTCCTCAGAATTCCTGCAGCCTAGAGTCAGACATGGTGGCTCACACCTGTCATCCCAGCACTTTGGGAGGTGGGAGGATTGCTTGAGCCCAGGAGTTCGAGACCAGCCTGGGCAACACAGTAAGATCCTGTCTCTACAAAAAATAAAATTAGCCAGGCGCAGTGGTGTGCACCTGTAGTCCCAGCTACTCAGGAGGCTGACGGAGGAGGATCACTTGAGCCTAGGAAGTCAATGCTACAGTGAGCTGTGACCACTACATTCCAGCCTGGGCAACCTTGTCTAAAAAAACGTTTTTAAAGAATTCCGGTGGCCGGGCACAGCAGCTCACGCCTGTAATCTCAGCACTTTGGGAGGCCAAGTTGGGCGGATCACCTGAGGTCTGGAGTTCGAGACCAGCCTGGCCAACATAGTGAAACCCTATCTCTAGTAAAAATACAAAAATTAGCTGGGCGTGGTGACGCACACCTGTAATCCCAGCTACTCAGGAGGCTGAGGCAGGAGAATCACTTGAACCCAGGAGGTGGAGGTTGCAGTGAGCCAAGATCACACCACTGCACTCCAGCCTGGGCGACAGAGGGAGACTCTGTCTCAAAAAAAAAAGAATTCCAGCAGCCCATGTCCCTGGCCCATAATGATGGAATAGGGGCCCCAGCTTCCTGTCCCTTCCCTCCCCTTGCCACCCTAGGGCCCTTTCTGTGAAGCCCAGGCAGCCCTGCAGGGGTGGGTGAGGCCGGCCCCATCCCCACTCACCCCCTCCTTGCTCCCAGGGGCGTCTGGTTCTCTCCAACAAGATGGCGCGCACCATCGGCTTCTTCTACACACTGTTCCTGCACTGCCTGGTCTTCCTGGTGAGTGTGCACACGGGCGGGCCAGAGGCACATTCACCATCCCCAGCCCTGACCTCCAGGGCAGCAGGGGCCTGTTACGGTGGCCTGGCCCCTGGGCCTACCCCAAGCTGCATCTCTAGCTTGCGGCCATGCCTCTCCCCTTCGAGAGCCTTGGCCCACCCCAGGGACGAGAAGGACCCACCCCATTGGGACCTCTGGCCAGGGCACCAGCCGGGCCGCTCCGTGAAAGAGGCCTGGCTGATCACATCTGGGACTGGTCCTGAACGGGCTTCATAGGAAGAAGGGATGGAGTGGGAAGGGAGCAGGTCTAATGAACTCCACCAAGGGACAGTCACGAAGACTGCACAGAGAAGGGGCGTCTTGAACTAACCTCCCCAGCTGTGGAGGTGGCGTTCTAGTTAGCGGATAAGGGCCTCCATGTCTGCCAAGTTGGGGGAGAAGAGGGGTGGAAGGCTGTGTCTCTGGAAGGATCCAGCCTTGGGGACTCCTGTCCCCCGCACAGTCAAGATGGCCCCTACAGAGCTAACCTGGGCTCAAGTTCTGACCCCAGGGTCCAGCGGCTCCTGGCCCTTCCAAGGGTTGGCCCACAGTATTAGAGGAGGTGCCTCCGTGTCTGGGCCCATCTGATCATCTGCAGAAGCAGTGGGTGCAGGAACATGTCTAAGACCCACCCGCCCCGGAGTCTGGGGCTCGAGAACCTTTATGTTCCAGGCCAGGCCCAGGGGCCATGGGTGGGCTGCAGGGGTGGCCTTGAGGCGAACGGGCAGCTCACCGTGTCTCCACCTGGCCAGGTGCTCTACAAGCTGGCATGGAGCGAGAGCATGGAGAGGGACTGTGCCACCTTCTGCGCCAAGAAGTGAGGACCCCCACTTGGGCCCCCCCTCAGCCCCACAGCGAGCTCCCAGCACCCCCGCAACACCCCCGAGTTCCTGCCTCATGTCCCCCACTCCTTAGCCCTCCATCACAGCCCCCCATTCTGGCCCTCCCCCTACCCCTACTCCCGGTATCCACTACCCCCTAGCCCCACCCCATCACATGGTACACACCCCCCTTCCCCAACACACACACTCGGCCTCAGCAAAGCTTCCCGTGTCCCCCAGGTTCGCTGACCACCTGCACAAGTTCCACGAGAATGACAACGGGGCTGCGGCTGGTGACTTGTGGCAGTGATACCCCGGGGCCTCCCCCGTGACAGTGACGGCTGCGCCTCCACCCCGACTGCTCAGTGCATCTAATCACTTAGACTCCCCTGAAGAATCCCCCATGGAAACTGCCCTTATCCGCTGTCCAGCAGCTGCCAGAGGCCCCAGGTCACCTCGGGTCCCCTTGAAAGAATGTCTCGGTCACATCAGGCCCGCTAGGTCCAGAGAGCGAGCCCCCAATGCCCGGCCAGGCTAAGCCGCAGAGACCCTCTCAGCCCCCACCTCAGGTTAGGGCTCTGCCCGCAGCCTGACCTCTAGCCCTGGTGGCAGAGGTCCCTCAGCTGCGAGGCTAATTGGGTGACCACCGATTCCAGCTGCGGTTAATCCAGCTTGGGCCTGTCTGCACTGCGATCCTCTTGGGCTCTCCTAGGATCCCCCCATGCCCCGTAAGAGGTGGAAGACGCTTCCTTCCAGGACAGCAGGCTTTGAGTCCAGCACCCCCAGCCTGCCTTTGCCACCAGCCCCACCCTGCAGAGTATATGAGGCTTGACAGAGTCTGCCCCCTCCCCCACTGCACCCCAAGAGAGAGAGCCCCAGCCAGCGGAACAGTTTCTATTACCCCCTCCCTGCCCCCAGACCCATGTGATTTCTGCTTTCTTCTTTAGCAAGATATTCTGGTTTCTAGATAAGGAAGAGTCTCTAATGAGCCCCCGAGCCCCAGTCTCTTCAGACTCATGGATTGGTATGAGGGGTCTGAACGTCTCCTAGCCAATCAGAACTGGCTGTGGACCACCCTAGCACGGCCACCTCTCAGGGCCACTGGCAGGCCTTCCTGAGTTAGATTTGTAGTTGCATATTTAGCTTTGCACATTTGAAATAAACCACGGTTGCAGCCACCCTGGTGCCCTGTGCTCTGGGACGCTGGAGGGACTGGAGGCTGGTGGGGATGCCTGCGGTGCCACCCCTGGGAGCTGGGGCTGGCCTCACAGCTGGGCACACAGAACATTCCTCCCCCTCTTCTCATCTCCAGGAATTCCATGAGTACATTCAGAGCTCTGCTGAAACCCAGATCCAGTGTCCGAGTGCTTTTGAGAGGACAAGTAGCACCATCAAAAAGGGAAACCCATTCCTTTATTCAAAAACCACCCGGGGCCAGGCGCGGTGGGTCACACCTGTAATCCCAGCGCTTTGGGAGGCCGAGGCAGGTGGATCACTTGAGGTCAGGAGTTCGTGACCAGCCTGGCCAACGTGGTGAAACCCCGTCTCTACCAAAAATACAAAAATTAGCTGGGCATGGTGGCGCATGCCTGTAATCCCAGCCACTCAGGAGGGTGAGGCAGGAGAATCGTTTGAACCCGGGAGGCGGAGGTTGCAGTGAGCTGAGATCGTGCCAGTGCACTCCAGCCTGGGAAACAGAGTGAGACTCCATCTCAAAAAAAAAAAAAAAACCACCTGTCGGGCTGTGGTTGGGTGTATGACGTGTCTTGGTCCACGTCAGTTCCTGGGGAATCTCTGCTTCCCTTTCTGTGCTCCCCTTTCCCATGGGCCCCCGCCTGCCAGGGGCTGCAAAGCCCGTGCCCATCAATCTCCCTGAGCACCAGCCTCGCATGGGAACCCCCCGAGACACAGGTTCTGGGCCACCTCACCTCCAGCCCAGCCTCAGATAGAGGAGCGCATTCTCTGGGTCTGGAGTGGGTGCATTAACTCATTGTCCAGCTGTCACAAGACTGGCTGCAAACCCAGGTCCCCCACTGCAGCCCACCAGGCCAGGGTCCCCTGTGCTACCTCTGTCTCCATTTTAGTTCTGAACAGTCTAAAGCATGTGTATCCAGGGGCCTTTCTTTGGGGTCCCCGTCCCAGCACCCCTCATCTCCCCCATGAGGACTTCTTCCAAGCCCCTCAAGCCTCCTGCCCTCAGGGACCCAGGATGGACCTTTCCTCCCTGACCTTCATTCCTATCCCCAGCGAGGCGACAGCTGCTCTTGGCCAACCACGCCCCCTCCACCCCCACAGCCACTTCCACATCTCCATCAGTTCCTCCTTGTGGGTCCGAGGCGCTCTGCCGCCGGCCCCTCCTCACTTCTTCCTCCCTGGGGATGGATCCAAGCTATTGTCCTGCCCATGGCTTCCCATCTCAGGACCCTCTCTGGCCGCTATCATCCCAGCAGTGGAGTTCAGCCCACTACTCTGAACCAGGTTAGTCCACCGCGGGTCAGGCTCTCCCCTCTCCCAGGAGGGTGGAGACCACAACCAGGCCATGTATGGAGCTTCCCTTTCTCCCACTCTCGGGCACCCCCTCCTCCCCCTTCCCGGCCTCATTCATAGGTGTCCTGGTTCCCAACCAGGCGTGCAGGCCTGTGTGCAGCTCCGATCGAGGGCTGGCCCACTGCCGAAGCTTTCATTAAAGTGTCTGCTGGCCTGGTCCTGCGGAGGGAACAGAGCCGAGATGTGGGGCAGGGAAGGGGTCTGCCTGTCTTCCGTGCCCCCGTGGAGGGCAGCACCGGGGTTTTGGGCAGCAGGTGAAGGCTCTGTCCCCTCCACCTTCAACTCTGGAAGCCCCACCTTTCCATCCCTAAGAAGGGTTTGATAAAAACCCTTGTCTGTAAATTAGAGATGGGAAATGGCTCTGGGAAAAGTCAGAGGTCAGTTTGGGCCCGGGAGGGCGACAGATGGAGGCAGCTCCGGCTGGCAAGGAGACCAGGACAGAACTGCCAGAGGTGGGGGCAGGGGACAAGGAGGGAGATGAGGGGAGAAGACACCCAGGGGTCCCCCCCTGCTATCTCCAGGAGCAAGACTACTCTCTTCTCTGAGCGGCCCTTTCCACACCTCTGCCCCCACCGAAGCCCTCCCTCCCCTCTCAGACCCCTTCCAGGCCTGCTGAGCCCCCTGCACCTCTTTCAGGAAGCCTCCCAGAGCCCCCGCGCTGTGCCCTCAGCACCAGGGGTCAGGCTACAAATGCCCCGCAAAGCCCAGCGGGACTGTTTCCTCAGCCCCACTGGTCTCTGCCCTAAAGCAGGCGAGTTCTGGAGCCAGGCAGGGGTGAGGAAGGTGCCAGGGTTGTGGCCCCTCATCGCCCCTCTATGATCTCTGACACCTCTCCGGGTGGCATCAGGCCCCCATCACAGCGAAGGCTGGGTGGTGGGGGCACTGCGCTCAGGGGGGCCGTCCCGCCCTGTGGCCCGGGGGCGATTTCCCGCACCGGAGGGCTGCAGGGAGGGGGCGTGGTGGCGCCCTCGAGATTTATGAGAACCAGGCGTCGACTTCCTCCGTTGCGACATCCAGGCCTCCTCCAGGCTCCCATTGTCCCTGCTGCGGAGAGTCTGGCCACAGCGGCGGCTCCCGCGAAGCACCCGTCAGCGAGGGGCGCTTCGAGGGCGTCCGCGTCCCATACACCCGCCACGCAGGACATTCCCCCGGCCCCACGCTCCGCGCTCCCGGGGCCACCACCACCGCGGGCTCGAGGGGTGGCCTCCACGAGGAGGAGTGGGAGTCCCGCGCCTGGCCTGGGGCCGGCTCGGCGACATGGGGACCCCCGCCCAGATGGGGCGACTCGGAGCCGGCTCCTAACCCCTCTCTCCGGGCCCCAGGACCGGGCAGTCTCGGCACCGCAGCTGCGGGGAGCCAGCAAGCACCGGCCACCGGCGCCGCTCGGGCTCCGCGGATGGCCGGGGGCGGGGCCTGAGCGGCGCAAGTGGGGGCGGGAGGGGGCGGGGCCAGGACGCGCGAGGGGGGGCGGGGCCGGGGCTCGCGGCGGGGGCGGGGGCGGGGCGGGGCCGGGAGGCGCGCGCCTCGCGGGCGGAGGGGCGCGCCGCGCTGGGGCTGGGCTTGGAGCGCGCGGAGCTCGGCTGCCAGAGAGCCGCGCGGGGGACGCGCCGGGACCGCGAGGAGCGCAGGAGCCTTCGAGGCGGTGAACGAGGGAGGGAGCCCAGTCCGCCGCGGGCCATGAGCCACCGGGCCCGGGGAGCCCGGCCGCGGTCCGGGCAGCGCTCAGCCGGCGCCCCAGCCCGCTCGGCCGCAGCTGCGCGCCTGTAGGTATGGCCTCCTTATACCCAGTTCCTCGCTCCCTGGTCCTTCCCCCGGGACCCCTGTCTGTCCCCGGGGACGTGCGCTGTGTGCGCACCGCTGCCCGAAGGAGAGCGGCCGCACGCGCCTTGGTCCGCGCGTGTCGTCTTTGTGTGCGCGGGTGGGAGGGAGGAGGGCGCGCGAGGGAGGGGAGGCGCCCCCGGCTGGGATCTGCTCCCCGATCCCCATCCCGGGCGGGGCGGGGAGCCGCTGGAGGGGCCGAGCCGCCTCTGGAGCAGCTGCGCCCCCGCCCCCTGCTAGGGCCCCGGCCGGGTAGTGGGGCGAGAGCAGCCGGGTCCTTAGAGGAGGGGTCTCTGGTTGGGGGAAGGGGTGCCCAGGTCTCTTCCCTACGCTGGGAGCGCTGGGAGGGGGCGTCAACCTAGAATGAGGGTGAGGGCCACGGGATGGGATCGGGGAGGACCTCCTCCAGGCCACAGGCACGCCCTCCCTTTGGCCCAGGCCCCCCTTTCTCGACCTGCCCAGCCGGGGAGCTCCCCGGAGCCCCCGATTGCCGGGAGGATCGTGGAGGGTGCCCAAGAGGCCGGCGCCTTTAAGAAGGGGCGGGTTCGTGCCCTCCATTCAGGCCCTTGGGCCTCGGCCATTGATGAACCTGCGGGCTGCGCGGGCCGGAACCGCGCCAGCCCAGCGGGCTGAAGCCGGGCAGAGGCAGGGACGCATCCTGGCCCCCTGCAGCCCCGAAGTGGGGGCCTTCAGGGAGGGAAGTCTGCAGTGACTGGAGCCTCTCAGGAGCCACGCAAGGCAGACCGGGCAGCCCCAGGCGAGACTCTGAACACGAATAAGCCAGGATCTACGTGCACTTCGAGCTAGTGCAAGGGAGAGCCTCAGGCTAGGCTGTCAGACCTGGGTGGAGCCCTACCAATGCCCCCGAGCCAACATCACCTACCCTGTAAAATGGGATGGTGCTGCCTGCCTCCTGGCTAAGGGACCGGCAACTCCCGGCAGGAATTGCGTCCCAGAGTCAGGTCCCTGGAGCTCCTCTGGGAGGACTGGGGGCAGGGGGTGTGGTTTCCCCAAGAGGTTTTGACTGCCTCTTGAGCTGAAGCCCCCACTACTGTGTCCCACCTTGAACTCTCCCAACCTCTTCCCTCCTGGCCTCCCCACTCCACGCAGGAAGAGGTTGGGAGAGTGACCTAGAACTTTTCAGCTCCAGGAGCTTTGGGAGAGGTCTGGTGGTGGCGGTGGTGGCACTTCTTTTAGGCTAGTGTGGATCAGGGCATTTTTGGGGGTCTCAGAGACAGTTTCCCACCAGCTACTTCCTTAGAGGTCTGTCCTACCAACATACAAGAACAGCCCCACCCCGTGGCAGGCCGGCTTCTGATGCTGCTTGGTTGAATGCTTCTAGGTAATCAAGGGTTAATGCACACGCTTTTCTTTTTACCCTTGTTGTGAAAAATCTGTCTGAAGTTTCTAAATCCCTCTTCCCTACTTAGCGTGAATCTCCTAGGGAGGACTTCTATACAAATACCCAGGGGTGGGCTTCCCTTGGGGGTCTTGGAAGTGGGATCTCCACCCAAGTGATCCTGGGCCTCCCAGGGCTGAGCTTTTGGTTTCAAACTTACTTGTGCCAAGCTAAGGGCATCAGGATCGCCGTTCGTGTCATCTTTACAACAATCCTGTGGGTTTAGTGCTATTATTATCCCCACACACTTAGGGAGGGGAAGTGACTGGCCCAAAGTCCCGCAGTCAACGAGCCAGGCCTCCCAACCACTCCTCTCTGACAAGAGGCTGGCACTTCTTGCCCTGCCTACCCAGCCTGGGTTGCAAGGAATTGGGGGTTTAGGGGCTTCAGGCCTCCTGGCTGCTGTCTTCCCGGGGCTACGCTCATTCTTACTGTCCAAGTGAGGCCAGGGGACTGGTCAGAGCCCTGGGGCCTGGGGAGGTTTCTCTTCCCTGCTCACCTGGCTGGGTGCCGTTTTATGGCTATGCTCTGTCTAGGGGGATAGCAGGTGTGACCCCTCAACACGAGGTCACAGCCCACACCTGTTTGGGCAGAGCAAGGCAGGGCATCGCTGTGTGGGCGTGCAGCATCTTTTGGTTCCTCTGGGTGAAGCAGGGTTTGGGCCCCATTCTCCACATACTTCCGGGCCATCTGAGGGTAGCGCCCACCTGGGGGGTGGGGAGGACAACCAGCCAGGAGCTCACGGTTCGGTGGAAGAGACAGGCCACAGCCATGTGGTGTGGTGGAGGGGCAGGGGGCAAGGGTGGAGGTGGGAAGAGGATCAAGGGGCGTTCCCGAGGCCTCTGTGGGCTTGGGGGCCTGCCTGCTATTGGGGCAGAACAGGGGAAGTAGGCAGTGCCCAGCTGGGTGCTGAGGCTCTGTGCAGAGGACAGGCAGGAGTTGGAGGAAGAGGATGTATTTGAACTTGGATGTGGTGAGTTTGAGGTACCTGGAGATCAGCCAGGCTGGGAGTTGAGCTCAGAGAAAGGCCCAGGGAAGCTTTATTAGCACCTGTAGTCTCCAGAGTTCGGGGATGCTCAGATCTTAGGGGTGCCACCAGAGGTCTCAGGAGGCACTGGTATGAGTGTCCTGGAAAAGCCAGAAGGCAGCTGGGTGGGATGAGTTGGTGAGGGGCACTAAGGGGGTATCCTGCAGGTTTAGGGGGCTGGGCCAGGGCCCATGTGAGAGTTATGACACTGGGGGAGTGGAAGGGGCTGAGTGTCTCAGGCCAAGGCTGGAGATGGGAGGGGGGAACCTCTGCTCTGCAACCCCAGAAAGGCAGGGTGGGGTGGGAGTAACCAGGGCCAGTGCAGCTGGAACCAGCTCAGCCTGTCCTCCACCTGCAGAGCCCATCCAGGAACTGTCCAGCACTGGGTGCTCCTGAAGGAGGCTGAGTCTGCCTCTTGAGCCCACAGGCCCTGGCTTAGCTTGTTGTCCTGGCCCCCACTCCCTGCTTATCTGACCCGCACTTCCTGCAGAGCCCAGCTGTGGATTCCCCCGCCCCCCCACCCAGCCGCTCAGAGTGCCCCATCCTCTAAAGGTGGTCATTTCCTTTCCTGAAACAGGGATTCAGTCTTCCCACTCTGCCCTTGGAAGCGGAGTTCCCCAGAAACAGGTCTCAGAAAGGGACCAGCCTGGAACTTGGCTCCATACCCCCCTTTTTTTTTTTTATTTTTTTGAGACAGAGTCTTGCTCTGTCGACCAGGCTGGAGTGCAGTGGCGTGCAACCTCAGCTCCCTGCAACCTCCGCTCCCTGCAACCTCCACCACCTCTGGGGTTCAAGCAATTCTCATGCCTCAGCCTTCTGAGTAGCTGGGGTTACAGGTGTGCACCACCACGCCTGGCTAATTTTTGTATTTTTAGTAGAGATGGGGTTTCACCGTGTTGGCCAGACTGGTCTCAAACTCCTGACCTCAAGTGATCCGCCCTCCTCGGCCTCCCAAAGTGCTGGGATTACAGGTGTGAGCCACTGCACCCGGCCTCCCCTCTTGTCCATTCTGCAGCCCTGGACCCTCCCACCTGGCGTCTGACACACAGTGGGAGCTCACCACTGCGTGGTGGCCAGAGCATGGTGGGTAGTCACCTCCCTCCCCAGAACCCCATTTCTTCATCTCTGCAATGGAGAAACAACTCTTTCTTACAGGGAAGATGTGAGGGGAGAAGGGTTTTAACAGGGGCATGGCCCACTGAAATGTGGGTTCTAGAACGCTGACCTTGGCCACATTGGAGGCTGGGTTTATGTGTTGGGGCAGTGGGTACCTCTGCAGCTGCCTGCCAAGAGCAGTTGGAGGAAAAGGGAATGAATAGAGCTGTGATTTTTAAACAAATTGCTTATTTAATCTTCATGACAGCCCCTTAAGTTTAGCACTGCTGTCACCTCCATCTTAACAGATGGGGAAACTGAGGCTCCAGAGTCCAAGGGGTCATTTCACTGGGTAGCAAGGCAGCTGGGATCCAAACCCAGACAGTCTGGCTCCAGATCTCAGACTTTTAACACTGTCCCAGCATGTCAAATGACCAGAGGTGGCCATAGGGAGATGCCCAGGCAGTGGGGCTCCCTTTGCTGGGGAACAACTGTCAAAGGCAACTGTGGGAACCCCTGGGACTGAGGGTCTGCAGACGCCGGTGCCAGCAGGGCTTGTCAAGCTTGGGATGTCTGCAAAAGCCGGGGGGCTCAGCAGAAGGGCTCCCACCCTCCCGTGGCGGTGGCAAAGGCTGAGCGTGGCATGAGAGGCCTGGGGTTGTCCTGGGTGCAGGGCTGTTGCAATAGCTGCCTCCAAGCGATGCTGCTCAGGCCGAGCCTTGGACTAGAAAGTTATCTGCACGGAAGAGCAGCTAGGGAAACTAATGCTCAGAACAGCCAAGACCACTAGTACCTAATCACCCATACAGAGGCATACAAGTCCCAAGGGCTCTGAATCCACACCTGTCCCCATCGCCAGCCAGAAGGCCCCCACCCATCCACTCTGCAGCAAAGTCACAGCAAGTTCAAGGGTTAAGTTAAGACCAGAAGCCATGCCTACTTTGCCTTCTGCCGGGGTGGTGGAGTGAGCTCAGATATTCTGGGAGGGGAGAGTTGGGGAATTCCAGCCACATCTGGCAGGAGGCCCTGGTTCAGAGCCTACCTTGTGGGGATGTGGTCTCTGCGGAGGTGAGCAGTAACACGGGCTTGAAAACCAACGCCCACGTATTCAGCAGTGAAGCAGAGACTGCGCTGTGTGCTGTGTTCCTGAATCTGCAGGGGAGAGAGAGACTCATACCTAGTCAGCGGGTGGGAGTCACTCCAGGCCGGAGGGATGACCTGCCCAAAGAGCATCTGTGTCCTGCCCAGGGAGGGGTGCAGAGAGGAGGCTGCAGGGGTGGAAGGGACTGCCCCACCGAGGCCAGGAGGGTGCTTGAGGAACAGCAGGATTGAAGGAGCCTATGTTGTCCAGAGTGAGGCTGAGTGGGCCAGGCCAGTGCTGCTAAGGTCCTGAGGACCCCTAAGGGCAGTGGACATGAGAAGGCATGGCTGGGCAGGTTTTCTGAGGATGGTGGAGGTGAGCAGAGTGAGGCCTTGTCTCTTGTGTCAGGCAAGGAGGTACCCCAAGAAGAGGCTGCATGAGACCAGCCTGGGCAACATAGTGAGACCCCCATCTCTACCAAAATATCAAAAAATTACCTGGGACCGGGTGCACTGGCTCACATCTATAATCCCAGCCCTTTGGGAAGCTGAGGTGGGCGGATCACCTGAGGTCGGAAGTTCGAGACCAGCCTGGCCAAGATGGTGAAACCCTGCCTCTCCTAAAAATACAAAAATTAGCCGGGCTTGGTAGGACGCACCTATAGTCCCAGCTACTCGGGAGGCTGAGGCAGGAGAATCGCTTGAACCCAGGAGGCGGAAGTTGCAGTGAGCCAAGATCACGCCATTGCACTCCAGCCTCGGCAACAGAGCAAGACTCCGTCTCAAAAAAAAAAAAAAAAAATTACCTGGCCATGGCGTCTTGTGCCTGTAGTCCCAGCCACTTGGGAGGCTGAGGCAGGAGAATTGCTTGGGCCCAGGAGTTCAAGGCTGCAGTGAGCTATGTTCAAAGTGCAGTGCACTGCACCCCAGCCTGGGCCACAGAGTGAGACTTTGTCTAAAAAGAAAAGGCCTCAGTTTCCCCATAGCGAATGGTTCATTGGGGGGTAGGTGGCACTGCCCACCCCAGGACATAGGAGAGAACCCTTAGTTCTGACCGTCTCCCCCTTCATGCACTTGGTTCTCTGACTGCTGCTCTGAGGACGGAGCTAAGTGAGGGTGCAGGAGGAAGGGGGGGTCTCTTGGCAGTGGGGCGCAGCCTTTTGAGGTGCTGCATAGCTAGTTTGACCTGTGGGACCACTGACCATCCCTCCTCTTCCCGGTGCTCCTGGCCTCCTGTGGCTGGGATGGTGCTGGGGAGGAGGTGGGGGGTGCCAGCTGGAGGTGGGCGGGGCTCCTGCCTCTCCCCGCCCCCAGGGCCACCGCCCACTGTGCCGCGCATCGATTGGTCGCGGGCCCATTAGGCGGGGCGGCGAGTCCGACTCATAAATATTTTAAGGAATGACCCGGCCCTGGGGTGCGGAATTGCTGCGCGGGCGGGGGCTGAAGACCGGCTTTTTTTTTTTTTTTTTTTTTTTGGTCCTCCAATTGTCAGCGCTATTTTTACCGCCGGAAAGCCGCCGCCCCCTCCCCCATGCCGGCTGGACCTACTGTCTAGCCGGGCTGGTGGCTGGGGTCTCTTGTCTGGGTTGCTGGTCGTGGGGTTAGGAGAGGCCGTGGCCTGGAAAGGCGATGAGCAGGGACTCCATTAGACTTCCCCTGCCCTCCTCGCTCCATCCCCCAGCACCAAAAACCACTCTGAAGCCCCCATCCCATCAGAGATGGGGAAAAAAAAAACACATTTTTTCAGGAGGAGAAGGCAGACAGCCCAGCTGAGCCTAGAAAAACCGGAGGTGGGGGGGTGTAATGGATGGGGGGAGGGTGGTCTACCCGCCCAGTGCTCCGAGGAGGGCCAGCACCACAGGGGGCCCTGGCTGGGCTTCCTTTGTCTCCAACGCCAGTCCTCAGAGAAGCAGCCTGTGAGGGGGAGAGGCAACCCCCTACCTGTCCCTAGTCCCAATGGAATGACAGCCCAGTCTTCAATGTCCAAGGCCATCACTTCTGCATCAAAATCAGGAGCCCCTAGAAGCCACACACAGCTCCAGCAATCCCATTTTACTGATAGGGAAGTGGAGGCACCAAGAGACACAGGGCCCGGCCCAGGATAGAGTCCAGATCTCCCAGAGCCCAGTCCAGCACTGCCTGGCACCAACTCAGCTGGTCTGTTTGGACACCTTGGGACCATAGGAGGAGAGCTGACCACCAAGAGAGTTAAAGACCATAGGGTCTTGGAGATCAGAGGGGGAGAGCAGTATAGGGAAGTTTTCCTGGGAGAAGAGAAGGTTTTGTTTCGGTTTGGTTTTTTGAGACAGAGTCTCGCTCTGTTGCCCAGGCTGGAGTGCAGTCGTGCAATCTCAGCTCACTGCAGCCTCAACTTTCTGGGTTAAAGTCCTCCTGCCTCAGTCCCCCAAGTACCTGGGACTACAGGCGTGTGCCACCACACCTGCCTAATTTTTGTATTTTTAGTAGAGACGGGGTTTCACCATGTTGCCCAGGCTGCTCTCGAACTCCTGAGCTCAAGTGATCTACCTGCCTCGGCCTCCCAAAGTGCTGGGATTACAGGCTTGAGCCACCACATCCAGCCAGAAGAGAGGGTTTTGCACGGTCTAAAGGGAGGGGAGATGTTGAATAGTCGGAAGAGCAAAGTCCCTAGAGAGGGCTTGAAACACCAACCTTGGCAGCACCAAGGTTGGAGGAGCTCCCGCCCTGCCCATGCCTGCACATGGGTTATAACATTGCAGACACCACCTCCTGTGCCATCTTGCCAGTGAGTGGTCAGAAAGTGAGAAGAGTGGGCTCAGAGGTTGGGAGTGTGGTCAGTGTCACTCACTCAGGGAGCACCCACGGGGTCACGTCTTGAGCCCAGGTCAGCCAAGCTCCCTACATGGGGTCTCCTCCCCAGTTCTGGTCCCAAAGATGGGTGGGGACAGTGCACTCCTGCCCCTGCCACAGCCAGGCCCCCTTCCCTGTGTCTTGCAGCCTCCCCTCTACAGAGAACCATGTCCGGGCCTCCCTCTCTCCATCTGTAGCCAGGTGGGGGCCTCCCTGCTGGCACTGCTGTTTGGAGACTTATACCTCTAGCTGCTCAACCTGCTTCCTCTGCATCCGGGGCTGGACCTACTGAGGGCTTCTGTGCCAGGCATCAGGCCCACAGGCTCCTGGGTGGCCTGCAGGGTTAGGTAGGAGAGGTCAGGGCAGTCCCAACCTCCCAGTGCCTCCCAGGCCAGTCCCTGCCTAGGACCTGGCCACACCTGCCATGCCCTTGGAAGATTCCTCTCTAAGTTCCACTCCCACTCCAGTGAGGGCCACCTGAGACCCACCTGCGAGAGCCTCCCCCAGGGCCCTGTCCCCCATCTCTGTGCCTTCTCCCTACCAAGGGTTCCTCCAGCCAGGAGGAAGAGCTGGGGGCGACAGGGATTGATGTCTAGGACTCGGCACTGGGGCTGACTTCCTGCCTGCCGCTGCCTGCCCCATGTGGGGGCATAATCATCTCACTCAGGGACCCCACACCTACCCTTCCCAGGCTGCCAAGTCACTGGCTCTGAGCCCCCTGGGGGTCCTAATGGTATAGAGAGAGAGGTGGCCACCGTCAGGAGCACTAGCCTACTGGATAAATGGATGGGCTTGGAGCTCAGGGACAGGGTTTCATGGGTTCAGCTGTGGCCCCACCCCCACCCCAGGAAATACCACCCCTGCAGGTCATGGCCTGGGCCTGGGCTCGTGACCTTCCCTGGAGGCCATGGTGGTGGTGGTGGTGGTGGCAGGTGTGTTCCCGTCTCCACCCCTCAGGGAAGAAGCAAGTTCCAGGAGCCTGGACTTTTGCCCTGCGCACTCTCTGTGTCAGATGGGGAGACAGCCATGAGGACAGACACTTGAAGTACCCTATAACTGGCACCATGCAAGAGAGACAGGCAGGAGGAGACTGTGGGAGCTCAGAGGAGACACTTGTGCTGGCCTGGATCAGGGAGAAAGGAGGGGTGTCGGGAGGCTTCCTGGAAGAAGTGGCTTCTGGATTAATTATTGAAGTGTGAGTAGGAGTTAGGGAAGAAAGGAGGAAGCACGGGGCAGGGAAAAGGTCAGGCATGAGCAAAGCTCGTGGGTTCCTCAGTCCCCATCCTTCCCCCACCTTCGTGAACTCTAACCACCACCACCACTACCCAACTGCCAATGTCCTGATAAGTCCTGCCCCCAACTCATTGTTCAGGCCCCCAGCACCCTCTTTATTTTCTTTGCACTCATGAAGCCCAACGCAATAACCACCTCTTGAAGGAAACCTTCCAAACTCCCGACTCCCCTCCCCCAGTACCAAGGCAGGAGTCTCCTAGGAGACCGCTGGTTTGGAAACCTGTCCTTGAAGCTAAGCAGGCTCAGCCGGGAGCCCTGTTCTGTCCCTGGGGCTGTCCCTTGGTTATTGACTGCAGATTGATGGCGAGGTTGCCCCAAGGAGAGAGGGAATTCCCACGGTGCCCTATGGCCCAGAGGCCTCGCAGATGATCTCACAGAAATGGGGCAGCTATTTTTACCTGGCATTTAATTACATGGTTTGGATCCCAGAGGAGAGATGAGATGGTGATCCCAGGAGCTGCGAGGGAGGGGCATTCCGGAAACTGTGGGGACCCTGGGAGGACAGGCGAGGGCATGATCCTCTAACTCATTTCCTTGGAAGGATGGTCGCTTGTCCCCCAACACTAAGCCGGCTCCTTAGACAGGGACTCCCCAGGCACTACATCACCGCACTTTATCACTATTGGTAATTTTCCCCCTGGCTTGGATGGGGGCTGTAAGCACACAGCAGGTTGGACCTGTGTCCCCAGAGGCAATGGCAAGGCCCCCAGGTGATGGGCTGGGCCCAAGCCATGCAGTTTAGCCATCCAGAGCTGTGAAGGATGGAGGGGCCTGGGAATAAGAGGATGAAGCTGGGGTGAGGAGACAGCTGGGATTCCTGGATTGGGGATTCAAAATCGGATTTGAATGGGAATTCTGGGGGAAGCCAGATTCCAGAACGTGGGAATGTAAGTAGAAGCGTGCAGGCCATTGTGATGGAAAGAAGCAAGGTCTTCAATGTCCGTACAAAAACTTGGTCCCTTTAGCCAGGCATGGTAGCTCTTGCCTGTAGTCTGAGCTACTCGGAAGGCTGAGGCGGGAGGATCGCTTGAGCCCAGGAGTTGGAGGCTGCAGTAAACTGTGATCTCGCCACTGCACTCCACCCTGGGAGACACTGCAAGACTCTGTCTCAAAAAAAAACAAAAAACAAAAAAACGCTTGGTTCTTATCCACAGCTTTGCTTTCCAAGGCTTCAGATACCCGTGGTCAACAGAGGTCTGAAAATATTAAATAGAAAATCCCAGAAGTAAACATACAAATACAAATGTAAATTGCAGGCCAGTCTGAGTAGCAGGATGAAGTCTCAAACCATCCCGCTGTTCTGCCTGGGATGTGAATTATCCCTTTGTCTGGCATATCCGCACTCTGGATACGACCCGCTCGCCACTTAGGAGTTGTCTGGGTTATTAGATCCAAAAAAAATGTAGCGGGCCAGGTGCAAGTGGCTCGTGCCTGTAATTTCAGCACTTTGGGAGGCCAAGGCCAGAGGATTGCTTGAACCCAGGAGTTCAAGACCAGCCTCATCAATAGAGTGAGATCCCATCTCTACACACACACACACACACACACACACACACACACACGCAGTATACAGAGGTTCAGTATTAGCCAGTTTCAAGCATCTGCTGGGGTTCTTGGGACATATACCCCTTGAACGAGAGGGAACTACCATATTTGATCCACACTAGGAGGAGACCCCTCAAGTCCTGGAGTCACTGCAGACCTGGGCGAGAACCCTGGACCTGTCTTGTCACTAACAAGCTGTTTGTCCTTAGGCCCCAAGTGAGGGCTTAGGCGGTGACAGCTGTGACATGCCTGGTGTGCCAAACTCATTCATTTGTTCATTCAGTCAGTGTTTCCCAAGCGCCTGCTGTATGCCCAGCACTGAGGACACAGCCGCTTCTAGGACTGGCAAAATCCCTGCCTTGTGAAACTGGCATTCTCGGGGGAAGGGGGTGGAGGGGACACACAACCAAGCAACTAAATATATGATATGACAGCCGGCAATAAGGATAATGGTGAAAATAGGCAGAGTGCATGAACGCATCAGAGGGAGTATTGTCATCAGAGGGATTTGTCATTCTCAAGAGTGGTCAGGGAAGGCTATCCGCCAAGCCATTGGTTGAGCAGAAACCTGAAGAAGGTGAGGGAATGTGGAGGAAAGAGCATTCCAGGCATGTGCAAAGGTCCTGAGGTAGAAATTTGGCTGCTATGCTTCTGGGAGGGCAAGGAGGCAGGTCCAGCCAGGGAAGAGTGGCAGGAGGTATATCCAGAGGGGTAAACAGAGGCAGATTATGTCAGACCCTAGGGGCTGTGGATAGGGCTTTGGCTTTTACTCTGACTGTAATACGAACCACTGCAGGATTTTGTGCAGAGGAGGGATGTGATCTGTCTTGTATTTTGGTTTTGGGTTTTTGTTTTTGTTTTGTTTTGTTTTTGAGTCAGAGTCTCTATCACCAAGTGAAGTGCATTGTCACGATCATAGCTCACTGCAGCCTCCAAATCCTGGGCTCAAGCGATTCTGCCACTTCAGTCTCCTTAGTATCTAGGACTGTAGGCATGCCACCACATCCAGATTGGTTGTTGTTGTTGTTTTTGAGACAGAGTCTTGCTCTGTTGCCCAGGCTGAAGTACAGTGGTGCCATCACAGCTCACTGTAGCCTCAACCTCCCAGGCTAAGGTAATCCTCCTGAGTAGCTAGGACTATAGGCATGTCACCACATTCAGATCAACTTTTTTTGTTTATTTTTTGGGACAGGGTCTCGCTCTGTCCCCAGGCTGGAGTACAGTGGCCCCATCACAACTCACTGTAGCCTCAACCTTCCAGGCTCAGGTGATCGTCCTGAATAGCTGAGACTACAGGTGTGTGCCACCTTGCCCAGCTAATTTTATGTATTTTTTGTAAAGACAGGCTTTTGCCATGTTGCCTAGGCTAGTCTTGAGCTCCTGAGCTCAAGCAATCTGCTCACCTTGGCCTCCCAAAGTGCTGGAATTACAGGCCAATGTGTAAGCCAATGTGCCCGGCCAAGACAATTTTTTTGTTATTACTTTTTCTTTCTTTCTTCTCTTTTTTTTTTTTTTTTTTTTTTTTGAGATGGAGTCTCGCTCTGTCGCCAAGGCTGGAGTGCAGTGGCGCGATGTCGGCTCACTGCAAGCTCCGCCTCCGAGGTTCACGCCATTCTCCTGCTTCAGCCTGTGCCTGCCCCCACGCCCGGCTAATTTTCTGTATTTTTAGTAGAGATGGGGTTTCACTGTGTTAGCCAGGATGGTCTCGATCTCCTGACTTCGTGATGCGCCCGCCTCGGCCTCCCAAAGTGCTGGGATTACAGGCATGAGCCACCGCGCCTGGCTTTTTTTTTTTTTTTTTTTGAGGTGGAGTCTGGCTCTGTCACCTAGGCTGGAGTGCAGTAGTGGGATCTCGGCTCACTGCAACCTCCGCCTCCTGGGTTCAAGCGATTCTCCTGCCTCAGCCTCTCAGTCAGCTGGGACTACAGGCATATGCCACCATGCCCAGCTAATTTTTGTATTTTTAGTAGAGACGGGGTTTCATCATGTTGGCTAGGATGGTCTCAATCTCTTGACCTCCTGATCCACCCGCCTCGGCCTCCCAAAGTGCTGAGATTACAGGCATGCGCCACCGCACATGGCAGTCTTGAGTTTTGGAAATGACTGGGCTCCTGGGAGGAGAACAGACTTTAGAGGAAGTAAGATCAGGATCCCGGGGACCATAAAGCAGCTGCTGGAGTGCTGCATGCAGGAAAAATAGTTATGCGAATCCCAGGACGGCAGCCTGGACCTGGAGGAAGGAGCTGAGTCCTCGGTATATTTCAAAGGTCCAGCCAGCAGGATTCCATGTGATTTCTTCCTTTCTACCGGGCTTTGGGGAACATCAGAAGAGGTCACTGAGGAAGTGAGGTCACCAGAGGCTCATGGGGACCCCACTTGAAAGCATCCATCATCCCAGCCTCTTCTGCCAGCCCCAGGAATGACCCTGAGGTCCCTGAGACTACTATTTGGGGAGAGAATGAATGCAGGACTGCCCCTTCTGCAGACACCACCTCCTGCCTCCCCAGTTGTCTTTCTCTTATTTTTTGCAGTCTCCCTCTGTCGCCCAGGCGGGAGTGCAGTGGCGCAATCTCGGCTCACTGCAACTTCTGCCTCCTGGGTTCAAGTGATTTTCCTGCCTTAGCCTCCGGAGTGGCTAGGACTACAGGCGTGTGCCACCACTCCTGGCTAATTTTTGTATTTTTACTGCAACCTCTGCCTCTTGGGCTCAAGCAGTTCTCCTGCCTCAGCCTTTCGATGGCTAGGGTTACAGCGTGCACCACCACACCCGGCTAACCGGCTAATTTTTGTATTTTTAGTAGAAACGGGGTTTCACCATGTTGACCAGGCTGATCTCGAACTCCCAACCTCAGGTGATCCACCCACCTCGGCCTCCCAAAGTGCTGGGATTACAGGCGTGGGCCACCGCGCCCGGCCCCAGTTGTCTTTCTCTTTACACACATCCATGCTGCTTGGAATGGCTGCCTGCTGTAGTCCCACAACACACACGTGTGCATGTACACACACACCCACACAGCCCCAGAGAGTCCTAGGGGAGCTGGAAGGAGGGGACAGGTGGGCGCATTGATCACAGGCCTGAAAGTCACTGCGCGCTCTTCTCGCCCGAAGCCGCAGGTGGCTGCGATGGGACGGAAGCCATGAATGGTGCCGGCCCTGGCCCCGCCGCAGCCGCCCCGGTCCCAGTCCCGGTCCCGGTCCCGGACTGGCGGCAGTTCTGCGAGCTGCATGCGCAGGCGGCCGCCGTGGACTTTGCGCACAAGTTCTGCCGTTTCCTGCGGGACAACCCAGCTTACGACACGCCCGACGCCGGCGCCTCCTTCTCCCGCCACTTCGCCGCCAACTTCCTGGACGTCTTCGGCGAGGAGGTGCGCCGCGTGCTGGTGGCTGGGCCGACGACTCGGGGCGCGGCCGTGAGCGCAGAGGCCATGGAGCCGGAGCTCGCGGACACCTCTGCACTCAAGGCGGCGCCCTACGGCCACTCGCGGAGCTCGGAGGACGTGTCCACGCACGCGGCCACCAAGGCCCGCGTTCGCAAGGGCTTCTCGCTGCGCAACATGAGCCTGTGCGTGGTGGACGGCGTGCGCGACATGTGGCACCGGCGCGCCTCGCCCGAGCCCGACGCGGCAGCTGCCCCGCGCACCGCCGAGCCCCGCGACAAGTGGACGCGGCGCCTGAGGCTGTCGCGGACGCTGGCTGCCAAGGTGGAGCTGGTGGACATTCAACGCGAGGGGGCGCTGCGCTTCATGGTGGCCGACGACGCGGCCGCGGGCTCCGGGGGCTCGGCTCAGTGGCAGAAGTGCCGCCTGCTCCTGCGCAGGGCTGTGGCCGAGGAACGCTTCCGCCTGGAGTTCTTCGTGCCGCCCAAAGTGAGTTACCCCATAATCCCACCTAGCCTGGGGGGACCAGAGGAGGCACCTGGGCAGCAGCTGAGGGTGCCAGGGACTGCCTTTGGGGACCGCGTGGTCTAATCTGGTTGACAGGGTGAAGTATTTGGTGCCAGGACCCTGGGAGGTGGGCCTGTCATGCCTCTTGAACAAGTCACCCCTTCAACCCCGGTTCTTCCTTTGCGAGGAAGGGTCCTCTGGCTACACCAAAGGGTTCTGGGGCACTAATTTTTTCTTTTCGTGTGTGTGTGTGTGTGTGTCCGTGTGTGTGTGTGTGTGTGTGTGCGCGCGCGTGTGTGTGTGTCCCTCTGTCACCCAGGCTGGAGTGCAGTGGTACGATCTCGGCTCACTGCAACCTGTGCCTCCCAGGCTCAAGGGATTCTCCTGCCTCAGCCTCCCAGGTAGCTGGGATTTACAGGCACCCACCACGATGCCCGGCTAATTTTTGTATTTTAAGGAGAGACAGGGTTTTGCCATGTTGGCCAGGCTGGTCCTGAACTCCTTACCTCAAGTGATCTGCTTGCCTCAGCCTCCCAGTGTTGGGATTACAGTCGTGAGCCACCATGTCCAGCCTTTCTTTCCTTTTTGTTTTGAGACAGGGGCCGTCACTCAGGCTGGAATGCAGTGGTACAATCATGGCTCACTGCAGCCTTCACCTCCCAGGCTCAAGCAGTCCTTTCTTAGCATCCCAAGTAGCTGGGACCACACACACCGCCACTCCCAGCTAATGTTTTTTATTTTTCGTAAAGACGGGATCTGACTATGTTGCTCAAGTGGTCTGGAACTCCTGAGCTCAAGAGATCCTCCCCCACCTTGGCCTCCCAAAGTGCTGGGATTACAAGCATGAGCCACTGTGCCCAGCCCAGGGCACCGTTCTTGATGTTGTTCAAGAGCCTGGCTACCTGCCCTCCTCTCCTGCAGCCCAAGGGTGCCTGGCACCTCCCAGAGCCGAGGCCTGCAGGGATGAGGGCAGGAGTGACCGAGCACATTCGCAGAGGGCTCCCTGGGAGGTCTGTGTCTGACTCCATGGGGCTCTGCTCTTCCCCAGCTCAGCTGCCAGACTCCAGCCCAGCCCCTGCCCAGGGGGTCCTTTTCTGGCCAGGGGGATGCCAGGCTTCTTTCTGGCTGTCACCAACATTGTTGCTCACTGGCATGCACTGACCCTTCCCCTCTTAGGGGCTGGCCATCAGGTCCCTGGCAGTAGTGTCACGTCTTCTCCAAGGTGGCCCCCCTGCTTTGGAAAGTGGGAATAGCTGTAACAATAGTGCCCACCCTCTGAGAGCCCACAGTGTGTCCAGACCCCAGCCTGGTGGGCATCTGCACAGACACACTGTCATCCTCTGGGTACCCCACCCCAGCGAGGTGAGCACATGGTCCCCAGATTACAGAAGAGAGCGCAGACAGATGCTCAGAGAGGGAAGTGTGGCCTGCCCAACGTCACCCAGCTGGCGGGTGCCAGAGCTGGTCTAACATGGCAGGACATGGTGGCGCGCACCTGTAGTCCAAGCTACTTGGGAGGCTGAGGCAGGAGAATCGCTTGAACCCAAGAGGCAGAGGTTGCAGTGAGCCAAGACTGCACCACTGCCCTCTAAGCTAGGCGACAGAGTGAGACCCTATCTCAAAAAACCAAACCAAAACAAAACAAAAAACTGGGGGCCGAGCGCGGTGGCTCATGCCTGTAATCCCAGCACTTTGGGAGGCCGAGGCAGGTGGATCACCTGAGGTCAGGGGTTCGTGACCAGCCTGACCAACATGGAGAAACCCCGTCTCTAATAAAAATACAGGATTACATGCCTGTAATCACAGCTACTTGGGAGGCTGAGGCAGGAGAATCACTTCAACCCAGGAGGCAGAGATTGTGGTAAGCCGAGATCACGCCATTGCACTCCAGCCTGGGCAGCAAGAGCGAAACTCTGTCTCAAAAAAAAAAAAAAATCCGATCTAATGATACCTGCCACCCTGGTGGTCCCAAGAACGAAAGGAACATGGAAGTGGAGGTCCTTGGGCACTGAGAGGTTTAGGCAGGGGGAGGTTTTGCTGGTGCAGCAGCCGACAGCACCCCCAGGGACCACCGGGGACCCCACACCCACCTCCCGCATCAGGGCCCACTCTGTCCCTGGGTGCTCTCTGAGTCACCCGCCGCTTCTTGGCTCTCTCTCCATCTCTCAGTCTGCTGGGGTGCAGGGGTGTGGGCTCCCCAAGGCTCATTGCCCATGAGCCACATGGGCCCTGGAAAAGTGACTTCCCAGGGACACAGCTACTCTCTGAAGAGCTTTTTCCCCAGGTCCCAGCACCCCTACACTTCCCTAGGGCTTTTTTCCTGCCCAGGCCCCTGCCTTTAATTCCCTGGGAGAAATCCTAGACCCCTAAGCCCGACTCCACTCCTTGTCAGAAAGGGAAACCGAGGCCCAGTGACGGGTGGGGTGGGGCTTACCCGGGGTCACCCAGAGGGCAGGGACAGAAGCCCAGGGCTCCAGTGCCTTGGGCCTGAGTGACAGTCACAGCTGCCCTTCTGTAAATAGCAGTGTCTGCTGCCCTCGGAGAAGGGGAAGGAGCAGCTGGTGCCCGCCCCCGCCCCACTCCACCGCTTAGTCCCAGCAGAGCCCACTAATTTTGCTGCTGGCAGAGGGCAGCGTTCCTGCAGGGTCACTGGGCCCTTCCCCTCCTTTGTGTCATGCAAAGGTGGGGGCATTTGTGGGTATTCAGGAGTCATTCCCATGGGAGGGCAGCTCCTACCATGCTAAGAACTTGGTTGAGTTTCCCAAATGTGTCTGGTCCCAGGAGACAGGCTCCCAGGGTGAGTGAGCCCCCTGGGATGCCCTGAATGATACCCCCACTGCCTCTGCACCCACCCACGGTCCAGATCTCTTGCCTCCAAGAGGCCTAGATGCACCCTTGGAGCAGTCAGGAGCTCGGGGCCTGCAGGCTCAGAAGCCATTGCCTGGCACCTTAGATTTCCCTCTCACACAGCCTTTGAGGTGCCAGCCCTGGTGAGTCAGGTCTCTGGCTTCCTGCCTCCTCACCCCTGCAGGAAGAGCCTCCTGAACCCCAGGTCCCCTCATTGCCCTATGCCAGGCCAAGCCCTGGGGACCCAAGGAACAATGAGGCCGGCCCCCCGCCATTAGGGAAACCACTGGGAAACCTGGTATTTTCAAGATGCTTGCAAATCTTACTGGGGTGAGCCCCGGAGGAAAAGCTTGGGCTACCTAAGTGTTCACCAGGTGGCCAGCACCCTGGAACAGCACTTTTGGAGGTTCAAGCTCTGTGGGCAAAGGCCTGGAGTTGTAAACAAGTTGACCATTCAGGCATGTGGGCACAGTGCGTTGTGGCTGGAGCAGGTGGGAGGAAGCTGGACCAGGACTGACGGACCTCAGATTCCAAACTGGGGAACCACAGCATCTCTGGCCAGCAGGATACCTGCTGAAGCTTCCAGTCCAGGCCTCCACTGCAGGCCTCTGTCTGCTCTGTCCCCAGCCCCGCTGGCCGGCACGATGGCCACACACCGGGGTTAGCCAGGCCCCGTTCATGCTTCAAGCCTAGCCCTGCACGCGCTGGACAGGGGCCAGTTCTTCCTGGAATTCCCATCTGCCTGCCCATCAAATGTGTGGCCTTTCCATTTCCTCCTAAGAAAGTTCCTGTCCTGGAGACAGCGCTGCTGGGAATCTCACTCAGGCCAGCCCCAAGGGGGCCTCAGGCTCACGGCAGGGAGCTTTGAGGCAGAGCGAGTGGGGCCAGGCACAGAGTGGCGGTCCCACAGAGCCCTGCCAGCTCACCTTGGATCAACCCTGCCCGCAGCGTTGTTGGGAACACTGGTCCCTTTTACTCACTCCAGGAAACAGTGAGCCCCGTTCTGAGTCGGGGGCTCCAGGCCCTGCTCTGGAAGGTCGGGTCTGTAGTAGGAGACCAGCATTTTTTCTTTAAGCAACCAGGTTTTAAGACCCATCATTTTTTATTTTTTTATTTTATTTTATTTTATTTTATATTTTGAGACAGGGTGTCACTCTGTCGCCCAGGCTGGAGTGCAGTGGTGCAATCTCAGCTCACTGCAACCTCCACCTCCCGGGTTCAAGTGATCCTCGTGCCTCAGCCTCCCAAGTAGCTGGGATTACAGGCACGCACCACCACGCCTGGCTAATTTTTGTATTTCTAGTAGAGATGGGGTTTCATCATGTTGCCCAGGCTGGTCTGGAATTCCTGACCTCAAGTCATCCTCCTTGGCCTCCCAAAGTGCGAAATTACAGGTGTGAGCCACCACACCCAGCCAAGACCAGCATTTTTTAAAACGTGAACTAGAATAGAATAGAAAATATCACACTCTATCCCACACAGGAAGGGTAACTATTGTCTGGTGAGATGTTTGTTTCAGAGATATTTTTACCTGCGTATGTGTGTATTGGGCCCCAGTGTTAAATGTATTTCTCACAATGGGTCAAGGTCAAAAATAAGAAAACCACAGATCTCGTGGGTGCATTGGGCAGAGGGCAGCCCAGGTGGGGTTTTCTCCTCAGGGCTTGGAGGTAGGAGGCTCAGATGTCAATTCTGGTTCTGTCCTGGACTTGCAAGGTGACTATAGGAGGAGGTCCTTTTTTTTTTTTCTTTTTTTTTTTTTTTTTTTGAGGCATCGTCTCACTCTGTCACCCAGGTGGGGGTATAGTGGTGCCATCATAGCTCACTGCAGCCTCGACCACCTCCCCTGATCAAGCGATCCTTCCACCTTAGCCTCCCAAATAGCTGGAACTACAGGCACTCATGCCACCACACTCGGCTAAGTTTTTTGGTCTCTTTTTGTTTCGTTTTTTTTTCTGTGAAACGGAGTTTCATTCTTGTCGCCCAGGCTGGAGTGCAATGGCGCAATCTCAGCTCACCGCAACCTCCGCCTCCTGGGTTCAAGCGATTCTCCTGCCTCAGCCTCCCAGATAGCTGGGACTACAGGCATGCACCACCACGCCTGGCTAATTTTGTATATTTTTTAGTAGAGATGGGGTTTCTCCATGTTGGTCAGGCTGGTCTCAAACTCCCGACTTCAGGTGATCCGCCCGCCTCGGCCTCCCAAAGTGCTGGGATTACAGGCGTGAGCCACCGCACCCAGCCCATTTTTTGGTCTCGAGTAAAGATAAGGTCTTGCTATGCTGTCCAGGCTGTCCTTGAACTACTGGACTCAGGCCATCCTCCTGCCTCGGCCTCCCAAAGTGCTAGGATTACAGGCATGAGCCACCATGCCTAGCCAGGAAAAATTTCTTTCTTGTTTCAAAGAAATGCCTTCCTCAGCTTCCCCCTCTGTGAAATGGGGATTGGGATACCTCTGTACCAGGGTGGCTGTGGCAGTCTATTTGAGGGCCACTCTAACACCTGGCAGCGGGGAGGGGATGGAAAGGGTGTCGGGAAATGCTGGGGCCACTCACTATCCTTCTTCTGGCCCCCAGGCCTCCAGGCCCAAGGTCAGCATCCCACTGTCAGCCATCATTGAGGTCCGCACCACCATGCCCCTGGAAATGCCAGAGAAGGATAACACATTCGTCCTCAAGGTGAGGTCTCACCCCTAACCTCAGAGATCCTCCAGCTGCCCCAGGCCACCTTCCCTTTAGGTGCTACAGCTCCCTAGGGGAGCGAGGGGAAGGAGCCTAAGGCAGGACAGTAGTGGGAGGGAGCCCTGGTGTGGGGGGTTCCCAGACCCTATGACAGATGCCTAGCACATAGCTAAGACTTGAGTCTGGGCTCCACAGCCAGGTGCCTCGGGCGTCGCCCAACATCTGGGCCCCTTGCTCCCATTTACCCCTGGGCCTGGGCGAAGCTCATCAGTTTCACTTCCTGCCCTCCCTTCCCCCACTGGAGCTAGCACACACCCACCTCGCTGGTGGCCAGCCGGCAGCAGTTATGCAAATGTTCCTGTCCCAGGGCACTGGAGTGTGGGAACTGGGCGGTCTCCCACAGAGGGCACAAAGGCATCAAGGGGGGGCGGGGAGGCACCCCGGTGGGTCTAGGGGCAGCCCAGCCTTTCCCAGGCCCCACACCGCTGCCAGGGTGGCCTGCAGGGGTTTCTGAGGACACGGCTCCAGGCTGCCAGAGCTGTGGTCCCTGGGCATCCGCAAAGGATCAGAGGGTGTTGGTGAAGCAATGTCCCCGGGGAGGCCTGGTCCCACCCACTCATCCTGCATGAAGCCCCCACCCTCTTCTCCCAGCTTCTGGTTGTGTTTGTGTTTCTGCCCGTTCTCATTTGTTTAGTCACGGACTCACTTATTCATTTAGCGAGTGTTTACCAACCCCGGACCCTGAGTCATCCCAGGCTGGGGGCTGGGGACACAGCCCCTGCCCACCTGGTACCCTCTAAACTGCTGATCATGCATGACAGCCTTGAGGCAGAGGGGCTCACCTGCCTCAGTTTCCCCATCTGTTCAGAGCGGGATTAAAGGCAGTCTCCGAGAACCCTCCCAGCTCTGTCATCCTGGGAGCCCAACAACTACATTTTTTTTGTTTTTTTTTTTTCTTTGTTTGGAGATGGGTCCCACTCTGTCACCCAGGTTGGAGTGCAATGGCGCGATCTCGGCTCACTACAACCTCCTCCTCCCGGGCTCAGGTGATCCTTCCATCTCAGCCTCTTGAGTAGCTGGGACCAAAGGCACACGCCACCATGCTTGGCTAATTTCTGTATTTTTGGTAGAGACAGCGTTTCACCATGTTGCCCAGGCTGGTCTCGAACTCCTGAGCTCAGGAGATCTGCCCTCCTCAGCCTCTCAAAGTGCTGGGATTACAGGCGTGAGCCACCGCGCCCGGCCCAGCAACTGCATTTTGACAGAGGCACACCACCGGAAGCCAACAGCACGGGACCTGGGTGTCCCAGAGACCTGGGTTCAGGCCCTGGCCCTGCCACTGGCTGCTGTGTGACTTTGACCAAGTTCCTTGGCCTCCCTGAACCTTGGTCTTCTCATCTATAAAATGGGGGAAATGGCTCCTCTCCCTCACAGGGCCGTTGGGAGGAGTTGAGCAGAATGCAGGGTTATGCTCTGGGCCTGGCCCCAGCAGGGATGTCTCCTGCCCTCTTCCCCTTCAGAGGCTTCGTATCTCAAGCGCATGGCCATGCCGGTAGAACTCCAGGCACTAAGACATGCAAGCCCCCCTACTCAGTGTGCTTGGCCAGCCTGTCTCTCCACTCAACTTGAACCCCACCCCTGGGGTGCCAGGGCATGGGTTGGGGATGCTGGGCCACCCATCCCTCCCCCTGCCAGCATGGCCTCCTCAGAGGCTGTGTCTCTAAGGCAGAGGAGCTGAGATCAGTGGGGTGGGACATATCCCCAGTGGGGAGGCCCAGAAGGGAGGGAATACAGAGTGTGAGCTGGGTCCCTGGCCTGAGTTCCAGGTGGTGCCCGATGGTGACCCCACTTTCTTTCCTGCTGCTCATGCCCTTGAGCCCTGCTGTGGGAGAGGGGGATCAGCCATTTGAGCCACTCTGACCCTATGTCCTGTGGTCTGGAGCCCATCTGCTGACCGTGTTCTGCACTCCCGGCCACCTTCCTCCCCAGGTAGAGAATGGAGCCGAATACATCTTGGAGACCATCGACTCTCTGCAGAAGCACTCGTGGGTAGCTGACATCCAGGGCTGCGTGGACCCCGGGTGAGTGTCCAAGTGGCCCGAAGATGGGTGGACAGGCTGGGTATATCCTTGGTCCAGCCTTCACCAGGAGCAGCTTCCTAGCAGGGCGGGAGCTCAGCTTGAGAAATGAGCAATTCAATGCGATTCAGGTTGGTGCCAGCCAGGATCACCCTCCTTTAAAATACCCCCTACCTCCAATCGCCAGCAGACTCTGTGAGGCCTGCTCTATGGGGCCAGGGCCTGGGGACCTGGAAGGAAGTTGGACCAGGTCTTGTCTTCACCCCAAGAGAGCCTCAGAGCACTGGGAGTTGGGCAGAGATGGCAGTGAGTCCCCAAAGGGCTGGGGGCCTGGTGCAGTGGCTCACATCTGTGACCCCAACACTTTGGGAGGCCCAGCTGGGAGGACCGCTTGAGCCAGGAGTTCAAGACCAGCCTGGGCAACATAGCCAGACCCTCTCTCTCTCTCTCTCTTTTTTTTTTTTTTTTTTTTTTTGAGACAGGGTTTTGCTCTGTTGCCCAGGCTGGAGTGCAGTGGTGTGATCTTGGCTCACTGCAATCTCCGCCTCCCAGGTTCAAGCAATTTTCCTGCCTCAGCCTCCTAAGTAGCTGTGATTACAGGCGCCTACCACCATGCGCAGCTAATTTTTATATTTTTAGTAGAGACGGGGTTTCATCATGTTGGCCAGGCTGGTCTCGAACTCCAGACCTCAAGTGATCCGCCCAACTCAGCCTCCCGAAGTGCTGGGATTACCGGCATGAGCCACTGTGCCCAGCCAACCCTGTCTCTTAAAATAAAAAAAAATAGAGAGAGCTGGAGAGAGGCTCCTAACCCAGCCCTGGGCTCAGGTCAGGGAAGAGTTGCTGTTAGGCGTGCTCACCTAACCCAAGGCTTAAATAAAGAGTGGACCAATGCCAGGCAGAGGAAGATGGGAGAGGGCAGAGAGAAAAGCCCAGCAAAAAGAGTGGAAATGGAACTGGGCACGGTGGCATGCATCTGTTATCCCAGCTACTCAGGAGGCTGAGGCTGGAGGATCACTTGAGCCCAGGAGTTGGAGGCTGCAGTGATCTAGGATTGCACCACTGCACTCCAGCCTGGGCAACAGAGCAAGATCCTAACTCTTAAAAAATAATAATAAAAATTTGGCCGGGGCCAGGCACAGTGGTTCATGCCCATAGTCCCAGCACTTTGGGAGGCCGAGGCAGGCGGATCACCTGAGGTCAGGAGTTTGAGACCAGCCTGGCCAACATGGTGAAAACCCATCTCTACTAAAAATACAAAAATTAGCCAGGCATCGTGGCGGGCATCTGTAATCCCAGCTACTCGAGAGGCTGAGGCAGGAGAATCGCTTGAACCCGGGAGGCAGAGGTTGCAGTGAGCTGAGACTGTGCCATTGCACTCCAGTCTGAGCGACAGAGCAAGACTGTCTCAAAATATTAATAATAATAATTTTAAAAGGTGTGCAAGTGTACAAGCACCTGGGACTCGCAGGGAACATCAAGGCCTTTGGGGTAGCCAGTGAGGAGGAGATTTTGATGAGAGCTCAGGAAACGGGTAGGTCAGGGACAATGGGAGCCATGGCAGGTAATAGGCAGAGGGCAGTTACGGTCAGCTGTGAACAGGAAGAGCAGCAAGAAGGTTGGCTCCACCATCCAGGAGAGATGCCAGGCCAGGAGTAGGAGGGATAGGCAGCCCGACAGGCTGAGCAATTGGCAGCAGCTCTGCTGGCTAATGGGGTGAGCCAAGCCCCGGGGGGAAGGGCCGCTGCTTTCTAATTAACAGCTTCATTTAAAGAAACACAATTAAGGTCCTGGGCGCCTCCCAGGCCCTGATCCACAAAGTGATTGTAATCCCTCCTCCACCGCCCTCCGGACCATCTGCTCTGCAAACTCTTTCCCCAGCCGCTGTGAAGGTGAACCTCACTTAGTGGAATTTTCGAGCTGGCAGGGTCCCAGACACCTCATGTCACAAATCGGGAGAGAAACCTTCCCACCCTCTGAGGGTCTGCACGGGATCCCAGGAGGAGCCCAGCCCCTCAAGGATAGTGGGCAGGGATCATGGGCCCTCAGTGGGGACTGTCCACTCAGTGGTATCCGGGCCAAGAGAGAGCCTTCCCCTGGGCTTTCTGAAGTTTCAGTGGAAAATCAATTTGCAAATGGCAGATAAATGAGAGAAAAGGCATACAAATTTATTTATTTATTTTTATTTTATTATTTTATTTTTTAGAGGTAAGGTCTTGCTCTGTCACCCAGGCTGGAGTACAGTGGTGCAATCAAGCTCACTGCAGCCTCGACCTCCTGGGCTCGACTGATCTGCCTGCCTCAGCCTCCCAAGTAACTGGGACTGTAGGCACATGCCACGATGACTGGCTTAATTTTTTTTTTTTTTTGAGATGGAGTCTCGCTCCATCATCCAGGCTGGAATGTAATGGCACAATCTCAGCTCACTGCAACCTCCACCTCGCAGGTTCAAGCAATTCTCCTGCCTCAGCCTCCCAAGTAGCTGAGATTATAGGCACCTGCCAACAAGCCCAGCTAATTTTTATATTTTTAGCAGAGACGGGGTTTCCCCATGGTGGTCAGGCTCGTCTCGAACTCTTGACCTCAGGTGATCTGACAACCTCATCATCCCAAAGTGCTGGGATTACAGGCGTGAGCCACTGCAACTGGCCTTTTTTTTTTTTTTTTTTTTTTTAGAGACGGGATCGGGATCGTGCTATGTTGTCCAGGCTGGTCTTGAATTCCTGGGTTCAAGAGACCCGCCTGCCTCGGCCTCCCAAAGCACTGGGATTACAGGCATGAGCCACAGTGCTTAGCTGCACAAGGCAGATTAATAGGAGAAAAAGCATGTAAATTTATTTAACGTGTATACATAGGAGCCTTCAGAATGAAGACTCAAAGATACAGGGGAGGGCTGGGCGTGGTGGTGCACGCCTGTAATCCCAGCACTTTGGGAGGCTGAGGCAGGCACATCACCTGAGGTCAGGAGTTCGAGACCAGCCTGGCCAACATGGGGAAACCCCATCTCTACTAAAAATGCAAAAATTAGCTGGAGGTGGAGGCGGGCCCGCTGTGATCCCAGCTACTCAGGAGGCTGAGACAGGAGAATTGCTTGAACCTGGGAGGCGGAGGTTGCAGTGAGCTGAGATTGCACCACTGAACTCCACTGGGTGACAGAGTGAGACTCAGTCTCAAAAAAAAAAAAAAAATCCCAGGCATGGTGGCTCATGCCTGTAATCCCAGTACTTTGGGAGGCCGAGGCAGGCGGATCACGAGGTCAGGAGTTTGAGACCAGCTTGGCCAACATGGTGAAACCTCATCTCTACTAAAAATACAAAAATTAGCTGGGCCTGGTGGTGGCATGCACCTGTAATCCCAGCTACTTGGGAGGCTGAGGCAGGAGAATCACTTGAACCTGGGAGGCAGAGGTTGCAGTGAGCCGAGATCACACCACTGCACTCCAGCCTGGGCAACAGAGGGAGACTCTGTCTCAAAAAAAGGATACAGGGAAATGGTCCATTTTTATGCTTAGGTTCAGCAAAGTATGGACAGCAGTGTAGAAAGAGGATTGGATACAAAGGGTAGGATCTAAAGGGAATAGACTGAGCAGGGGACCCAGCCAGGCCTGTCTGTCCAGATTCTTCTTGGCCTCTCTGAGTAGCATTCCTTCCTTCTGGGTGTGGGACAGAACCCTATCTTGAATGGGGGTCTTATGACCTACAGTCAAACCAGGCAGATTGGGTAATTTCTTTCTTTCTTTTTTTCTTTCTTTCTTGCTTTCCTTTCCTTCTTCCGTTTCTTTCTTTCCTTTTGTTTTTACTTTTTTTTTCTGCTCCGTTGCCCAAGCAGGAGGGCAGTGGGGCATGATCACAGCTCACTGCAGCCTCCAACTCCTGGACTCCATTGACCCTCCTGCCTCACCACCACGCCCAGCTAATTTTCTTTTATTAAGATGAGATTCTCAGGGCCGGGCGCGGTGGCTCATGCCTGTAATCCCAACACTTTGGAAGGCCAAGGTGGGCGGATCACCTGAGGTTGGGAGTTTGAGATCAGCCTGGCCAACATGGAGAAACCCCATCTCTACTAAAAATACAAAATCAGCCGGGCGTGGTGGTACATGCCTGTAATATCAGCTACTCGGGAGGCTGAGGCAGGAGAATTGCTTGAACCCCCGGGAGGCAGAGGTTGCAGTGAGCCAGGATTGCGTCATTGCACTCCAGCCTGGGCAACAAGAGCAAAACTCTGTCTAAAAAAAAAAAAAAAAAAAAAGACGTGTTCTTGCGGCCAGGTGCAGTGGCTCACGCCTGTAATCCCCACACTCTGGGAGGCCAAGGCGGGCAGATCACCAGTTTGAGACCAGCGTGGCCAACATGGTGAAACCCCATCTCTGCAAAAAATACAAAAAAAAAAAAAAAATTAGCTGGGCATGGTGGCGCATGCTTGTGATCCCAGCTACTCAGGAGGCTGAGGCAGGGGAATCACTTGAACCCGGGAGGCAGAAGTTGCGGTGAGCTGAGATCGTGCCACTGCACTCCAGCCTGGGTGACAGAGCAAGACTCCCATCTCAAAACAAACAAACAAACAAAAAAGATGGGGGTCTCGCTATGTTGCCCGAGCTGATCTCAAACTCCTGACCTCAAGTGATCCTCCCACCTCAGCCTCCCAGAATGCTAGGATTACAAACATGAGCCACTGTGCCTGGCTGGATAATTTCTTTATGACAAGTTTTTACATAGAATATTTTTAGGTTGGCCGGGCGCAGTGGCTCACGCCTGTAATCCCAGCATTTTTGGAGGACGAGGCAGGCAGATCACGAGGTCAGTTTGAGACCAGCCTGGCCAACACAGTGAAACCTCATCTCTACTAAAAATACAAAAAAATTAGCCGGGCATGGTGGCAGATGCCTGTAATCCCAGCTACTCAGGAGGCTGAGGCAGGAGAATCGCTTGAACCCAGGAGGCAGAGGCAAAGTGAGCCGAGATCGCGCCACTGCACTCCAGCCCTGGCAACAGAGTGAGACTCCGTCTCAAAAAAAAAAAAAGAATATTTTTAGGTTTTATGACTACGTTTTGGGAAAAGGGGTTCTGGTTTCTGTGACCCACCTTGGGAAAAAGGGACTTTTGTTTCTCTGGTGCCTCTGGGGAGAAGAGGACTGAGAGACAAGTAGGCAGGAGAAGGTCAGAGAAAAACTTTTTTGTTCGAGGCTGCTGCTGAGGACTTTGTTTTGCGGTATTGTTTTCTGAGCCCCAACAGTGGCCTGGTCAATCACACGGTGGCCACAGAGCCAGTGTAGGGTGGGACAGAGGGACATGGAGGCAGAGGGAGGTGACCAGAGCCAGGAGGCCTAGATGCTGGGCCATGGGACTGCCAGCCACTGCCTGGCCACATAAGTAGCCTGTGGTCCGAGTCCAAGTCCCACGGCAGGACATGGTTTCCATTTCTTGTCTCCACAGTGACAGTGAGGAAGACACCGAGCTCTCCTGTACCCGAGGAGGCTGTCTGGCCAGCCGCGTGGCCTCCTGCAGCTGTGAGCTCCTGACTGATGGTAGGTAGGGGGACAGGGTTGAAGGAGGGGCACACTCAGGGTGGACAGATAAAGATACGTGCATCTTACCTGCCACTTCCCCAGCAGTCGACCTGCCCCGCCCCCCAGAGACGACAGCCGTGGGTGCAGTGGTGACAGCCCCCCACAGCCGAGGTCGAGATGCCGTCAGAGAATCCCTGATCCACGTCCCGCTAGAGACCTTTCTGCAGACCCTGGAATCCCCGGGCGGCAGCGGCAGTGACAGCAATAACACAGGTGCCAGTGGGGACAGCCTGCTCTTCCCATCCCACCTCTCCTGGACCCCCACCCCCAGCCATGGCCACCCATGGGCTCCCTAAACCTTGCTAAGCCTCAGAAGCTGTGACATCTCATCCTCCTGGGTCCTTCACACGTCTCCGAAGTACTTCTGGCTTTTGTAGACTGGTCTAGGAACCTGGCCCCTCCCACTGGACCCAGTTTCAATAGAAAATGTTCACAGGGGCCGGGTGCGGTGGCTCACGCCTGTAATCCCAACACTTTGGGAAGCCAAGGCGGGCGGATCACCTGAGGTCAGGAGTTTGAGACCAGCCTGGCTAACATGGCAAAACCCCGTCACTACTAAAAATATAAAAATTAGCTGGGTGTGGTGGTGCACACATGTACTCACAGCTACTCGGGAGGCTGAGGCAGGAAAATCACTTGAACCCGGGAGGCGGAGGTTGCAGTGAGCCAAGATCACGCCACTGCACTCCAGCCTGGGCGACAGAGTGAGACTATGTCTCAAAAAAAAAAGAAAGAAAAGAAAATGCTCACAGGGGCTGGGTGCAGTGTCTCACACCTGTAATCCCAGCCAGTGTTTTTTGAGGCTGAGGATCACTTGAAGCCAGGAGTTTGAGACTAGCCTGGACAACATAGCAAGACGCTATCTGTACAAAATTTTTGAGACAAGAGTCTCACTTTGTTGCCCACGCTGGAGTGCAGTGGCGGATCACAACTCACTGCAACCTCCACCCCCAAGTCCAAGCAATTCTCACGTCTCAGCCTCCCGAGTAGCTGAGATTACTGGTGCCCGCCACCTCGCCTGGCTCATTTTTGTATTTTTGGTAGAGATGGGGTTTTGCCATGTTGGCCAGGCTGATCTTGAACTCCTGCCCTAAGTGCTGGAATTATAGGTGTGAGCCACCACGCCTGGCCACAAACATTTTTGTGCCTGTAGTCCCAGCTACTTGGGAGGCCGAGGTGGGAGGATCACTTGAGCCCAGGAGGTCAAGCCTACAGTGAACTGTGATCACACCATTGCACTCCAGCCTGAGCAACAGAGAGAGACCCTGTGAAAAGAAAAAAAAAAAAAAAAAAGAAAAGAAAAGAAGAAAGGAGGGAGGGAGGGAGGGAGGGAAGGAAGGAGCTCACAGAAAAGGGTCCATAGGGTTGGAATCAGGGATTGGGAACAGGCGACTGGATTTGTTCCTAAGTTTGCTGATGACTTACAGAGTAACTCCAGGATAGTCCTTCACAGCTCTGTGCCTCAGTTTACCTCATAGACTTCACCAGTGGGTTGGGTCAGCTCCCTGCCCAACTCTAAAATTATTCCAGCTGGGCACAGTGGCTCATACCTGTAATCTCAGCACTTCAAGCAGCCAAGGCAGGAGGATCGTTTGAGCCCAGGACTTCCAGACTAGTCTGGGCAACAAGACTCTGTCTCTACAAAAAATAAACAAAAATTAGCCAGGCATTGTGGCACAGGCTTATAGTCCTAGCTACCCAGGAGGCTGAGGTGGGAGGATTGCTTGAGCCCAGGAGGCCAAGGCTGCAGTGAGCTATGATTGTGCCACTAGACTTCAGCCTGGGTGACAGAGCAAGACCCTATCTCAAAAAATAAATAAATAAATAAAATTATTTGGCTGGGCGCAGTGGCTCACACCTGTAATCCCAGCACTTTGGGAGGCCAAGACGGGCGGATTGCCTGAGCTCAGGAGTTAAGACCGGCCTGAGCAACATGGTGAAACCCTGTCTCTACTAAAAATACAAAAATTAGCCTGGTATAGTGGTGCATGACTGTAATCCCAGATACTTGGGAGGCTGAGGCAGGAGAATCACTAGAACCTGCAAGACGGAGGTTGCAGTGAGTCGAGATCACGCCACTGCATTCCAGCCTGGGCAACAGAGCAAGACTCTGTCTCAAACAAAAAAATATTCAGGCCAGGTGCAGTGGCTCACACCTGTAATCCCAGCACTTTGGGAGGCCAAGGCAGGAGGATCACTTGAGCCTAGGAGTTTGAGACCAGCCTGGGGAACACAGCAAGACTCCATCTCTAAAAAATAAAAAATAAGGCTGGGCGCAATGGCTTACACCTATAATCGCAGCACTTTGGGAGGCCGAGGTGGGTGGATCATCTGAGGTCAGGAGTTTGAGACCAGCCTGACCAACACAGTGAAACCCCATCTCTACTAAAAATACAAAAATTAGTTGGGTGTGGTGGTGGGCGCCTGTAATCCCAGCTACTCGGGAGGCTGAGGCAGGAGAATCGCTTGAACCCGGAAGGCAGAGGTTACAGTCAGCCACCGGGATTGCAGCATTGCACTCCAGCCTGGGCGACAAGAGCGAAACTTCGTCTCAAAAAAAAAATAAAAACTAAAAACCAACCAACTTTTTAAACATTATTCCAACAGCATTTTGCATGTAAAAAAACCAACAAGACGTCACCTCTCTTCTCACATTTATTTATTTGTCCCCCTTTCTCCTTCCCCCCATGTTCCTCACACTGTCATCCCCACCTCAGGGGAACAGGGTGCAGAGACGGATCCCGAGGCTGAACCCGAGCTGGAGCTATCCGACTACCCATGGTTCCACGGGACACTGTCCCGGGTCAAGGCTGCTCAACTGGTTCTGGCAGGGGGGCCCCGGAACCACGGCCTCTTCGTGATCCGCCAAAGTGAGACTCGGCCTGGGGAGTACGTGCTGACCTTCAACTTCCAGGGCAAGGCCAAGGCAAGTGTGTGGGGGGCGCCATGGGGGTGCAGTGGCCAGCCCTGAGGGAGAGGGGTCATGGTGACCCCGGTCCTGAGGCTGTGCCCTGGAAGCAGCTGCAGGCGAACAGGTGTGGCATGACTTCCCACGGGCCCCACTCACCCCAGCCATGCTCCGTGAGCCACCTGCGTCCCTCCTACACATCACTGAGGGACTGCAGTCAGCCCTATTTCAGCCTCTGCATTCTCCAGAAGGGGAGGCCACCTACTGGCGGCTGAGCCCTCAGGAGGCTGGGCCCTTCTAATAACCCAAATTTGCAAATCCTTTCAGCTCCTGCGCGCGGGGGATCTCATAGCACTGGAGCTTCGGAGGGTCTCCACCCAGAGATCGCCCAGTGGGGGGTGGGAGCCAACCAAGGCCCTCAGAGCCCCACCTTCTGCCCCACCGACCTCAGACAGCCCCTCTTCCCTGCCCAGGTTAGGTCACCAACCCCTGAGGAACACACACGGGCAAACCCTAGAGACCCAGCAGGGGAGGAGGAGCTGGGCTGGGTGGGAGAGCTGTGCAGGGTCTAGGGGGTGGGGTTCAGCATTGGAGGGGACAGCCTGATCAGAGACCTGCAGGGGAGGGAGAATTGTGGAGGGGAAGACAGTCAGGAAGGCGATCCCAACAGCACCCAGCTGGATCAGAGGCATGATGGTACACCCAGGCGGTGTGCTTTCAAGGAAGAGGATTCCTTGCTATATTGACCTGAAATGCTTTGTTTTTGTTTTTGTTTTTTTTTGAGACAGTCTCGCTCTATCCTCCAGGCTGGATTGCAACATCGCAATCTCAGCTCATTGCAACCTCCGCCTCCCGGGTTCAAGCGATTCTTGTGCCTCAGCCTCCCAAGTAGCTGGGATTACAGACACGTACCACCACACCTGGCTAATTTTTGTATTTTTAGTAGAGACAGGGTTTCACCATGTTGGCCAGGCTGGTCTCAAACTCCTGACCTCAGGTGATCCACCCACCTCAGCCTCCCAAAGTGCTGGGATTACAGGCGTGAGCCCCCACGCCCGGCCTATTGACCTGAAATTCAAAGGAAAATTTGACAGCAAAGGCAAATGATTATGGGGGGGTGCAATGTGGCCAGAGGGGGCAGGAACCTCAGTGCCCACCCCCGCATCCCAGGTTTCCGATAAGGAAACACTCAGCCTGGGCTCCTGCCAGGACGGATTTCCTGGCGGCCCCTACTAGAGGAGGGAGAACCTTAGGACTCCTGCTCCAGGCCTGCAGCTGGGGGACAGTGTCTCTCTGCAGGGACCCCGGCTGCCCTAACCCCTAGTGGCTCAGTGCAGAACCTCTGGTGGCTTCTCTCCTCCTCCAGGTTGGCCCCACCATGCAGGAGGTAGCACCTCCACCAGGGACATTTCCTTGGCAAGCAGCCACCCTTACAGTTCCTCCGACAACCAGGTGCTTAAGGCCATCCCTGGTGACGTGCAATTTACTTCTCAGCCAGTGCTGCTCCAGGCAGCCTCCCAGAGGGCCTGGATCTGACTCATGCCCAAGCCAGAGGCTAGGATGGGGGAACAAAGGGTGGGTGGCAAGCTCCTCTCCTTCCTGGAACAAGACCCAGCCTTGAACCTGCCTCTCACCTCTCTACCCAGCTGCTCTTCTCCCAGAGTGGAGATGACTGCCCCAGGCCTGATAAGTAAATGGTGGGACAAAGCAGGAACCCCAGCCTCCAGCTTACATACCTCCTGGGAGGGAAGATCACTACCTTCCCAGAGGCAACTCTTTCCACCTTCACAGAATAAATGTCTGGAAGGTCTGGCAGAAGATTGGGATGCGTCCAACTTGCTTCTTCTCTCCCCAGGGACCCAGCTGTGCCCTGCGCAGGCTCTGCCCAGCTATGAGGCTGTGGTGGGACCCCTCTGTGCTGTTTCTTTCGGGCTGAGTCCCTGCATTGTCCTAGCAACTTATTCTGCTAAGTGGCAGAGCTCACTTGTGGGACCGCCACCCCGCTCCAGGGATTGTCTGTATTTTTTTGTTTGTTTTTTAAAGGGTTGGGGGGTATCTCACCATGTTGGCCAGGCTGGTCTTGAACTCCTGACCTCCCGTGATCCATTCCCCTCAGTCTCCCAAAGTGCTGGGATTACAGGCGTGAGCCACCACACCTAGCAGATTGTCTGTCTTTTATGCAGGTGGCCAGACCAGCTCCCCCTCCTGGGCTTGGGGCTATGCGTGTACCCTCAAACCACTCCTCTTAGCTCCCCTCTTGCCCCACACACCCCAGAGATAGCCACTTGTTTCTGCAGTGGGATACATGTTGAGCAAAATAGGGCTTAAGTCAGAGACCTGCAGCTCTCCACTAGACACCACAGGCCTATGGTTTCTTACCCTGAGGCACCTGCCTCACACAGGCCCTAGAGACCTAGAGAGAAGCCAGCCCTGTTCCAGCTGTTCCCACAGCGTGCGGTCACTCCTCCCCAGCCAGCCCTGGGGAGCTTTCCATGCCTCCGGGTTTTGGCTCTGCAGGGACAGAGGGCCAACCTCTAGCCTCCTGGGCTGGGGGAACCACCCAAACAGGAGTTTTCTTCCCTGCTCTGTGCTCTGTGACCATGGGCCAGTCACTCCCCCTCCCTGGGCCTTGGTTTTCCTATCTCTAACATGGGGGCAGTAATCCCTATCTTCTGGCATTAGGGAGGGGATTAGAGATTATAGGTGTGTAGGGCATGGGCCCATAGTGGAGGTGCTCCCAGCATGGGGACAATGCCTGATGCCTTCCATCTCAGCCTGGGTCCGTTGCCCCCATTCCCCATCTCCAGATGGGGCTCATGTGTGAGGGGCCCCCGGCCCTGACACAGCCCCATACAGCCCCTGTGAGCCTTGGTCCTTCCATCAACCCCCAAAGGCGCTTACCCAGGTGCCCAGCCCCGGACCTGCCCCTGACCACACCCACCTGTACCCACAGCACCTGCGCCTGTCCCTGAACGGCCACGGCCAGTGTCACGTACAGCATCTGTGGTTCCAGTCTGTGCTTGACATGCTCCGCCACTTCCACACACACCCCATCCCACTGGAGTCAGGGGGCTCGGCCGACATCACCCTTCGCAGCTATGTGCGGGCCCAGGACCCCCCACCAGGTAAGATGCCGCCACCTGGCTGGTGTGATTACTCAAGAAGACTTCCCGTTGATTACTCAAGAAGGTGGTCCCTGGGGTGGGATGAGCCCCAGGTCTCCTGTCCCATAGCCTCAGCCGTGTCCCTCCCACCCTAGCCTAGCCACAGCAATTTCAAGCAGTCACGTCATAAGGAATGGAGGCAGAAGTGGCAGCCTAGAGGCAGCCAGGTCCCTAATGATTCCTGGCAAGGGGAAGGGGGCGCCCAACAGCAGTGCAGGTGGGTGTATGGGGGTGGGGACAGGGGTGTGGATTGGGGCAAGTGGGATGAAAGGAGCTGGGCATATGGATTCTTAAGCCCTGCACTGGGGAGGCTCAGAGCAAAGCTGCTGGGACCGAGCACTAAGGGCATGGGTGCATGTGCATGCGTGTGCTTGTGTGTGTGCATGAGTGTATGTGTGCATGTGCCCGTGTGCGTACGCTTACGTGTGCGTGTGTGCGCATATGCATGAGCGTGTGCATGCGTGCATGGGCACGCGTGTGCTTGTGTGCCTGTGTGCGAGCGTGTGCATTATGTATGCGTGTGTGTGCACTCCTGTGCATGTGGCTATATGGGCGTGCACACGCGTGGTTAGGTACATGTATGTGTGTGTGCTTCTGTTTATGCATGTGGGCGGGTGTGCTTGCATATGTGTCCGAGGACATGGGCTGCAACTCGGAAACCTGAGCGTGGGCCCTGGCCCCTTGAGGGATCCCGGCCTCCCTGCAGGATGTGGCCAGCCCAGGTCCCCACTCACGCCCTGCCGTCGCCTTGTTGCAGAGCCGGGCCCCACGCCCCCTGCCGCGCCCGCGTCCCCGGCCTGCTGGAGCGACTCGCCCGGCCAGCACTACTTCTCCAGCCTCGCCGCGGCCGCCTGCCCGCCTGCCTCGCCCTCCGACGCCGCCGGCGCCTCCTCGTCTTCCGCCTCGTCGTCCTCTGCCGCGTCGGGGCCCGCCCCCCCGCGCCCCGTCGAGGGCCAGCTCAGCGCGCGGAGCCGCAGCAACAGCGCCGAGCGCCTGCTGGAGGCCGTGGCCGCCACCGCCGCCGAGGAGCCCCCGGAGGCCGCGCCCGGCCGCGCGCGCGCCGTGGAGAACCAGTACTCCTTCTACTAGCCCGCGGCGCCGCCCGGGTGGGACACGCCAAGCTCTTCAGTGAAGACACGATGTTATTAAAAGCCTGTTTTAGGGACTGCACCCGGCTCTCCTGTCGTCCTTTCTCCCACGGGGAAGGCGGGGACTGCGGGGCAGCCACTCTCAGAGACACCCGTCCATCAGGGACCCCCGTCCAGCCCAGTGTGGCCTGACACCTGCCAGGCCCCCTTGCAGCTCTGTCTCTGGTGGGACAGCTGAGGGACTCCCCATGGGGCGTCGGGCAGCACCTGAAAGAGGGCCCAACAGCAAGGGTTAGGGCTTAGGATCGGGAGGGGGCTTTACTGGAGCTGTGAGGGAGAGAGATGGGAGGTGGTAACAATGAGGGGTGCTGAAAAGAGAGGAGGGGGCATTCAGGACACAGTGAGGGATGGGGAGCACGCCCAAGTCATACGGAGAGCTTGGATGCCAGGAGGAGGAGTCGAGGCCCGGACTGGGAGGGTAAAGGCGTTTTTAGACAGATCTATGAAGCCTGGCGGTGTGGACAGGGCGGCAGGGCAGGAAGAAGCCTGGCGGTGTGGACAGGGCGGCAGGGCAGGAAGAAGCCTGGCGGTGTGGACAGGGCGGCAGGGCAGGAAGAAGCCTGGCGGTGTGGACAGGGCGGCAGGGCAGGATGTCTCCATATTAGCCCTTAGGGGATTGGGCAATGGAAGAGGCTGGATTTCCCAGCTCGGTGGTAGACTTAAACTTGGAAGAAGCTTAAAGAGCCCTCCCACCCACCGCGCTCCACCTCATTCACACCCAGCCCCCACCCCGTCTCATTCCCACCCCACACCTACCCACAAGTGGAATTCCAGCTGTGACTCCCATGACCCCAGGCTCTGGAGACACTGCTTGCTGGCAGTCCCAGGACCCCAGTCCCCAGGCAGTGTTCAAGAAAGATCCTGTTCCTACTAAGCCAAACCTCTGCCTTCCCCACAACACCCCAGACCTGGGGTCACAGACCCACAGTCCCCTTGCCCAAGACTGGCCTTGCAGGGCTTGGGTCAATGATGCATCCATCTATTTTTCTTTCTTTCCCCTTCCTTCCTTCCTTCCTTCCTTCCTTCCTTCCTTCCTTCCTCTCTTCTCTTTCTCTTCTCTTTCTCTCTTTCTTTCCTTTTCTTTCTTTTTCTTTTTTGAGACAGGTGCAGTGGCACAATCTTGGCTCACTTGCAGTCTCAACTTCCCGGGCTCCAACTATCCTCCCACCTCAGCCTCCCAAGTATCTGAGACTACAGGCGTGCACCACCACGCCTAGCTAATTTTTTTTGGTAGAGACAGGGTTTCACCATGTTGGCTAGGCAGGTCTCGAACTCCCGAGTAATCCTGGGTGGGAGGCGATCCACCCACCTCAGCCTCCCAAAGGGCTGTGATTATAGGCATGAGCCACTGCACCTGGCCAATGATGCAGATTTCAGATCCCTAGACATCTAAAGCTCTCAGGACTGTAACTAAGACACAGCCTCTTCCCCATAAAAGGGGCATGAACACCCTTGGGTGGCTCCCAGGGCTTTCAGCCACCCAGTCCCCATGCACAACATCATCAGGAAGTGACAGAGTAGGGCCCCCTGCTACCACCATGATGAGGGAAGAATACAAATTCAGCGATCAGGAGAGCACCCTGCTACCTCTGCTTCTAGCACCTTCATTCGGTTGTGGCTGGAGTCCTTCTGCCCCCGTGCCCTGGTGGTTTGGGGTCTATGCTAGGCCAAGTGCAAGTCCCCATTCCACTCCAACAAGAACAGAGCGGGCTCTGGACTGAGGCTTGGGCTGGGCAGACGAACAGGGGCAGACTTAAGACTTAGACCCACCAGGTGGGGGCAGTGGTTCACGCTTGTAATCCCAGCACTTTGGGGGGCCAAGGCGGGCAAATCATCTAAGGTCAGGAGTTCGAGACCAGCCTGGCCAACATGGTGAAACCCCTCCTCTACCAAAAATACAAAAAAAAAAAAAAAACTAGCCAGGCGTGGTGGTGCGTGCCTATAGTCCCAGCTACTTGGGAGGCTGAGGTGGGAGGATCGCTTGAACCCGGGAGGTGGAGGTTGCAGTGAGCCAAGATCGCGCCACTGCACTCCAGCCTGGGTAACAGAGGGAGACTCCATTTCAAAAAAAAAAAAAAAGACTTGGACACAGAGTGTGCAAGCCTTCAGGCCCTCCTGTCCTTTCCTCCTGATGTCGTCAGCCACAGCAGAGGCCACTCTCCATGCCGAATGCTCAAAACAGAATCAGCACAGAAGCAGGCAAAAGCACTGATTGACTGTCACCTTTGCTCAATGGGGGGCTCATGCACATATGCACACACATAGAGTATAAGACTGTGGGAGAGGGTCTGTGCCAATCCTAAGGGGGCAGGCGCTGTTCCTGGGGTGTTCCCAGGTTAAAGTGAATTCGGGGGGGGACAGCAGAAGTTGATACGGTGACTGCCCCCCCCCGGGCTCTCCCAAGGGATGCAGCAGGAAGGCCCAGGAGGTCAGTGAAAAGGGGGCTCTCTCTTCAGTATGGTCACCAGCGTGAGATCCTCAAGCCTGTCACTCAAGAGGGTGGTTCCAGATAGCCCAGACTCAGTGGCTCTGGCGAAATCACAGCCATTGCACAGACGGCAGCAACATTTTCAAGGGGGTTTCATTTGTTCCTCAACAAGCATTTCAGATGCCTGCTCTGCGCCAGGCCAGGCCCATGGGGTAGCTGAGCCAAGCTTTGGGACCACAAGTGCCCTGGCTGACCTGTGACACTGGGTGTCGCAGACATGGGGGACTGCAGGCGCAGGAGCAGCGAGGTGGGATATGAGACCTGCAAGGTAGAGAGAGCCTTGAATGCCAGGCCAGGGAGTTTGGAAGGTGCTGAGAGCCAGTGCCAATTAAAATGGGAGCTGAGATCACCCTGTGGCCAGAGGGTTGGGGCAAGGATGGATTGAAGGCGGCAAAATGAGGCGGGGGGCCAGGGAGGCTGTGGTGGGTCTGGGTGAGGGGCAAGGGGCCAGGGCAGGGCAGCAGAGCAGGAGGACAGTGACGGAAGAAAGATCACAACCGGGTGTGGTGGCTCACGCCTGTAATCCCAACACTTTGGGAGGCCAAGGCGGGTGGATCACTTGAAGTCAGGAGTTCAAGACCAGTCTGGCCAACATGGCGAAACCCCGTCTCTATTGAAAATACAAAAATTAGCCGAGTGTGGTGGCACGTGCCTGTAATCCCAGCTACCCGGAAGGCTGAGGCAAGAGAATGGCTTGAACCCAGGAGGTGGAGGTTGCAGTGAGCCGAGATCATGCCACTGCACTCTAGCCTGGGACACAAAGAGAGACTTGTCTCTAAATAAATACATAAATAAATAAATAGAACTGGCGTACAAAACAAAATCAAATACAGTACAATAAAAATCAGTTCCTTCTGGTGGGCGTTTCTGTTATATTTTTCTTTTTTTTTTTTTAGGGGGCATGGTGTGACCGTGCTTTCATGGTCTGTCTTCCTACTGAAAATCAACATCAATCGAGCTTCTGCCTTCCTGCTCCGGGGAAGGGTTTTTTGTCCTCCCTGAGATCACCTTAGACCCTATTGGGCACTTCTAACTTAGAAAAGTTCTAGCCCATTTGGGGTAGAAGAAATAAACTTCCTGCGATGGCGAGGGGCTCTTACATCCCTAGTATTAAGAGACAGCAAAGCAGCCAGGCGCGGTGACTCATGCCTGTAATCTCAACACTTTGGGAGGCCGAGGCAGGCAGATCACTTGAGGTCAGGAGTTCGAGACCAGCCTGGCCAATATGGTAAAACGCCATCTCCACTAAAAATACAAAAATTAGCCCAGCGTGGTGGCGGCACCTGTAATTCCACCTACTCAGGAGGCTGAGGCAGGAGAATCACTTGAACTGGGGAGGTGGAGGTTGCAGTGAGCCAAGATTGCTCCACTGCACTCCAGCCTGGGCAACAGAGTGAGACCCTGTCTCAAAAAGAAAAAAAAAAAGCAAAGCGATACACTAATGTGAATGTTGAGTAATGAATCTCATTCATTGTCCCCAAATCCTATATTTATTTCTTATTTATTTTAAAGAGCATCTTGATCTGTTGCCCAGGCTGGAGTGCAGTGGGGCAATCACAGGTCACTGCAGCCTCAATCTCCTGGGCTCAAATGATCCTCCCACCTCAGCCTCCCAAGTAGCTGGGACTACAGGTGGGTGTCACCACACCCTGCTAATTTTTAATTTTATTGTAGAGACCAGGAGTCTCACTATGTTTCTCAGGCTGGCCTTGAACTCCTATCCTCAAGTGATCCTCCTGCCTCGGTCCAAAAGCCTTTTTTTTTTTTTTTTTTTCTGAGACAGAGTCTTGCTCTGTCACTCAGGCTGGAGTGTAGTGGTGGGATCTTGGCTCACTGCAACCTCTGCCTCCCGGGTTCAAGCAATTCTCATGCCTCAGCCTCCCGAGTAGCTGGGACTACAGGTGCCCACTACCACGCCCAGCTAACTTTTGTATTTTTAGTAGAGACTGGGTTTCGCCATGTTGGCCAGACTGGTCTTGAACTCCTGACCTCAGGTGATCCACCCACCTCGGCCTCCCAAAAAGCTGCAGTTACAGGCATGAGCCACCGCACCCGGCCTCAAAATCCTTTAATAAGAAAAAAACATGTATTTGGCCAAAACATGCATTTGGCTAGGTAGAAAGTTTTCTGCAGTGCCCACCCTTCCCCCTAAAAGGCCCTAAGCCAGGGATTTCTAATCTCTTTTGTGCCTCAGGCCCCTGACAGTCTGGGGAAGACTATTATAGCCTGCTTAGCATAATGTTTAAAGTGCACAGAATTAAATACATAGACTTGCAAGGAAAACCAATTACCCTGAAATTCAGTCAAAATACTAAATACAATTAAAAAGTAATCAAAATATTTTTTAAACTGGTGATGTGGTAATATACATGCTTCTTTATTAACACTTTAAATAGCAAGCTTTAATAGCAGCCCTCATAACTACTGTAATTTCAGTCAATGATGAGCATGAATGATACTTTGGGGTTCTGTAACAAACTAGACGCGCTGTGAAAAGATCCCTTATTTGAATAAGCTCAATGGCTCACATCTGTAAGCCAGCACTTCGGAAGACTGAGGTAGGAGGATCGCTTGAGGCCAGGAGTTCAAGAACAGCCTGGGCAACAGAACGAGACACACCCTACTCTGCAAAAAATACAGAAAACAGCCGGGCACGGTGGCTCACACCTATAATCCCAGCACTTTGGGAGGCTGAGGCGGGAGGATTGTTTGAGCCCAGGAGGTCGAGACCAGCCTGGGCAACATGGCACAACCTTGTCTTCTCTGCAAAAAAATACCAAAAAAATTAGCCAGGCACGATGGCATGCACCTGTAGTCCCAGCCACCTGGGAGTCTGAGGTGGGAGTATCACCGGAGCCTGGGAGGTCAGTTGCACCACTCTGTCTCAAAAAAAAAAAAAATGCTCTCTCATTCAAGGTTACCCTTCTATTACTCCAAGGATTCACCCCATAATCTTATCTTTCTTGATATGTTACATTCACTGAAATGTTCACATCAAATCAAGTTTGTAGACACTTGTCCTTACCACCTTACAAAAAGTGAGATGGTATCAACAGAGGTGAGACACGGCTTTACCTGCATGTCACTTTTGGCAGCTTTCACAGCATTGAAAAGATCATTGGCTGGTGGCTCTGACTGTTTCCGGCTATGACGATGTACCACTCGGGACCCTTTCTTTCGTTGTTTGCCACCTAATATGTATAAAAAGATCAGAAATATGAAAAAAAGGTAACAGTGACATTAACACTTGGTCTCATCATTATCACACAAGTAGGCTTACGCTGCCCATTCCACAGCACAGTCTGAGTTAGACTCAGTCCTGAAATAATTGATTTTTATACTGTTATGAAGTTTAACTTTTTTCCCTTAAAAAAAAAAAGTCCTTGAGTCCCCTTCCTATATCTCTATATCCTAACGTCCTTTTCTCTTCTTTTCTCTTCAAAATTTCTCCTCTTCCTATTTCCGTCCCTTAATACTTTGTAAATCTTGTCCTTTTTTGAACCATATCACCTGAACCTCTTTTAAGTTTTTTTCTTTTTTTTTTTTTTTGAGGCAGAGTCTCGCTCTGTCACCCAGGCTGGAGTGCAGTGGCGCAATCTCGGCTCACTGCCAGCTCTGCCCCTGGGGTTCACGCCATTCTCCTGCCTCAGCCTCCCGAGTAGCTGGGCTGCTTCCCCCACAAGATTCAAAAACAAAAGAAAACTGGCTGACTCACCGGTGTTGTTTTCGGTGGTCGTTTTGCTGCTTTCTTCTTCACATTGCGATTGAAGCTATCTTCAAAGTCACTGCCTTCATCAGCTAATAAAGAGTCAGTATTCCTGTGAGAAAGTACCGTTCTCTTTAAATATAACCACCCTAATTCCCTCCATATAAAAGGCTAATGAATTAGTTTCTCTGTCTCTCACTGCACCCCATCTCCATGAGAAAAACATATTCAGATTTTAAGAAAAAATGAGCTTATTGTTAGTAGGAAGTTGGGATAAAGTCTTTTTTTTTTTTTTGAGACAGAGTTTCACTCTCGTCACCCAGGCTGGAGTGCAATGGTGTGATCTCGGCTCACTACAACCTCTGCCTCCCAGGTTCAAGTGATTCTCCTGCCTCAGTCTCCCGAGTAGCTGGGATTACAGGTGTTTCACCATGTTGGCCAGGCTGGTCTCAAACTCCTGACCTCAGGTGATCCACCTGCCTTGGCCTCCCAAAGTGTTGGGATTACAGGCGTAAGCCACCACACCCGGCCAGGACAAAGTCTTAAAGGAAAACTTTCACATGAAAGCAATGGAGACGAAGAATGAGGAAATGAGGAGGGGAAGGACAACCCTTCCCAGTATTCTCTCCGAAGAAGAGAATCAAATGCTACTCACTTAGCGGGTAGAGAGATCACTGCTCTTTGTAGAGAAAAATAATCATGGCCCAGGAAGTCATCCATCATTCATCCATAAACGGGAGAGTAATATGGACCTAGAGTTAAATTTCACCCCGTGAAACATCAACCACGTCTTATCAATTCAAGTTTATAACATTGATATAATCGGGTACACCACAGCAGCACTGACAGAAATAGAAATGATTCAGAGAAAGCCAATTAAAACAGCCAGGGGACAAAGCAGATCTGTATGACATTAGCTTTTTTCCTTCCGGAAAGTTAAAAAACCAAGATATATTATTATAAACTATACAGAATAAACTCATATGTGGTAATAAATAAGGATACACAGACCTGTTTACAAAATCCCCAAGCAGAAGAACTAGGGGACACCAGATAAAAAGTTTATACAATTTACCAGGCAACAAGTAAAGAACTCTTTACTCACCCATCTGCCACCTCCCAGCCCCCACCAGGGGTTGTACATGCTGAACACAGAAATGTGTTTAAGAGAGGTTTAGACACGATGGATGATGGATTAAAAACAGGATGTGCTTGAACCCGGAAGGCGGAGGTTGCAGTGAGCCAAGATCACACCACTGCACTCCAGCCTGGGCGACAGGGCGAGACTCCATCTCATACAAACAAACAAACAAACAAAAAACAGGATGTACTACTATTTTGATGTCTACAACATCTAGGACCCCCCAAAAAAAACACCTGGAGCTGGAGGGAGGGTGTCACTGTGCTGAACGAGTACAGCACTTCTGGTGTATTCACACAGTCCCACGCATATTATCATCAATGTGGGAAAACGAGAGGGGGAAGGCTGCCACGGACACAGGAAGTGGCCGCACAATGCAACATCTACTTACCCTCTGAGGGATGGTTTGAGTCCCTGTCATCGAAGGGTAGACTGGCAGAGGAACTAGAAGATGCAGACAAGGCCCTCTTGGTACCTCCCGCAGCTCTCTGCAGTGGGGAAGACATGCTTGGCGAGGAGGAGCTATGGGGCCAGGAAGACGAGGACCGCAGGGTAGGTTTGGCAATCCAGCTGGGGAAGAAAGAGAAGAAAGGGCTCCTACCACAGCACTTCTCCATCCCCAGCCGTGAGCAGTCCCTTTCTTTGCAAGGGAATGGTTCTAGAACTGTGGGGTCAGGTGAGGGGGACCAAAAACTAAGACAAAGGCTGGGCACCGTGGCTCATGCCTATAATCCCAGCACTTTGGGAGGCCAGGGCAGGAGGATGGCTTGACCCAGGAGTTCAAGACCAGCCCGGGCAATACAGCAAGATCCCATTTCTACAAAAAAAATAATACTAATTAGCCAGGTGTGGTAGCACGTGCCTGTATTCAGCTATTCAGGAGGCTAAGGTGGGAGGACTGCTTGAGTCCAGGAGTTCAAAGCTGCAGTGAGCTATGATCGCACCACTGTACTCCAGCCAGGGTGACAGAGTGAGACTCTGTCTCAAAAAATAAAAATTAAAAAATAAAAAATAAAAGGAGACATTATAGGAGGCAAGTCTGCAAAGCCTTAACTACAAACTAAAGAAACCAAAAGGAAAAAGAAGACTTTAAAAAATCTTTAGAAGTCTAAGAAGTCTTAAGTCTGTTCCGGGTGGAGCAGAGTTAAGTATGCCAATTAAATTATTGGGTGCTGGCCGGGCATGGTGGCTCACATCTGTAATCCCAGCACTTTGGAAGGGCAAGGCAGGTGGATCACTTGAGGTCAGGAGTTCGAGAGGACAACACGATGAAACTCCATCTCTACTGATGGATGTGAAAGGATGACTCCATCTCAAAAAAAAAAAAAAATTACGTGCTGACTGAAAATAAATTTGAAAGCAAGGTGTGTGACAGGGAAGGCTACTACCTGTGTAATATTCTGTTACTTAATGATAAGTCCTGAGTCATATTTCCAATCTCTCTTAACCAGCCTGTATTTGTACATTGCTTGTGTACAAGCTTGCTAATTTCCACAAATGGCAGTAGGTTGTCTGCTCCAATAGGGCCAAAAATGCATCTACTGGATTCAAAGCTCAGTAAGGGCCAGGTGCAGTGGCTCATGCCTGTAATCTTGGCACTTTGGGAGGCCAAGGCAGGCAGATCACTTGAGGTCAGGAGTTTGAGACCAGCCTGGCCAACATGGTGAAACCCCTTCTCTACTAAAAATACAAAAAATTGCTGGCCGTGGTGGTGGGCACCTGTAATACCAGCTACTGGGGAGGCTGAGGCAGGAGAATTGCTTGAACCTGGGAGACGGCAGCTGCAGTGAGCCGAGATCATGACACTGCACTGCAGCCTGGACGACAGAGTGAGACTCCGTCTCAAAAAAACTCAGTCAGGAATGAAGAATGTCTGAAGTACTGTATGTGTAACGTGGCTTGTGATTCTTAAGCCCTGAGTGCAGCTTGAGCTAGTCCTTCATGATCTAATACCAAAATGTTCAAGATCTGTTTTATGTCATTGGTGCCTTCTAATGTTGGCCTGTTGTTTTCCTTGCTGAGACTAGATTATGATGTGGTATATTGTTTTTATCAATTTAACTTATAAGTATTTATAAGCAGCTTATTCTTCATGTTGCTCTCATTTACCCTGGAGATGCTTGATTGCTTTTTTTTTGTTTTTTTTTTTTTTTTTTGAGACAGGGTTTCACTCTGTTGCCCATGCTGGAGTGCAGTGGCACGATCACAGCTCAATGCAGCCCTGACCTCCTGGGCTCAAGTGATTCTACCACCTCAGCCTCCTGAATAGCTGGGACTACAGGCACGTGCTACAACACCTGGCTAAGTTTTGTACTTTTTGTAAAGATGGGGTTTCACCATGTTGCCCAGATTGGTTTTGAACTCCTAGGTTCAAGTGGTCCTCCTGCCTTGGTCTCCCAAAGTGCTGGGATTACAGATGTGAGCCACCATGCCTGGCCAAGATGTTTTATTGCTAATTATTTGTCTGTCCACATTGTTATCATCTCCTAGAGAAATTGCTAGAAGAGTGAGATTACGTGTCCTCTAAGTTATAAGTTCACAAATAAAAGCCCAAAGGAAGTTAGGTAGCAGACTTAAAAACAAATTAAAAAGACCCTGCAAAACTTGGTCTTAAATGAAAGGTGACATTCTCCAACCTGGGTTGTCTTTCTGGTTTCATGGGACTGTGCAGTGCAGTTGGAGGGTGACTGGGCCCTGTTTCCACGGCACTCTCTAGGTGCAGGGACCATTGAACCATGTCTGCTATTCCTGTCTTAGCTCTGTACTGAAATAACAGTTGTGTTACTGGGTTTCAAAAGAAAGTCCATCCCTCCTGATCTAGGCAGAAAGCCATTAAAGAAAACAGAAGGATAATGAGCAGTGGGAAAACAAACCAGAAAAGTTACCGATTCACCCATCTTGTGTCAGAATCGACAGGCCTGTTGCTCCTGCTGGAAACCTAGGATGTACGTTTGCAATGAGAAAAGAGTGAAAGACTTGAGCAGGTACATTACGAAAGAGCAATCACAGCGGCCAGTGAATATGAAAAGGTCCTCAACTTAGAGAAGTCTGGAGAAATCCAAACTAAAACTACCCTAGGATACCACGCTACACCCACCAGCTTTAGGCAGGATGCAAACATCAGGAATTCTACCCTGCTGGTGAGCAGTGAGAGAGCGCATAAACCAGTATAACAACTTTGGAAAACAATTTAGTAGGGTGGAAAGCCAGGTGGACCACTGAGCCAGCAGTCCCATTCATTAGTACATACCCCATGCCTGCTCCTCTGTGTAAGAATATTCACTGCAGAGACCGGGCGCGGTGGCTCACGCCTGTAATTCCAGCACTTTGGGAGGCCGAGGTGGGCGGATCATGAGGTTAGGAGATAGAGACCATCCTGGCTAACACAGTGAAACCCCGTCTCTACTAAAAACACAAAAAGTTAGCCAGGCGTGGTGGCGGGTACCTGTAGTCCCAGCTACTCTGGAGGCTGAGGCAGGAGAATGGCGTGAACCCAGGAGGTGGAGGTTGCAGTGAGCCGAGATCACGCCACTGCACTCCAACCTGGGCAACAGAGCGAGACTCTGTCTCCAAAAAAAACAAAAAAAAAGAATATTCCCTGCAGAATTGTTCATAGCAGGTTAAAATGGAAAACAATCCAGTGTCCCTGAGCAAGAAGGAGGGATAAATATATGGTGGAGAGTCATGAAATAGAACAGCATACTACAGAGAAAATGAATACTTCTGTTGTTACAATAAAATGACTTCTAAAATAATGTCTACAAAAAAGAAGCCAGGGCTGGGCACCAGTGGCTCATGTTTGTAATCCCAGCACTTTGGGGGGCTGGGGTTACAAGATCACTTGAGGCCACGAGATGGAGACCACCTTGGATCTCGTTAACCACCTTTTATGTAGAGATGTGGTGAGACCCCATCTCTACATGGAAAAAAAAAGCCAGACATATTAAATATACGCTGTATGCTTACCTATATTGTGATACCCTACCTTATTTTAACGTGATTGTCTCTCTTAGCTGAGAGAGCCAGACAGGCTCCATTTTAGTTCCTTCACTTGCAGCCCCCTCCCTTAAAGGCATAACTAGTCTAAGCTGACTCCATGCACGTCTAGGAATGCACTTACTGATAAGGTATCGAGGCAAGCTGAACCAGCAGCTCTTGGGGACTCGCTCGGTGGATGATACCAAAAGACCCTGCATTTATCTCTTTGTGGTAGTTTGAGCCCCTGCACCTGGAACTGTTTATTTTTCTGTAACTATTTATGTAACCAATTAATCTTTTTAATTTTTCCCTGTTCTGCTTCTGTAAAAATTGTTTCAGCTAAACTCCCCCTCCCCTATTTAGACCACGGTATAAAAAGAAATCTAGCCCCTTCTTCGGGGCCAAAAGAATTTTGAGCTCTAGCCATCTCTCAGTCACCGGCAATAAAGGACTCCTAAATCAGTCTCATGGTGCGGCGTTTCTCTATAACTCGCTCGGTTACAACAATATCAAGACTATATTGTTTAGGGGCCAGGCATGGTGGCTCACGCCTGTAATCCCAGCACTTTGGGAGGTCGAGGCAGGCAGATCGCTGGAGGTCAGGAGTTCGAGACCAGCCTGGCCAACATGGTGAAACCCTGACTCTACTAAAAATACAACATTAGCCGGGTGCAGTGGACGGCGCCTGTAATCTCAGCTACTCAGGAGGCTGAGGCGGGAGAACTGCTTGAACCCGGGAGTCAGAGGTTGCAGTGAGCCGAGATCATGCCACTGCACTCCAGCCTGGGTGACAGAGTGAGATTCTGTCTGAAAAAAACAAACAAAAAAAACAAACAAAAACCCAGACTATATTGTTTAGGGATACTTAGTTGACAAAATAACAGACACAAACAGGACATAATTACCATAAAAATCAGGACCTGGGGGGGGGGGTTGGGGGGGGAGATTTAAGTGGAAAGAATGGAGCGGTGACAATGTGTGTCAACCTGGGAGGTGGTGACCCTGGGGTTCGCTTTGTAATTCCTCAAAATGAGCATTTATGTGCTATTCACTTTTCACAGGGCAGAATCTCTGAACTAACATGTTTACGCAGCCATATGCAAAAAAAAAAAAATGGATAATTTGTATTCTAATTAAAATATTTAAAAATTGGAGACAAGGCGGCCGGGCGCGGTGGCTCAGGCCTGTAATCCCAGCACTTTGGGAGGCTGAGGCGGGTGGATCACAAGGTCAGGAGATCGAGCCCATCCTGGCTAACACAGTGAAACCCTGTCTCTACTAAAAACACACACAAAAAAATTAGCCGGGCGTGGTGGCAGGCGCCTGTAGTCCCAGCTACTCGGGAGGCTGAGGCAGGAGAATGGCGTGAACCTGGGAGGCGGAGCTTGCAGTGAGCCGAGATCAGGCCACTGCATTCCAGCCTGGGCGACAGAGCTAGACTCCGACTCAAAAAAAAAAAAAAAATAGAGACAAGGAACTAACTATGTTGCTCACGCTGGTCTCAAACTCTCAGGGCTCAAGCAATCCTCCCGCCTCGGTCTCCCAAGGCGCTGAGATTCCAGGCATGAACCACTGTGCCCAACCAGGGAAAAATAAAATAAAATAAATAAATAAATGTATATATATATACATACACACACACGGGTGTGTATGTATATATATATGTATATATACACACACGTGTGTATGTATATATACACACACGTGTGTATATATATATACACACACGTGTATATATATACACACACGTGTATATATACACACACATATGTGTATATATATATGTATGTGTGTATATATTTTTCATACGTGTATATATATAACATTTTTGTTTTTTTGAGACACAGTTTCACTCTTGTTGCCCAGGCTCGAGTGCAATGGCTCGATCTCAGCTCACGGCAAACTCCGCCTCCAGGGTTCAAATGATTCTCCTGCCTCAGCCTCCCGAGTGGCTGGGATTACAGGCGCCCGCCACACGCCCAGCTGATTTTTGTATTTTTAGTAGAGACGAGGTTTCAACATGTTGGCCAGGCTGGTCTCGAACTCCTGACCTCAGGTGGTCATGTTTTGTAGACAGCAGGAGCTTCATGAAAAGAAGCCAATGAAGGGCAAGGAAGTGTAGCTGTCTACCTACGGGAAACCAGCCAGGAGCCTCCCCACAGGGCACCTGTAATCCCAGCTACTTGGGAGGCTGAGGCAGGAGAATCGCTGGAACCCAGGAGGCGGAGGTTGCAGTGAGCTGAGATCGTGCCACTGCAGTCTAGCCTGGGTGACACAGCAAGACTCCGTCTCAAAAAAAAAAAAAAAAAAATCAGAAGTGGACTGTAGCCTATAGTGTGTTGCCTAATAAACTTATTTTTAGAGATACTTCTTTCAATTTTCTGTGAGGTCATCTGCAGTTTCACATGGTAGACAGACTTAGGTGAGATTCTTAGCAAGGTAGAACGAAGAGTAAAGAGGTTTGTTTATTTCACAAGGGTTTATTGAAGGCCTACGATGTGTTAAATGCTGTAGGAAATACCCACTGATTTCTCTTTCATGGAGGTTTCCTGCCTTCTCTTAACAAGTTATCAATTAAACGGTTTACTGGAAATTGCTAAGTTAATGAACACACGGGATACATTCTTTGGATGAGCAGACATTGGTTGGGCAGAGGAGGAAGAGGAGAGCGGTTTAGACAGAAACCTGCTTATACACTGTAGTGTCTAAAAGAGCTTGTGATGTTCAGGAAACAATTGTTCACTGCGCTACAATATAGGGGACGGCCAGTTGCAGTGGCTCACACCTGTAATCCTAGTGCTTTGGGAGGCCAAGGAGGGCAGATCACCTGAGTTCAGGAGTTCAAGACAAGCCTGCCTGCCCAATATGGTGAAACCCCATCTCTACTAAAAACACAAAAATTAGCCGGGTGTGATGGTGGGTGCCTGTAATCCCAGCTACTTGGGAGGCTGAGACAGGAGAATCGCTTGAACCTGGGAGGCAGAGGCTGCAGTGAGCTGAGATCATGCCGTTGCACTCTAGCCTGGGCGACGGGGTGAGCACTCTCAAATAATAATAATAAATAATAATTATCATAATGGTGATGATGTAGGGGACTTGATGAATGGAAAGGATTAGAGAGATTCTGAACATAAGGTAGTTTTGGGCCCAGTGATGACTAGATTTTAAATTTCATATAGTAGGAAGTGGGGCACTAGTAAATTTTTAAGCAGAAGAATTATTTGACCAGATTTGTGATTTCAAAAATAGCTCTGGTGATAGAGTGGAGGATGGCTTGGAGCAGGGAATAAAGGGCAGTAAAACTGTTATAAAACTCTTAAAGCTAGTACAGCAAGACTTTGAGGGTCTTTGCAAAGACAGCAGCTGGCAGCTTCAATTTGGAGTAGGGTATCAAAGGCAACTGTGTATAAGGAATAGTTATGTAACTGGTACCCAATTTCTGAGATGATTTTGACTTAAACATTGTGTATTTTCCAGCATACTGTTGGTTTTTCTAATTATATGGGAAATTATGTTGCTTTCACTTTTTTTTTTTTTTTTTTTTTTTTTGCTCGTTGCCCAGGCTGGAGTGCAATGCTGCAATCTCAGCTCACTGCAACCTCTGCCTTCCCGCTTTAAGTGATTCTCCTGCCTCAGCCTCCTGAGTAGCTGGGTTTATAGGCGCCCACCATGATGCCTGCCTAATTTTTTGTATTTTTAGTAGAGACAGGGTTTCACCATGTTGGCCAGGATGGTCTCCAACTCCTGACCTCAAGTGATCTGCCTGCCTCTGCCTCCCAAAGTGCTGGGATTACAGGCATGAACAACCGCGCCTGCCCCCCTTTCTCCTTACTGGGTATGTTAAAATTATTTCTTTCAAAAGAAAAGGCTGGTCAAAGTGCAACGGTGTTAACCACTAATTGATCACAACCAGTTACAGATTTTTTTGTTCCTTCTCCACTCCAACTGCTTCATTTGACTAGCCTATGGACAAAAAAAAAAAGAGGAAAGAAAAAGCTAAACTATTTAATCTGGGCTAGTAAATGGCCAGAAAGGGCTTTATAAAAATGAAATATACAAAATGATACTCGTACGTTTAACTAAAGGTATAGTTATGACTCTTCAATTTGCATATGTTATAAATAATATCAATATAAAAGCTTATAGCATGGGTCCATTTTTTTTTTTTTTTCTTTTTGAGACGAAGTCTCACTGTCTCCCAGGCTGGAGTACAGTGGCGCGATCTCGGCTCACTGCAAGCTCCGCCCCCCGGGTTCATGCCATTCTAGCATGGGTCCATTTTTAATAAATACATAAATATTTAAACTTTCTAGATCTAAAGCTTAAGGACTATGGAGTGGATCTCATTGAAGTTTCAGACAATGGATGTGGGGTAGAAGAAGAAAACTTTGAAGGCTTAAGTAAGTTGACTTTGTCTAATCCTATTATAAAATAATTGGGCCACATGTCTCAGGATTTTGAGTAACACTGTCTTGGGAAACGCAAAAACAGTTTTTTAAGCCAGTTACTAGATATCATGTATATCTGTTGTTTTAGCACTTGAGGTATCTTATTCCTTACTTTACAGTCTCTTTCAGCTCTGAAACATCACACATGTAAGATTCAAGAGTTTGCCGACCTAACTGAGGTTGAAACTTTCGGCTTTCAGGGGGAAGCTCTGAGCTCACTGTGTGCACTGAGGTGATACAATGTTTTTATCCATTCACTTGACCCCTTAGAAACACCTCTCAGAAAGTTAATTGGAATTGTTATTATTTACAATTTTCTATCTCGGTATCTCAGCTTCTAGCTTCTGAATTCTGTTTTGTCTCACTGCCAATCTAAGTCCTAGTACTTCTGAAATGTGGGAAATAAATGAATGAAATGAAGCAAATAGTATTGTTAAAAAAAAATGGTTACCCTTATTAGAACAGTAACTTCTCAATTTTAACATAACATATAGGTAATAAATGATAGTTACCATTACTTTTCATCATCAAATTTTAGGGAAACATTTCACCAAAGCACTATTTAATTATAGCACATATACTAAATTTTTATAATTATATTTAAATATATATATACATATATATGTGTATATATATATACACATATATATGTGTGTGTGTATATATGTGTGTGTATATATATACACATATATATGTGTGTGTGTATATATATACACATATATATGTGTGTGTGTATATATGTGTGTGTGTGTATATATATATATATGTATTTTTTTTTTTTTTTTAGACAGAGTCTCACTCTGTCACCCAGGCTGGAGTGCAGTGGCACAGTCTCAGCTCACTGCAATCTCTGCCTCCCAGGTTCAAGTGATTCTCGTGCCTCAACCTCCTAAAGAGCTGGGACTATAGCGTGCACCACCACTCCTGGCTAATTTTTGTATTTTTAGTAGAGATGGGGTTTTGCCGTGTTGCCCAGGCTGGTCTGGAACTCCAGGCCTTAAGTGATCTGCACTCCTCGGCCTCCCAAAGTGCTGGAATTACAGGCATGAGCCACCGCACCCTGCCCTACATATACATTTTAATTATAATATCTTTTGGATTCTTTAAAAATTTTAAAAAATTTTTTAATTCTTTAAAAAATTCTTTAAAACAATTTTATTTGAAGAGTAATAACAAAACAAATCTCTATTTGTGAATAAATAAACCTTGAGATCATTTATGGTTTTGCAATTCAACCTGAAAAATGAAATCAAAGCTTTTATCAAAACAAAGCATGTTTAGTGCTCTCTGTCTCACTGTCTTTTAGATGCCAAACCTTAGATTTTATGATGACTCCTCAACCGTTTAGATCTTGGTTATCTCAGAGGGATCATCAGCTTTTTAAGAAAGTTTTGAGAGAAAAGCAAGTGAAGAAAAGCGTAGTCAATGCTCAACATCACGGGTCTCTCACTGAACACACCACGCCTGGTATTCTCTCACAGCGATGTCACCATTTCTACCTGCCACGCATCGGCGAAGGTTGGGACTCGACTGGTGTTTGATCACTATGGGAAAATCATCCAGAAAACCCCCTACCCCCACCCCAGAGGGATGACAGTCAGCGTGAAGCAGTTATTTTCTACACTACCTGTGCGCCATAAGGAATTTCAAAGGAATATTAAGAAGGTACAGTAAATTAATCCTGGTTTTCAAGAGTATTGGTTAATGCACATGAGCAAAAGATTTACTAAAGATGTTTATTCTTCAGTTGATACTCTTGCCATAATCTATTGAGAAATGCTTTATTTGCATTTCTCGTTAAAGACTTAACATTAAAGACTTAACTTAGGGTGATTTACTTTTTTCTTTTCATCACATAGTGTTTATTAGGACTGGGCAACATAGTGAGACTCTGTTTCTATGAAAAATTAAAAAAAAAATTGACTGGGCATGGTGGCATCCACCTGTAGTTCCAGCTACTTGGGAAGCTGAAGTGGGAGATTCACTTGAGCCCAGAAACTTGAGGCTGCAGTGAGCTATGATTGCACCACTGTATTTCAGACTGGGAGACAGAGTAAGACCCTGTCTGGAAAAATATATATACATATATATATTTTATTTTTATTTTTTATTTTTATCTTTTTTTGAGATGGAGTCTCACTTTGGCGCCCTGGCTGGAGTGCAGTGGCACGATCTCGATTCACTGCAACCTCCACCTCCCGAGTTTAAGCGATTCACCTGCCTCAGCCTTCTGAATAGCTGGGATTACAGGCGCGCACCACCACACCTGGCTCATTTGTTTATTTTTAGCAGAGACGGGGTTTCACCATGTTGTCCAGGCTGGCCAGGCTGGTCTCGAATTCCTGACCTCAGGTGATCCGCCCACCTCGGCCTCTCAAAGTGCTGGGATTATAGGCGTGAGCAACCATGCCTGCCTTATGTACTTATATTTTAATGAGACTATTTCTCTTGGTTTTCTGATAAATGAGTTACTGGAACCCTTATGAATCTGAATGCAAAAGAAACAGCTAAATGTTATGTAATTGTTGTGTTTAAAAACCAGATTATAAAACTATCTGTATTATATGATTACAGTTTAATAAAAACAAAACAACGGCCTAAATGTGTATAGTATAAAGGCTGGAAGAGTCAGCACTTTCATGTTCTCAGCGGTTATCCTTGGATGTGAGATCTCATGCACTTTTTGCTCTCTTCTTTGTGCCTTTCCATTTTGTATGTGTATTTTTTACAATCTAAAAAGTTACTTAAACATATGCAGCTAAAAACTTTTTTTACTCGTAAAGCATTTGGTGCTAATTTTAACTGTTCTTTTTTTAGACAGAGTCTTCTCACTCTGTTGCCCAGGCTGGAGTGCAGTGGTGTGATCTTGGCTCACTGCAACCTCTACCTCCTGGGTTCAAGTGATTCTCCTGCCTCAGTCTCCCAAGTAGCTGGGATTATAGGTATGTGTCACCATGACCAGCTAATTTTTGTATTTTTAGTAGAGATAGGGTTTCACCATGTTGGCCAGGCTGGTCTTGCACCCCTGACCTCAAGTGATCTGCCTGCCTCAGCCTCCCAAAGTGCTGGGATTACAGGCATGAGCCACCACACGTGGCCTTTTTTTTAAAGCTTTTTTGTAAGTCAGCTAGCAAGAACACAGGAAGAAATACTCAAATCTCCCTTACCCAGCTGGGGGCTATGTCAGGTTTTATAAGCATAGGGTAATGAGTTGTGATTTGATTGGATCTTGCAATAAAGTAATGCTGGGAGGTGTGATCTGACTGGATCCTGCCATGGGATGACACCAAAACTCAATCTGATTGGATCCTGGCTCCTGCCATGGAGTGTCCAGTTCTTAAATCAGTCTCAGCTCTTCAGGCCGAGCTCTTAGGTTCCACTCCGTGGTTGCATGCTTGGTTAACCTGGGCATGCACAGGGTACATGCCCTTCAACCTGTGGGTCCATGGCAATTGAAAAACAACTGACAACCTCATTACATAAAAGTTGAACTGAGCCGGGTGCAGTGACTCACGCCTGTAATCCCAGCACTTTGGGAGGCCAAGGCAGGTGGAGGTCAGGACTTCAAGACCAGCCTGGCCAAAATGGTAAAACCCCGTCTCTACTAAAAATATAAATGTTAGCCAGGTGTGGTGGTGCACCCTTATAATCCCAGCTATCTGGAGGCTGAGGCAGCAGAATCACTTGAACCTAGGAGGTGGAGGTTGCAGTGAGCTGAGTTAGTACCATTGCACTCCAGCCTGGGTGACAAGAGTGAAACTCCGTCAAAAAAAAAAAAAAAGTTGAACCAGATTTGGTCTGATGCAGTTACAGATCTACAAACCTCACCCCCACCCTTCTGCCAACACCTTCCACTCCTCATTCTTGAGGGATTAGGGATGGAGGTCATGCTTCTGCTTCGACTTCATGCTGAGCAGGGCACTGAGTCCCCTAAAGTGAAAGGAATGAAACTCCTGGGCTTCTGAGTTCAAATGAGTTCTGGGGTCACCCGGAGTAGCTTGAAAGGCTGGTATTGTTGTAATACAAGCTGAAGGTGGAAGTGTTGGATCCTGGAGAACAAACAGCTCACCATCCATTTAAATAAATAGGACCAAAAAGTAACAGAACAGTGGCCACGAGGGGCCCCAACAGAGGAAGAAACCAGGTGAGGTGCGGTATAGTGGACTCGACTGCCTTCTAAATCTCAGTTGTTGGCTGGGTGCGGTGGCTCACACCTGTAATTCCAGCAAAAGAAAAGCCGAGGCAGGGTGATCACGAGGTCAGGAGTTCAAGACCAGCCTGGCAAACATGGTGAAGCCCTGTCTCTACTAAAAATACAAAAATTAGCTAGGCATGGTGGCATGTGCTGTAGTCCCAGCTACTCGGGAGGCTGAGGCAGGAGAATCGCTTGAACCCGGGAGGCGGAGGTTGCAGTGAGCCGAGATTGTGCCACTGCACTCCAGCCTAGGTAACAGAGCAGGACTCCATCTCAGTCAATCAATCAATCAATCAATCTCAGCGGTTGAACTACCCTTGACATGGTTCAGCTCTGTATCCACACCCAAATCTCATGTCAAATTGTAATTCCCAGTGTTGTGGGAGGGACCTGGTGGGAGGTGATTGGCTCATGGGGGCCGACTTCCCCCTTGCTGTTCTCGTGATATTGAGTGAGCGCTTGTGGGATCTGGTTGTTTAAAAGCGTGCAGCCCTCCCACTTCACTCTCTCTGTCTCTCCTGCTCCAACATGGCCAGACGTGCCTGCTTCCCCTTCGCCTTCTGCCGTGATTGTCAGTTTCCTGAGGCCTCCCCAGCCACGCTTCCTGTACAGCCTGCAGAACTGTGAGTCAATTAAACCTCTTTTCTTCATAAATTACCCAGTTTCTCATAGTTCTTTATAGCAGTGTGAAAACAGACTAATGGACCCTTCTGGTTGAAGGAATGCAGCCATTCTGCTTGTTTGACTATGTCCTTTCTATTCATCTCTATTTCCTGGGAGGTGTTTATCCAAGTGCAATAGGAGGTATTGGTGACTGCACAGTCCCCTCAGTGTTCTGCTAGTAAATAGTTGAAGGTTGATCATTGATCTCCTGCGTTTTCAGTCTGGCATGGAAAAGCCCCCATGCAACTGGTAGTAAAGATATCAATAAGCACCAGGAGGTATCTAAATCCACCAGGAGCCATAGGCATCACGTTGACGTCCATTTACCAGTCTTCCCTGGCAAGATTCTTCTGAATTGTGCTGCCTTGGCCAAAAGAGGTGTGGGAGGGGCTGGGCGCAGTGGCTTGTGCCTGTAATCCCAACATTTTGGGAAACCAATTCAGGTGGATCATTAGAGGTCAGGGGTTCAAGACCATCCTGGCCAACATGGTGACATCCCATCTCTACTAAAAATACAATAAGTTAGCTGGGTTTGGTGTTGGGTGCCTGTAATCCCAGCTACTCGAGAGGCTGAGGCAGGATAATCGCTTGAACCTGGGAGGAGGAGGTGGCAGTGAGCTGAGATCGTGCCATTGCACTCCAGCGTGGGCAACAAGAGTGAAACGTCGTCTCAAAAAATAAAAAAAAAAGTCCGGGCGTGATGGCTCACACCTGTAATCCCAGCACTTTGAGAGGCCAAGACGGGTGGATCACGAGGTCAGGAGTTCAAGACCAGCCTGGCCTAGATGGTGAAACCCTGTCTCTACTAAAAATACAAATATTAGCTGGGCATGGTGGCATGCACCTGTAATCTCAGCTACTCAGAAGTCTGATGCAGGAGAATTGCTAAAACCCAGGAGGGGGAGGTTATATTGAGCTGAGATTGCACCACTGCACTCTAGCCTGGGCGACAGAGCAAGACTCCGTCTCGAAAGAAAGAAAGAGAAAGGAAATTCCCCAGGGAAGTACCTCGGCTGATTTCATAAACAGGTACCGAAGGAAGCAGAGGCATGTGGAGGACTTCCCCACCTCGTGCAGCTATTTGGGCCGTGGCGTCTGAAATTTATTATTTCAGAGTCACCCCTTTGATGACCTTGGCAGTGAACTGCAGTCATCTGTTTAGGCCTTTCCATGGCCCACGTCAATGCCGTTATTTCTGTTTGTTGCACATTTGATTTCCTTGTTGTTGGCATTTAGAAGGCCCCCTGCTTCCCAGATCACACCACGGGCATGGACCACAGAGATTGCATCTTGTGAGTCTGTAGAAATGGTCAAGGCCTTGTCCTCTCTTAGGTCCAGAGCTCAGGTGAATGCAGATTTTCCCGGCCATCTGTGCTGAAGTCCCTGTGGGGAGGCTCCTGGCTGGTTTCCTGTAGGTAGACAGCTACACGTCCTGCCCTTCATTGGCTTCTTTTCATGAAGCTCCTGCCATCTACAAAACATGTCTCCCTTCTTGAATCACTTCTCTGTTATTGAAACTCTAGAAGTCAACCGGGCATGGTGGCTATGCCTATAATCCCAGCATTTTGGGATGCCAAGGCGGGTGGATCACCTGAGGTCAGGAGTTCAAGACCAGCCTGGCCAACATGGCGAAACCCCGTCTCTAATACAAATACAAAAATTAGCCAAGCATGGTGGCCACTGTACTCCAGCCTGGGCGACAGAGCAAGACTCTGTCTCGAAAAAAAAAAAAAAAAAAAAAAGAGAAAGAAAGTATCATGCTTTTCTGCATTCTGTGAATTGTTTTAGTGAGTTATCGAACTTGAGGGCATGGTGGGAACCTCCAAATTTGCAGCCAGTTGGTGAGAAGTACATGTGGTCTGAGGACACCCAAGCCTGCAGGTGTGTCTAAAGCGAGGGCAGCCTAGTAGGGGCTGGTGGCCTTAACCTGTGGCATTTGAGGTAACATCAGGGAGTTGACATCAGAATTGCATCACATAGGCTGGGCGCGGTGGCTCACACCTGTAATCCTAGCACTTTGGGAGGCCAAGGCGGGCAGATCACGAGGTCAGGAGATCGAGACCATCCTGGCTAAGACAGTGAAATCCCGTCTCTACTAAAAATACAAAAAATTAGCCAGGCATGGTGGCGGGCGCCTGTAGTCCCAGCTACTTGGGAGGCTGAGGCAGGAGAATGGCGTGAACCCAGGAGGCGGAGCTTGCATTGAGCCAAGATCACGCCACCGCACTCCAGCCTGGGTGACAGAGCGAGACTCCATCCCCCCCCCAAAAAAAAAAAGACCAAAAACAGAATTGTGTCTCAGGCCAGATGCAGTGGCTCATGCTTATAATCCCAGCAATTTGAAAGGCAAGGTAAGAAGATCGCTTGAGCTTGAGTCTGAGGCCGCAGTGAGCTATGACCACACCACTGCACCCCAGTCTGGGTGACAGCGCAAGACCCCAACTCCAAAAAGGAAAAAGAAAAATCACAAAGAATTGCATGTCAGAGTGCCTGTCTTTCACAGCTTTAACTGCTGCAGGAACGAACTTTTTTTTTTTTTTTTTTTTTGAGAGGGTGTGAGGAGACACAATCTCTGCTAGTGATTCTCCTGCCTCAGCCTCCCAAATAGCTGGGATTATAGGCGTGCACCACCACGCCTGCCTAATTTTTGTATTTTTAGTAGAGACAGGGTTTCACCATGTTGGCCAGGCTGGTCTCAAACTCCTGCTGGGATCATGGGCGTGAGCCACCACGCCCGGCCACCTTTAGAGTTTTCTTACCACCTGGTTTTCCTCTCTCAATATCTTTCTCTCATTTCCTGCCTTAAAACTCTAGCTTGGCATCTGGGCGCAGTAGCTCATGCCTGTAATCCCAGCACTTTGGGAGGCCGAGGTAGGTGGATCACTTGAAGTCAGGAGTTCGAGACCAGCCTGGCCAACATGGTGAAACCTTGTCTCTACTATTTTTACAAAAGTTAGTCGGACGTACAGACGGGTGCCTGTAGTCCCAGCTACTTGGGAGGCTGAGGCAGGAGAATTTGTTTGAACCCAGAGGTGAAAGTTGCAGGGAGCCGAGGTTGTGCCACTGCACTCCAGCCTGGGAGACAGAGCAAGACTCTGTCTCCAAAACAAACAAACAAACAAAAAAACCCTGTAGCTTGGGATCAGCCTTCTCTTCTATTGTTTTTCTTTAAAAAATAAAAATTAAAAATAGATGTAGATGCTATGTTGCTGAGGCTGGCCTCAAACTCCTGGCCTCAGGTGATCCTCCCACCATGACCTCCAAAACCGCAGGGATTGTAGGTGTGAGCACTGCACCCAGCCTTATGTTTTTTTCTACATAAAAAACAGCACAGGATTATCTTCCAGAGCTAATAAATATGTTCAAATAACCACAACCCCATTAAGGAAAAATATCACTGGGCAGCAAATAATCAATCCAGACCAATATGATCACAATTGCTGTGAAGGTGAGAAAAGTTCATTTTTATTATGTTTCCCCAAGAGACCCACTCTATTGTTCTCTTGAAAACACACAGCTCATGTCCTCCTTTAGAACACACATTCTCTTTAAAGTAATATACAAACATGCCAAAACAAGGTAAAAAATTACATCTGAATTCTCACATTTCAAACATATATGAAATATCAAATAAAAATTTATTTTTACAAGAATTTAGGGGAACTACTACATAGCTATAAATGTAATATATATGTTAACTAAGTATCATAGATAAAATCCATGCTCCCTTCAGCAGCACGTGTAATAATAGATACAAAGATTGAAAGGTAAAAGATTTAGGATGAAAAGAATCCTCTCTTAAAAAGGAAAACAAAATTATATGTATGTGTATATAACAGTTATAATACCCATCACACAGCTTTGTAGAAACAGCATCTATTCAAAAATACCAGTATTTCCAAAATATTTAAAATAATATTTAATGTAAAAATAATATTTAAATAAATAAATATATTTAATAAATATTTAAATAAATAAAATAATATTTAAATAATTCTATACCCATGTTTTTCAAAATAAACCAATAAAATAGATAGTATATATTAGACGTGTTAGTATATATATCTGAGACATGTTAAAAATCACAACTGAATTCTCACAATTCAGTCACAAACCTAAACAGCAAATAAAAATTTCTATCACCAGAATTATGTATTTTTCTGGTGGGGAACTACCAATAGCTATAAATAGAAGAGATTATTATGGAAGTATCATAGATAAAAAGAGTGCTCGCTTCAGGAGCACATATAATAATACAGAAACAAATTTAAAGATAATAAAATATTTAGGATAAAAGAATTGTCTCTTAAAAATGAAAAGAAAATTAGCTTTATGTATATATAACAACTATAACTCTCATCAAAAAACTACAGGAACAGCATGTTTTCAAAAGTACAACAATTTCCAAACTATTTGAAATAAATCTATGAATAATTCAATGGCCGACATTTTCCAAACAAACCAATAAAATGCAGAGTGTGCATGAAGCTATCTGTTACAATCTGTGGCACTGATATTTCACAAAAGAATTCTGTCCCAATCTGAGCCCCTGCATTGTGCCTTCAAATCCTCCTGGACTGCAAGTCCGTAAGAAACAGGACCTCCAGGTTCCGCCCCAGGGAGGTTGGAATTCAGCAATATAAAAAGGGTGGTGGTGCCGCAGGAAAGGGTGGAACTGGAAACGCTCCTGGTTTCTTACTTTTCTCCAAGGACTCCTAGAAGGACCCCACCCCCCTCCCCCCACCCCTGCTCCTAGGAGGACAACGTGATCACTGTATTCAGCTCCATCAAGAATGGTCCAGGTTCTTCTAGATGATCTGCACAAATGGTTCCTCTCCTCCTGCCTGGTGTCTGCCATTAGCATTGGAATAAAGTTCCTGCTGAAAATCCACATCTCCCCTGGGTCCGGTGTTCTGGAAGCGAGAGAGACAATGTCACACTTCAAGGAGGCAGCTCTCTAGACAGGAAAGTTATTCACGTCCCATGTCAATTGAGAAATGCAATTTTATCTGCTGCCTTTCATTCTATACCCTGCTTCTGAACCATCGTGTTCAACTGTGAAACTCACACTTTGGTGACCACGACTCCAAAACTCACTTAATACACCCAAGGTCAGCCCCAGTGATCTGCTTCATACCAAGGACTTTGGGTGGGTCTGCCCAGGGAGTAGGGCACCCTCAGAGAATGTGGCTTTGGACTTTATCACAGCTGGGGCCTTTTGTGTCACTTAAGATCTAAACTTGTAACCATGCTAGATGTGTTTCTAATGTGACAACATCACGAACCACGAGTCCAGAAGCCTAATCCTTAATCCTACCTCCTCATGATGAAGTCTCATGCTCTGTGCTCAACGTGGTTAGCTGCACAAGATGTAAACCAAAGCTTCACTGAACCCTCGACCCAAATCAGTAACTCAAGTGCGTCAATCATAATGAACCTCCCCAAACTCAGTTTTTATGATTATTTTTGAGGCAGGGTCTCACTCTGTCGCCCAGACTGGAGTGCAGTGGCAGGATCAGGGCTCCGTGCGGCCCCGACCTTCCAGGCTCCAGCGATCCTCCCGCCTCAGCCTCCTGAGTAGTTGGGAGTAGAGATGCGTCCCACATCGCCTGGCTAATTTTTGTATTTTTGTGGAGAGGGGATCTCGCCACGTTGCCCAGGCTTGAAGCCAGATCAAGCAATTGGGTTCTTCGGATTTCCGAAATAGACCCCAATATTCTGCCTTTACCCCAGAGGATGCAGATGTACCTTCTCTCAGGCCGATGACCTCAGGCCTCCCCGGTCCCTGGAGCTCTAGGAAAGGTGAGCGCGATCTCGCGCCCACACCCAGTGCTCTGGGTCATAAGCCTGGATCTGGAAAAACAAACGCCCTTTGAGAAGACGGGGACTCGCCAGGATACCCCTCTCTCCCCTCATCCAGCCTCCAGCCCACCCAATTCCTCCCCACCTCCTCCACCTCCCCAGGCCCCACTCACCTCCTCCAACTCCTCTGGGGAAACCCAAGCCCTGCAGCTCATGGAACAGAAGAAGTGGAACCGTCGTTTCTGGAACAGGACTATCTGAGAGCGGTTCTTCCTGGCCCTCGAGTTCATGGAACGGTATAACTGGAACCGATGCTTACGGAGCAAGGGTATGCGAGAGCGGTTCTTCCTGGCCCTCGGGTTCGTGGAACGGTATAACTGGAACCGACGCTTACGGAGCAAGGGTATGCGAGAGCGGTTCTTCCTGGCCCTCGGGTTCATGGAATGGCCTAACTGGAACCAACGCTTACGGAGCAAGGGTATGCGAGAGCGGTTCTTCCTATACAGGAAGTGGAAGATGTTTTGTTTGGAGTCCTCGTCGTCCTCCTCCATGTCATTGGCCAGGTAGCTGAGGACAGAAATCAGGTTGCTGCTCAGGGGCACCACCAGGAGAGGCCTCCGGCTGAGGTCAGCTTCCCAGAGAGGAAGGTAAGGGACCGTCCCTAGCTCAGGACTGGCACCCACCCTGCAGAGAGCCATGCCTTCCTCAGGAGGGCTCTGCTGGACAGAGACCTGATCAAGGGCGTCTCCCACTCCTTCAGGATGGAGACAAAAACCCAACTGGTGGCCGAGAGTGGTGGCTTACGCCTGGAATCCCAGCACACTGGGAGGCCAAAGCAGGAGGATCACTTGAGGCCAGGAGTTTGAGACGGGCCTGGGCAACATAGCAAGACCCTCGTCTCTATTAAAAATGTAAGAAATATGCAGACGCGGTGGCTCATGCCTGTAATCCCAGCACTTTAGAAGGCTGAAGCAGGTGGATCGCTTGAGACCAGGAGTTGGAGACCAGCCTGGTCAACACGGAGAAACCCCATCTCTACTAAAAATACAAAAATGAGCCTGGTGCGGTGGCACACCCGTTAGGCCTAGCTACTCAGGAGGCTGAAGCACAAGAATTGTGTGAACCCAGGAGGCGGAGGTTGCAGTGAGTTGAGATTGGGCCACTCCATTCCAGCCTGAGAGGCAGAACAAGACTCTGTCTCAATAAACAAACAAACAAACAAACTGTCCAGGTGTGGTGGCACAGCCCTGTAGTCGGAGCTAATAAAGAAGCTGAGGTGGGAGGATCGCTTGAGCCCAGGATATGGAGGCTGCGGTGAGCTATGATCTCACCACTGCACTCCAGCTTGGGGGACAGGGCAAGTCTGTCTCAAAAAAATAAAAGAAATTGAATACATTGATATTTTGCCAGGACCCTGCCTTCTACAGGCATTTAGTCTAATGGGACTGGGAGTAATCAAGGCAGATGACCTAATCCCAGTGTCCAGGATGTAACTAGAGAGCTACGGGCATGCAGAAGTTGGAAGATGAGGGAAGGCATCACAGAGGCTGTGGGGTGAACTGATTTCAAGGAATGGGTCCTTCCCTTCAGAGCCACATGTGTGCGGGACACCCAGACAGAAAACACAAACACAAAGTCGAGTGGAGGGCATTTGGAAGGAGCAGTGAAGCCGAGCCAGGAAATACCAAGATGGCGAGCCAGTGTGCTTGTAGAGATTGTAGAGAGGGTAGAATTGACACTGTGGACCCTGGCCTCGATAGAGAAAGGCATCAGCTAAGGAAGTTGTTCAGGTGGGCAGTGAGGTTGTCGTGCTTTGGAAAGATGTTCAGGCTGCACTAGGAAGCCCCCTGGCTTGGGGAGAGACTCCAGGAGACCCCAGCGGGGAGCATTTGACAGTAAATTCGAGTGATGCGAGGGGGACCTGAACTGTGGCCTCTGTCATGGGAACCCAGAGGAGGTCGATGGCGTTTGTGGTTGATGTGGGAAGGAGAGAGAGAGAAGAACCAGAAACGTCTGCTTGCTGGAGGAAGCGGCATGTCCGCTCCTCCACTCCTTTTCTTTTCCCCTTAGGAGCGGTTTATGGTTCCTTTTGTTTTATTCTTTTATTTGTACACTGGCATTGGAGTTTGTTTTTTTGGCTTTTTTTTTTTTTTTTTTTTTTTTTTTTGAGAAAAAGTCTCACTCTGTCACCCAGGCTGGAGTACAGTGGCTCGACCTTAGCTTACTGCAACCTCCACCTCCTGGGTTCAAAGGGTTCTCTTGCCTCAGCCTCCCGAGTAGCTGGGATTACAGATGCACACCACCACGCCCAGCTAATTTTTCTATTTTTAGTAGAGACGGGATTTGGCCATGTTGGCCAGGCTGGTCTCGAACTGCTGACCTCAGGTGATCCGCCTGCCTCGGCCTCCCAAAGTGCTGGGATTACAGGCGTATTCCACTGTGCCCAGCCTGAGTTTCTGTTTAGAAACAACAGTCTATGATAGTATAATCCTCTCTTTTTTGTACACAGAGTAAAGAGGACAAATAGGTGAAAGAATAAATGAAAGGCTGGAATCCCACTTCCCCCGCTGTCCCAGGGCATTGGATATTGACGGATAGGAGGCAGCAAACCACTCACAGAGCCAGGAAGAAATGAATGCGTTGGTATTGCCAGGAGGGGAAGCCAGCCCGGCTGAAATACGCTATGACCATAGCCAGGAGATACTGATGGAGAGAAAGGAACACAGAGAGGGAGAGGTCACATCTTGGAAGAGGAAGATTGTGGAGAGGGGGAATGAGGGTCTGGGGAGGGGCTGCCCATCAGAGAAGGGACCTCAGTGTTGGGGTGACTACTCATTTGGAAATTGCGGGATGGAGGGGTATTCGAAGGTCGGATGCAAATCCGAGAAGCCAGAGGAAGGGTTTTGGGTGATGCTCCCAGGATGGTGGGCTCCGATGGGATCTTTGGAGGGGGTGTGTCTAGGTCGGCTGGTGTCAGGAGGGTCTTTTGTGTGCCAGGCAGAGAACTGTCCCGAAGAGCTGAGAGTAGAGGGGCCAGGAGCTTCAGGGCTGCGGCCAGACTGTGGCCCAGAGCTCAGATCCCAAAGGACCCATAGGAGAGGCAGGGGCCACTCATTCACTCTGCAAGAGACCAGCAGAATCCTGAGGGAGATGCTGACAAATCATAAAAAGACCAAGAATAGCCGGGAGTGGCGGCTCAAGCCTGTGATCCCAGTACTTTTTGAGAGGTGGAGACAGGAGGATCATGTGAGCCCAACAGTTCGAGAACAACCTGGGCAACATAGTGAGACCCTGTTTCTACAAACATTTCAAAAATTAGTTGAGCATGGTGGCATGTGCCTAGTCCCAGCTCCTCAGGAGGCTGAGGAAAGAAGATTGCTTGAGCCCAGGAATTAGAGGCTGCAATGAGCTATGTTCATGCCACTGCACTCCATCCTGGGGAGCAGAGCTAGACTCTGTCTCACAAAAAAAAAAATTTGTGGGTGCCAAGACTCAAGACCATGGGAGCTGGTCGGGCACAGTGGCTGACGTCTATAATCTCAGCACTTTGGGAGGCCAAGGCGGGTGGATCGCCTGAGGTCAGGTGTTCAGGACCAACCTGGCCAACATGGCAAAACCCCGTTTCTACTAAAAACACAAAAATTAGCCAGGCGTGGTGGTTCATGTCTGTAATCCCAGCTGCTTGGAGGCTGAGGCAGGAGAATCACTTGAACCCAGGAGGCATGGGCTGCAGTGAGTCAAGATCGAGACACAGCCCTCCAGCCTGGGCAACAGAGCAAGACTCTGTCTCACACACACACACACACACACACACAAAAAAAAAAAAAAAAAAAAAAAAAAAGACTGTAGGAGCATCTGGTGGGAGGTGGTGGAGGGAGAACTGTGGGTTTGGAAGCTGCGCCCTCCCCCCAGCCATGCGTTGGAACAGGAACAGTTACATGGAGAACAACCTTACCTTGTCCGACACCCTCAGATCTTTGTCCCAGGCCAAGAATCTTTTAATGACAGGATCCTCTGTGATTAGAGAGCAGATGTCAGTGTGAGAAGCAGGACAGGGTTTCCGTGGGAGCAGCAGGGCAGGGAGGAGAAGTGTGCCTCCCGGGGGGAAGTCTCAGGATTGTGGCCGCGGGTGAGGTGGATGGGAGAGGGGAGAATGACTTTCACTGGGCAAGGGAGAGAGGCTCCTGCTCTGAGACTCCCCTGAGAAGAGGCCGAAGGAGGCCCTGGGTGTGAGAATCTACAGGATGTAGAGCTGGGAATCAGCCAGGACCCCCTCCAGCAGACACGGAGGGACCACTGCAGAGTCATAAAGGAATTCCCATCATTTCCTCATGAGACAGTCACATCAGGGTGTGACCATGGCCTTGGTATCCCCCACTATGGATGGAGACACTTAGGTTTAGAAAAGTCAGTAAGAGACATTAAGTTTCAGAGGGCACAGCGGAAACCACTTTCTTTGTTTATTGATTTTGTTTTTCTTTATTTGATTTTTATTTTTATTTATTTATTAATTTATTTTGAGACAGAGTCTTGCTCTGTGGGCCAGGCTGGAATGCAGTGGCCTGATCTTGGCTCACTGCAACCTCTGCCTCCCGGGTTTAAGCGATTCTCCTGTCTCAGCCTCCCGAGTAGCTGGGATTACATGCATGAGCTACTGTGCCCAGCCTTGGTTTTTCTTTTGAGACAGGGTTTTGCTCTGTCACCCAGGCTGGAGTGCAGTGGTGTAGTCATAGCTCACTGCAGCCTCAAAGTCCTGAGTTCAAGCAATCCTCTTGCCTCAGCCTCCCAACGTGCTGGGATCTCAGGCGGGAGCCACTGCGCCTGGCCCGAAACCAAGCTTTCTTATCCCAAGCGCTGACCTTTATCAAGTTGACCTAATCCTTTATCATCTCCTAAGTGTCCCTCATGAGTGATCACTTCACATTCCTCCCACATGGAGAGCTCACCCACTGGGGCCTATTTTTCCCATTGGAAAAGTGTGGTTATTGGAAGTTTCCTGTTTTTGGAAAGAACAGGATTGGAGGTGCTCTCTGGGGTGTCCTCCTACCAAGCAGCCTGTTGAAGGCCTCGTGGTGCTCAGGGAGCACGAGCGACACTCGCCGTCGCTTCAGCTTCATCTTGAGGCCACACAGCATCTCCGCCACCCAGATCTCCTCAGGCTCAGGGGCGAGCACCTTCCGTGGCTCCTCCTCCAACGACTCCTCAGATTCGTCCCACCACTCCATCTTCCTTTTCCAGCAAAAGGACCTATGCGGGGGGCTGGGATCTACCCCAGGGGCTGAGTAAAGAAACCAGGCCACGGTGTAATGCTTCTGCAGTTGATCACACTAGAGCCCGACCCAAAACCCCAAACCACTCTCCATCCTCCCCAGCCTCGCAGACTGCTGGCTTCTCCAAGCCATCTTTCCTTCTGTCTGTCTCCTCTGCTGAGCTCCATGTGCCGCTCCTTCTCCTCCCCATTCTCCCGTTTTTCTGTCCTCAGAACACTTCCTCATATCCTTCCCTGGTCCCTGGCTCTCTGAGTCCCTTTTTTTTTTTTTTTTTTTCGTTGTTGTTGTCGTTGTTGTTGTTGAGAAACAGTCTTGCTTTGTGGCCTAGGCTGGAGTGTAGTGGTGCGATCTTGGCTCACTGCAACCTCTGCCTCCCGGGTTCCAGTGATTCTCCTGCCTAAGCCTCCCAAGTAGCTGGGATTACAGGTGCCCACCAGAACGCCCAGCTCATTTTTGTGCTTCTAGAAGAGACAGGGTTTCACCATGTTGGCCAGGCTGGTCTCCAACTCCTGGCCTCAAGTGATCTGCCTGCCTGGCCTCCCAAAGTGCTGGGATTACAGGTGTGAGCCACTGCACCCTGCCTCAGTACCTCCATTCTTCCCACACACCCTCCTCATGTGCTCCTTCCTGACTTCTGGGCCCTTCCTTCCTTTTTTTTTTTTTTTTTGAGACAGCGTCTCACTCTCTCACCCAGAATGGAATGCAGTGGCGCTATCTTGGCTCAAAGCAACCTCTTCCACCTGGGTTCAAGCGATTATCCTGTCTCAGCCTCCTGAGTAGCTGGGATAACAAGCATGCCTGGCTAATTTTTGTATTGTTAGTATAAATGAGGTTTCGCTATATTGGTCTGGTTGGTCTCGAACAACTGACCTCAAGTGATCCACCCATCTCAGCCTCCCAAAGTAATGGGATTACAGGCATGAGCTACCACACCCGGCCTTCGTTTTTCTTTTGACACAGGGTTTTGCTCTGTCACCCAGGCTGGAGTGCAGTGGTGCAGTCATAGCTCACTGCAGCCTCAAAGTCCTGAGTTCAAGCAATCCTCTTGCCTCAGCCTCCCAACGTGCTAGCATCTCAGGCGTGAGCCACTGCACCTGGCCCGAAACCAAGCTTTCTCATCCCAAGCGCCAACCTTTATCAAGTCTAGCCTAGTCCTCTATCGTCTCCTAAGTGTCCCTCATGAGTGATCACTTCTGAGTCCTCCTGCGTGGAGAGCTCAGCTACTGGGGGCGTATCTTTCCCATTGGAAAAGTGTGGTTATTGGAAGTTTCCTCTTTTTAGAAAGAACAGGATTGGAGGTGCTCTCTGGGGTATCCTCCTACCAAGCTGACTGTTGAAGTCCTTGTGGTGCTCAGGGAGGATGGATGACACTCGCTGTTGCTTCAGCTTCATCTTGAGCCCACACAGCATCTCCACTACCCAGGTCTCCTCAGGCTCAGGGGCGAGCTCCTTCTCCGGCTCCTCCTCAGATTCATCTGACCACTCCCTCTTCCTTTTCCAGCCAAGGGACCTACATGGGGGGCTGGGATCTACCCCAGGGGCTGAGTAAAGAAACCAGGCCACCGTGTAATGCTTCTGCATCTGATCACCTTAGACCCCGACCCAAAACCCCAAACCACTCTCCATCCTCCCCAGACTTGCAGACTGCTGGCTTCTCTAAGCCATCTTTCTGATTTTCTCCTCTGCTCGACCCCATGTGCCGCTCCTTCCCCTCCCCATTCTTCTCTCTCTCTGTCCTCCGAACACTGCTTCATGTCCTTCCCTGGTCCCTGGCTCTCTGAGTCCCTCCTTTTTTGTTTTGTTTTGTTTTGACACAGAATCTTGCTTTGTCACCCAGGCTGGAGTGTAGTGGTGCAATCTCAGCTCACTGCAACATCCATCTCCTGGATTCCATTTATTCTTCTGCCTCAGCCTCTCAGGTAGCTGGGATTACAGGTGCCTGCCATAATGCCCAGCTCAATTTTGTACTTTTAGTAGAGACAGGGTTTCACCATGTTGGCCAGGCTGGTCTCAAACTCCTGGCCTCAAGTGATCCGCCTGCCTTGGCCTCCCAAAGTTCTGGGCTTACAGGTGTGAGCCACTGCACCCAGCCTGAATTTCTCCATTCTTCCCACACACCCTCCTCAGGTTCTCCTTCCTGACCACTGACCCTTCTTTTCTTTTTTTTTTTTTTTGGAGTGCAGTAGTGTGCTCTCAGCTCACTGCAACCTCTTCCTCCCAGTCTCAAGTGATTCTCCTGTCTCAGCCTCCTGAGTAGCTGGGATTACAGGTGTGCACCACTACAACTTGGCTAATTTTTATACTTTTAGTAGAGATGGGGTTTCACCATATTGGCCAGGCTGGCCTTGATCTCCTGACCTCAGGTGATCCGCCCGCCTCGGCCTCCCAAAGTGCTGGGGTTACAGGCGTGAGCCACCGCACCCGGCCCCCTTCCTTCGTCTTAGTCAATCCTATCCCACCTCTTCTTCCACCAGTCCCCTCACCTGATGGTCCCAACATTTCATCATCCACCACCTCCTGGAGGGGGTACCCCGAGGTGCTCCGCTGGGGACTCTGCTCATTCTGGGGGTGCGGTTGACGGCTGGTCGTGATCTTTCCCGTAATCTGTCCCCTCTTACGGAACCTAGTCTCCGTTCTGTCCATGGCCTTCTTCTGGACACTTCTAGGATCCAGAAGAGTATGTTATCAATTCTCAAGCCTAGGAGAAGTCAGGAGTAGAGAACAGCTCTGAGAAGATACTGTTGTCCAACTGATCTCCAGGCACCACGGAGTCCGGTCCCTCCAATCAGGAAGGTCGGAATCTCTGATGTCATCGTTCATGCCAACCTGGCAACCAGTTTGAAAAAAAACACATGTAACTGCCAGGCTGATCTCTTGTCCTGGAGATCCTGGGTGAATGGTATCTCCTGCCACTGTCCCAACCTCAGACCATTGTCCAAAAGCATCTTCAGGGACTCCACATCCCTCTATTCCCTGTCCCAGCAGAGGCTGTGTCCTCTCCACTCAAAGCCTGAAGCATGTTGGGGTCTCTTCGTCTCTGTACATGCCCATTTCAGAGTCCAGTCTGGTGGGAGAGGGAACAGAGTGGGAAAGAAAACTAGGGTAAGCAGAAACGATGAAACCTTATAAGAGTGAGAGTATCATGTACAAGAGTGAGATTATCATGTACAAGAGTGAGATTATCACGTACAAGAGATCCCAGGAATACTGACTTGATGAAAAAGTCACATCAGAGCACTCAGTTTGGCAGAGCTTTTCTGCCGAATGTTTACTCACATTCACTGTCCGAGATTCTATACTGGGGGTACACACGTCCTCTGCCCTAAGGCAATTTTGAGTCCAAGAGACATTTTGAGGCCTAAAAATCATAGGAAACTGCCCCTGAGCTCACACATATTTCCAATGGTGTCCCCAGTTTCAGGGAATCCATGGATTACCTAAGCCAGCCCCTCCAGTTCGGCTAAGAAACTCTAGTCTATATATCAAGTTTTGTATCATATGTATTGCTCTGAACTCAGAAATTTCCCTTCCATTTATGGATTCTATGAATAAAATATCACATGTACAAAAAGACTAAGTCAAAAAATTTCAGCTGTGCACAGTGGCTCATGCTTGTAATCCCAGCACTTTGGGTGGCCAAGGGAGGAAGATTGCCTGAGGCCAGCAGTTCGAGACCAGTATAGGCAACATAGCAAGAGCCCATCTCTAAAAAAACAAAACCAAACCAAATTAGCCAGGTGTGGTGGCTGGCACCTGTGTTCCAACTACTTGGGAGACTCATGTGACAGGAAGATCACTTGAGCCCAGGAGTTAGAAGCTGCAGTGAGCCGTGATCTTGCCACTGCACTCCAGTCTGGGCAACACAGCAAGATACTGTGTCAAAAAAATTTTTTTTGATAAAAAATAAAAGAGTTACATGACATTCAGAGACCATCCAAAAAACCTGTGGGTTCCCGGCTGGGCTCAGTGGCTCATGCCTGTAATCCCAGCACTTTGGGAGGCCAAAGTGGGTGGATCACTTGAGGTCAGGAGTTTGAGACCAGCCTGGACAACATGGTGAAACCCCATCTCTACTAAAAATACAAAAAATTAGCCAGGCATGGTGGTGGATGCCTGTAATCGCAGCTACTCAGGAGAGGGCGCTGGAGAATCACTTGAACTCATGGTGCGCAGGTTGCAGGGAGCCAAGATGGCACCATTGTGCTCCAGCCTGGGCAACAAGAGCAAAACTCCATCTCAAAAAAAATAAAGAACCTGCGAGTGAGTTCCCACACGTTTTCCTAATGGGCTGCTGCTTTCCTAGGAGTCTCTCGCTCATAGAAAAGGCACAAACTGAAAGAGGAAGCAGATCCCATTGCTGTGGAAGTCCCATTGTTAGGAAGCTCTGCTTTTCTGGAGTTCAAATTCGCATTCATGACGCTTTAAACCGTCAGAGCTGGGTGGGTCCTCCTACAACAAAATAGTTTGCTCTCTCTCTCCTAGTTAACAGGCTTTCAAATATTAGAAGATCAATGTTCTGACCCCATTAAAATTTCTCTTTTGTGGAATGAAAAGCTCTGATTTAACCCATCTTCAAGCCTGGTTTGCATATTCCTCTCTCTTCCGGCCACCTTGTCTAGACACACTACACTGAGGCCATGCCCATCACAAATGATGTCGATACATTGTCAAAAAATTGGCAAACCAGGCGCGGTGGCTCATGCCTGTAATCCTACCACTTTAAGAAGCAGAGGCAGACAGATCACCAGAGGTCAGAAGTTCGAGACCAGCCTGTCCAACATGTTTAAATCCATCTCTACTAAAAATACAGAAAAAATGAGCTGGGCGTGGGGGTGCACATCTGTAATCCCAGCTACTTGGGAGGCTGAGGCAGGAGAATCACTTGAACCTGGAAGTCAGAGGTTGCAGTGAGCCAAGATTGCATCACTGCACTCCAGCCTGGGTGACAGAGCGAGACACCATCGCAAAAAAAAAAAAAAAAAAAAAAAAAAATGGCTAAACAGCCCAGGTTTGGTCTGATATGTTCAGAAAAAAGCAAAACAGTCACCTCTCACCTTTTCTTTTCCCGCAGTGATGCAGTTGCATACAACAATGGCTGTAGGTATGCTGCAGAAATATCATTCAAGTGAAACGGAAGGGCTTTCCTGGCCAGACACAGTGGTCACTCCTGCAATCCCAACACTTTGGTTGGCTAAGGTGGGAGGATTTCTTGCGGCCAGGGGTTCAAGGCTGCAGTGAGCTGTAATCCACCACTGCATTCCAGGCTGGGCATCAGAGTGAGGCCTCTCTCTAAAAAAAAAAAACCCTTCACTCCCCAAAAAAAGGGATTTGCAAATACCAGCCTTTCAGCATGAGGATCACATGGAGGAACATTAAGATACAGATGCTGGGACCCAGCCCTATTGATTGTAATTCAGAAACTGAGGTGGGGCCTGATTTAGCTCCATCATTGGAATCCATTCAGATTTGAAATTCTCTGGGTTGGACAGTTCAAGAGAGATCCTAAAGAAAGCAAAATCACTATGGACTGAAATGAGCAGACAAGGTTTTCTGAGCATGGTGAAATATGATCTGGGCCTCACTTGGGAGGGCTGTGGCCAGGCCTTGAGTCCTTGGCTCAGTGGGACCTTCTGAAACAGCCTCCAAGCTGCGCCCCTGCTTCCTTTGCTTTTGGATGACCCCCTCTAGCAGCTTTGGTGCTGATGGGAATAAGTCGACCTGCAGCGGAAGTTCAGCCCAAGTCTCAGCCCAGCAGCCTCCCCAAACCTGGCCAGGGTCTGGTCATGCTGCCATCTCTGCAGTTCTCTGTGGAGTTGTGGTTCCTGTACCTTGAAGAGAACTTCCCCTTCTGGGACCCAGAAACCCAGTGAACCCTCAGGAAAAAAGGGAATGAAATTACTGAAGACAACTCTGTGGCAGGGAGAGGGAAAAGAGGCTCTTTGTTTTTGTTTTTTATTTTTTATTTTTTTATTTTTTGAGACAGAGCTTCACTCTTGTTGCCCAGACTGGATTGTAATGGCTCAATCTCGGCTCACTGCAACCTCTGCCTCCCATGTTCAAGCACTTCTCGTGCCTCAGCCTCCAGAGTAGCTGGGACAATAGGCACACACCACCACACCCAGCTAATTTTTGTATTTGTAGTAGAGATGGGGTTTCGCCATATTCCCCAGGCTGGTCTCGAACTCCTGGCCTCAAGTAATCCACCTGCCTTGGCCTCCCAAAGTGCTGGGACTACAGATGTGGGCCACCGTGCCCAGCCCTCACTGTATGGATTTTCTGAAAAAAAAAAAAAAAAAAAGATTACATTTGTCTTACTTGCCAAAAGGGAAATTAACCTTATCTCCTCTCCTTTTTAAAGAGTATTTCCTTGATAAACCTTGTAATATAAATAACTTCTTTTGTGCCTTTGATATGTACCTAAATCTTTTAAAAAGGTAAATGAACTTCTTGCCAACCTTACAACCCAGGAATTTTTTTTTTTTTTTTTTGAGACAGAATCTCGCTGTCACCCAGGCTGGAGTGCAGGGGTATAATCTCGGCTCACTGCAACCTCCACTTCCTGGGTTCAAGCAATTCTCCCATCTCAACCTCCTGAGTAGCTGAGACTACAGGCATCTGCCACCACGCCTGGCTAATTTTTGTATTTTTAGTACAGACAGGGTTTCACCTTGTTGGTCTGGCTGGTCTTGAACTCCTGACCTCAGGTGATCCACCAGCCTCGGCCTCCCAATGTGCTGGGATTATGGGCGTGAGCCACCGTGCCTGGTCACAATCCAGGAATTTTTTTCTTAAGAGCCTAAGAGTCTTGTCTTTGAAATGTAAACCTGGAGGAAAATAGTGTCCCTATCTTCCTGTTGCCTAGGGAGTTTAGCCTAGGCACCTTGAGCTGTTACTACCTGCTTGTCAAGGAGATGTGAGAAGTTTTATTTTTTCATTGGATACAGGTAATTAACTAGCATGGATGGCCACGTTGATTTCCAGGTGAATTTAGGATGAGTGTTTAAGAATGCATAGCAGGCCAGGCGCGGTGGCTCACACCTGTAATCCCAGCACTCTGGGGGAGGCCGAGACGGGTGGATCACTTGAAGCCACACAGAAATCGAAAGAAGGAGTTTGAGTCCAGCCTGGCCAGTATGGCGAAACTCTGTCTCTACTAAAATACAAATATTAGCTGGGCATGATGGCACATGTCTGTAATTCCAGCTACTTGGGAGGCTTAGGCACGAGAATCACTTGAACCCAGGAGGTGGAGGTTACAGTGAGCCAAGAAGATCACACCACTACACTCCAGCCTGGATGACAGAATGAGACCCTGTCTCAAAAAAAACAAAACAAAAAAAACTGCATAGCAAGTCCTTTTGCATGAGGATGAGTTACTATTTATCTTGAGAGCATGTATGCAATGGATTGTATCTGCCAGGCTATATAAAAAGGACGCTTTGGCCGGGCGCCATAGCTCACGCCTATAATCCCAGCACTTTGGGAGGCCTAGGCGGGCGAATTACGAGGTCAGGATTTCGAGACCATCCTAGCTAACATAACGAAACCCCATCTCTACTAAAAATACAAAAAAATTAGCCAGGTGTGGTGGCACGCGCCTGTAGTCTCAGTTACTTGGGAGGCTGAGGCAGGAGAATCGCTTAAACTGGGGAGGCAGAGGTTGCAGTGAGCCGAGATGGCACCACTGCACTCCAGCCTGGGCGACAGAGCAAGATTTTGTCTCAAAAAAAAAAAAAAAAAAAAAAGGAGGGTTTATTTCTCTTTGCATCTCATTAATGGATCACCTGTGATGGGCATCACAGTCTGGTTTAATGCTTATTCAGTAATAAAATTGTTTTCTTTATTTTCTGAATTTGTGGAGAGAATATTCTAGGTTAACAGAATAATCTATTTATTTACTTATTTATTTTGAGATGGAATCTTGCTCTGTCTCCCAGGCTGGAGTGCAGTGGCCTGATCTCGGCTCACTGCAATCTCCGCCTCCCAGGTTCAAGTGATTCCCCTGCCTCAGCCTCCCAAGTATCTGGGACTACAGGCACACACCACCACACCCAGCTAATTTTTTGTGTTTTAGTAGAGACGGGGTTTCACCATGTTGGCCAGGATGGTCTTGATTTCCTGACCTCATCATCTGCTGACCTCGGCCTCCCAAAGTGCTGGGATTACAGGCGTGAGCCACTGCACCTGGCCTCAGAAGTATTTATTTTTAGTCTTTTCCTTACCAGTTTTTATGAAACAACTGGGCAAGAACACTGTTAGATTTCACCAAAAAATTGTGATGAATCATTGTCTTTATGATCCCATTTTTGAAAATTGACATTTTAATTGTAAACCAAAAATAAAATTCTAAGCCCCCACAACTGACTCAGTGGACTCCCCTGTTGGCCAACAGGATCCAAAATAAACATGGAAAACTAATTTAGGTCATGATGGGAAGGAGGGGGTTGGACATGCCTTGTCATAATTCTCCTCCCGTCAGAGTTTAGGCACAGCTGACCAACATTATGATCTCTATTAGAATAGAGATCATAGGACTGACAAAACAGGCTCTTTTTATCAGTAAGATACCCATCTCCAACCAGACTCTGATATAGCATCACATGACAGATAGCAGTCCCTGAAGTAAATCACAGTATTTTACCCCGTAACATATTTTCTTTGACAAACTTTAAAATAGTCCTGCAAAGCCATCTCTTTGGGGGAAATTTGCATTCTGTAGAGAATCTCTTTCCCTTACAGAAAAGACTCCAGGTCTTTTCTGGAGAGTCTGACACCTTTTAAGATCCAATAAGAGATATTTATCATCTATTCTCTCTGAAGCCTGTTCTGAGGCTTCACCTACATAACAAGAACCTTGGTTTCCACAATCCCCCTTATCTTAACTCAAACTTTTCTTTCTTTTTTTCCCTCCCTCTTTCTTTTCCTTCCTTCCTTCCTCTCTCTCTTTCTCTCTCTCTCTCTCTCTCTTTTCTTCTCTGTTGCCCAAGCTGGAATGCAGTGGTGCCATCATGGCTCACTGTAGCCTCAACTTCCCAGGCTCAAGCGATCCTCCCATCTCAGCCTCCTGAGTAGCTGAGTCTACAGGCATGCACCACCACACCTGTATAATTATTTTTTTTGTAGAAGTAGGGGGTCTCGCTGTGTTGCGCAGGCTGTCCTTGAACTCCTGGCCTCAAGGGATCCTCCCAGCTCACCCTCCCAAAATGCTGGGATTACAGGCATGAGCCACTGCAATGGCCCATTTCTTTATGTAGTCTTCCAGCTGTTCAGCCAACACTTAACTCTGAACCAACTGCCAATCTTTCAATCTACTAGTGACCTGAAAGCCTTTCCTGGCTGACCCAACATATACTTCCCATGTATTGATTTATGTCTTTGCCTGTAACTACTGTCTCCCTAAGATGCATAAAACCAAGCTGTAACCCAACCACTTTGGGCTCACGTTTTCAGGACCCCCTGAGGTTGTGTCACCAGCCATGGTCACTCAAATAGGAGGCCCAGAATAAAACTCTTTACAGACTTTGACTCTTTTTGGTCAACATAACCTAACCCTAAACATAATCCTCCTGGGGAAGGTAAGATCACAGGTATCTCTTCTTCATTCAATTTGTGTGTGTATGTCCTTATTTCTCTACAGTTTTTAGGCATTCACTGTGTGATCTAGAAAAGCTATGGAGTCTCGCTTTGTCGCCAGGATGGAGTGCAGTGGCGTGATCTCGGCTCACTGCAACCTCCACCTCCCAAGTTCAAGTGATTCTCCTGCCTCAGCCTCCCGAGTAGCTGGGATTACAGGCACGCGCCACCACGCCCAGCTAATTTTTGTATTTTTAGTAGAGACAGGGTTTCATCATGTTGGCCAGGATGATCTCTATCTCTTGACCTTGCGATCTGCCCGCCTCGGCCTCCCAAAGTGCTGGGATTACAGGCTTGAGCCACCGCGCCCAGCTACAAATTCTATTTTCTTTTTGTTCCTTGGAAAGCATCGCTGGGCATTTATCCTGTCCCAGTATTTGAGTGAAACTTCTCAGCATTTCAGAGCAGTGACCATGATACACCCTTTCCTTTCCTTCTCCTTATGGGAAACTTGGTTCTAACCCAGAGGACTTGGGCTCCAGGACCCAGTAACGCAGCCCTGGACTTGACCCTAAAAGGGAGTAAAGACAAAGGTGAAGTTCAGTCCGGGGTTCAGGGTTGCCAAAGCTCATAGCCTGGAGCTTCTTCACCTTTAGGCGGGGTAGAGACATTTAAAATGGCCCCTAAACTTGGAGGGCGCGTAAAGCTCATAGGCTGGAGCTTCTTAACCTTTAGGCAGGGTAGAGACATTTAAGACGGCCCCTAAACTTGGGGAGCGCATAGGCTCATGGGAAATAGAGTCCGTTACTTGTCCTGGGACCGGTGGTGGGTGTCCCGGGAGGCGGACTTCCGGTGCACTCCTGCGCGTGTGCACCTCTCCCTGCGTGCGTGTTCGCGCGTGCGTGCTTGCACATGCGCGCCACCTCCGCACTGCCCTGGCTTCCTGCGCCTCTTCAGGTCATCGCTTGCTCTCGTTCCCAGGCTTTGGCCTCTAGTGGACGAGAATCACCGAGTCTGCGGGGCTGGACGCTGACTGCCCGGGCCAGCACCTAGGCGGGCGGGAGCTGTGCGGCCCAGGGTTCACGCGGGCCGGGTAGAGGCTCGAGCCGGGACCCCCGAGCGTGAACCCCGGAGCCGGCGGCGCTGGGGCCAGAGGGGCCGGGCGGGAGGTGGTGGCGGAGGCGAAGGGGCGACGGGACCTGGGCCTGGCCCGTGTGTGTCCTCGGCGGCCTGGCGCCGGCCGTCGCTGTACGGTGAGCCCCAGGGAGGCGGATCTGGGCCCCGAGAAGGACCCCCGCCTGGATTTGCCCCGTAGGCCCGGCCCGGGCCCCTCGGGAGCAGAACAGCTTTGGTGAGGTGGACAGGAGGTGACCTCGCGAGCAGACGCGCGCGCCAGCGACAGCAGCCCGCCCCGGCCTCTCGGGAGCCGTGGGGCAGAGGCTGCGGAGCCCCAGGAGGGTAAGTCTTGGGTTTTTGGGCCCGGAGCGAGAAGGGCCTGGGTGAAGTCACCGTGTGTTGGGGACCTTAGAGTGTGGGGCAGAGGGAGGGTCCCGATTGCTTGCCGGAGAGACATGTGTTGGGTTTGAGGGCAGGGTCTGGCTGCACCGAACAGGCGCTGCATGGGAAGATCTGGGAGGACGAGGCTTACGGAGGCGTGGAGGGTGTCACCACCCTCAGCTGCGGACGTCGTCTCCACTCCCCGCTAACCCCTAACAGTCCTTCCTCCTCCTCTCCGTGCTCCAGATTTGGACCGCCTTTAAACGTCCGTCAGCACTTCTATTCTCTCACTTAAGTGTCTGCTGATCCCCCCCTTAGATCTGCCCTGGGAGAATCGTAGTAATGCAGGAACAGTCTGCAGGGATTCTCTCCTGCTGCCTCAGTTGCTAGGGGAAGAGACTGGGCCTTAGCAGGTGGGTGACTTGACCAGGTCACCGGCTTTGTGGGTAGAGCTGCTCATAGTAGAACCCAGGAGACTTATCTCCCAGGCCAGTGTTCTTTCTCCCGTATCCTAGTTTTCTTAATAGAAGATTATTAGGTGCAGCAATAACCAAGTTCAGTTAGATAATTTAGAAACAAAACCATATTTTATACACATTCATTTCATTTCTGAGAGCTCACATACTCAATTCCTATGGCTTATTTTATTTTAAGCAGTTTAGAGAGACAATAAGAAAATGCGGGCGGGATGCAGTGGCTCACACCTGTAATCCGAGCACTTTGCGGGGCTAGGGCAAGAGTATCCCTTGAGACCAGGAGTTAGAGACCAGCCTAGACAACATGGGGAGACCCTGACTACAAAAAATACAAAAGTCGCCAGGCATGCTGGGATGCATCTGTGGTCCCAGCTACTCAGGAGGCTGAAGTGGGAGGATGGATGGAGCCCAGGAGGTCGAGGCTGCAGAGAGCCGTGAATGCACCACTGCACTCCAGCCTGGGTGGCAGATTGAGACCCTGTCTCAACAAACAAACCACAAAAAACATGAGCCGTATAATGGGAATTTTTTTTCTTTTTGCACCTTGTATTTGATGATGATGGCAGACTATTTGTAAAAGGAGTCGTGTTACCCATGAGAGTCTAACTCATCTAATTACTACCTGATTATCTTAGAGTTACAGGCGCATGCTTCCCTATCACTCTTTTTTTTTTTTTTTTTTTTTGAGACAGTGTGTCTCACCCAGTCTGGAATGCAACAGCGTGGTCTCGGCTCACTGCAACTTCCACCTCCCAGGTTCAAAGGATTCTCGTGCCTCAGCCTCCTGAGTAGCTGGGACTACAGGCATGTGACACTATGCCTGGCTAATTTTTTTTGTTATTTTTAAGTAGAGACGGGGTTTTGCCATGTTGGCCCAGGCAGGTGGATCACTTGAGGCCAGAATTTGAGACCAGCCTGGCCAACATGGCGAAACCCTGTGTCACTCTTTTAGACCCTTCTGAGTGTTTGCAGGTTGAGTGTTCACAGGGTGTTAGCCTATTGAGCTTTCTTTTGTGGTTCTTATGCAGGTGATTTCTGCCTTTGCAGGCCGGAGCCCTCATGACTTCAGTGACCTGCTTCTGCCCCTCTAGGTCTATCAGCCACAGTCTCTGCAAGTTTCCAAGAGCAGCAGAAAATGAACACATTGCAGGTGAGTTTTCCTGCTTGTGTATATGTTCCTCAACTTTATTTTATGATGCATTTTAAGAGGTTTGTAAGGATTCATACTTTTTTTTTTCTTTTTTTTGAGATGGAGTCTTGCTCTGTTGCCCAGGCTGCAGTGCAGTGGCATGATCTCGCTTCACTGCAACCTCCACCTCCTGGGTTCAAGTGATTCTCCTGCCTCAGCCTCCTGAGTAGCAGGGATTACAGGCGTGCGCCACCATGCCCAGCTAATTTTTTGTATTTTTAGAAGAGATGGGGTTTCACTATGTTGGCCAGGCTGGTCTCAAACTCCTGACCTCAGGTGATCCTCCCGCCTCAGCCTCCCAAAGTGCTGGGATTACAGGCATGAGCCACCGAGCCCAGCCAGGATTCATACTTTAAAATGGGAATGTGGAAATAGACATTATCCTGTAAAATATAGTTAGTGTGGCAGATCAGCACCAAAAATGATTTGTGAAGCTTGTATGTATGGGTAGTATATTTTAAGGCTGTTGAAATTGAGCCGCACCTAGGACTGATATTCTTGGCAGTCATCACAAAAGGAAAATGCCATCTGTATTAGTCCATTCTCACACTGCTATAGAGAAATAACCAAGACTGGGTAATTTATAAAGAAAAAAGGTTTAATTGGCTCACGTCTGCAGGCTCTATCATAGGAAGCATGGCTGAGGAGGCCTCAGGAAACTTACAGTCAGGTGAAAGGTGAAGGGAAAGCGGGTGCATCTTCCATCACCAGAGCAGGAGGAAGAGGGAACATTGGGGATTACAATTGAACATGAGATTTGGGAGGCGACACACACCGAAACCATATCACCATCCATGACATCGTTTGCATTGATTATAAGGAGAAACCAGTTTTGTTACTTGTGCATTTAAAAGATTTTCTAGGACTTGGAAAAATTTCTTCATTCAAGTTGATATAATTGTGGATAGCTTTCCTAACAACAACCATTAAATTACTGTAACTTATGGCTTATTCTCGGTGCTTATGTAAGCAGAGGGCCTGCTGCCCAAGGAGAACTTGGTGCATAATTTTTCCAGGGACGGAAATATCGTGATCCAAGTAAACAATTCTGTTTTTACTGTTGAGTCCTAGATCATGGGGGGAATGAATGACGTGATCATCCGTCAAATATTTGTTCGTCTTTTTGTTCGGGTTGCACAGCAAACAATACAAACAGTACTCTCTTGTGAAGATTTCCTCATTTCTGTTTCTCATTTCACTTCTCAGTGTTTTCGTTTTGTCCTTTTCACTTTGCTAAGTCAGTCAGTAAAGGTGACCAGTGATTTAATTGCAGTCAAATCCAGCGGGCATTTCCTAGCCCCTTCCTCACAGGACCCTTTGTCTGCCTTTGACATCCGTTACTTCCAAACTGATATTTTCTCCATGGAGTCTCTCTTTTCTTGGCTTTTGAAAAGATTCATCTGTAAGTATTTGTTTGTCTTTAAATGGTGAAGTCTGTTTTGTTTTGTTTCTTTTTTTCTTTTTTTGAGATAGGGTCTTGCTCTGTCGCCCAGGCTGGAGTGTAGAGACATGATCACAACTCACTGCAACCTCAATCTCCCGGGCCCACACGATCCTCTTGCCTCAGCCTCCCGCGTAGCTGGGACTACAGGTGCACGCTGCCACACCTCGCTAGTTTTTTTGTATTTTAGTAGAGACTGGCTTTCACCGTGTCATGCATGTCGAACTCCTGAGCTCAGGCAGTCTGCCCGCCTCGGCGTCCCAAAGTGTTAGGATTACAGGCATGCGCCACTGCTCCCGGCCTAGAAATGTACTCTCACTGTATTGCTCAGGCTGGTCTCAAACTCCTGGCCTCAAGCAGTCCTTTCACTTTGGCCTCCCAAAGTGGTAGGATTACAGGTGTAAGCCACCACACCTGGCCAATAAGGAATCTTTTTAAAAGGGGCTAGGAATAACCCATAATACTCTCTTTCTTAATACATGTGGCAGTTGGGTTAAATCTTTTAATAGTTCCCATAGTATGTCTCCTGTGTGCTTATTGTTTTGAAGAAACTGGGTTGGTTATCTTCAGTTTGGATTGTGTTACCCTTGTTTCACCTTTAGCACATTTTTAAAAAATATCTTTTATGCCTTGGTAAAATTGGTAGTTTGATCTGGAAGTCTAATCAGGTTTATGTTCAGTTCTTTTCACACAACTATACCATATGTGGCATTTGTCTACTTCTGGAGGCACGTGTTACCTTCTTTGTTTTTGTGAAGTTAAGAACTATTGACTGTTGATTATTGCTGTGATTTACTATTGCTGTGATTTGCCTTCATTAGGGGAGGCAAAATGGTGATCTGCTAATTCTACCATTTCTTCTTTATTTACTAGCCAAAATACCTTTCTTTTCTTTTTTTGGAGACAGAGTCTCACTCTGTCACCCAGGCTGGCACGTTTATGGCTCACTGCAGCCTCAAACTCCTGTGCTCAAGTGATCCTCCCACTTCAGCCTCCCAAGTAGCTGGGAGTATAGTCATATGCCACAATGCCCAGCGGATTTTTAAATTTTTAGTAGAGACAGGTTTCTCTATGTTGCCCAGGCTGGTCTGGAACTGGGCTCAAGTGATCCTCTTCTTTGACCTCCCAGTGTTGGGATTATAGGCATGAGCCACCACGGCTGGCCTAGAATACTTTTCTAAAGATAAATTTCTATTCTCTGTTTGTTTATGTAATTCATGCAGGAAAGACAGTTTCTAAAATATTGAGTAGGCTTTTAAGCAGGAGGGTATTTTGTTTTGTTAACCATCATGAGCTCATGGGTTTAAACAGATAGTAAATATTTCAGTACATAGAAGTTGTGATTCTTTTTGAAAATTAAGTGGTTCCATCTTTGGCCAGACGGAATCCCTTTAAGTTGGTTTCTGAGTCCTTTTGAGATATATTTGATATATATGATAGCAAATGTATACATATAATATATATTTGATAGCAAATATATACATATAATATATATTTGATAGCAAATATATGCATATAATATATATTTGATAGCAAATATATACATATAATATATATTTGATAGCAAATATATACATATATATTTGATAGCAAATATATGTATATATTTGATAGCAAATATATATAAATTTATATGATTTCAAAATAAAATGCTAAAGTGGTTCCATCTTTGGCCAGACGGAATCCCTTTAAGTTGGTTTCTGAGTCCTTTTGAGATATATTTGCAAAATATGATAGCAAAAGAGCACATATAAAAAATAAATGATTGCAAAAATGCACATATAATAGATATTAGATAGCAACAAAAAGCAGATAATATATAGTAGATAGCAAATATATACATATAATATATAGAAGATAGCAAATATATACATATATATTTGATAGCAAATATATACATATATTTGGTAGCATTATTTTCTATTTAGCATTTTATTTTGAAATCATTTCAGATTTTCAGAAAAATTGCAAGGATTTTACAAAGAAATCCCAGATACTTCCTTTTGTTCAGATACTTCATTCTTAACATTTTCCCACATTAATCATTTATATGCCTATATATGTATGTGTATATATATATTTATATATATATATATTTTCTGAACTATTTGAGAGTGGTATAAGTGTCAGCTTCTTTACCCTATAAATTTTAGATTAGAGCTCATAAAATCAAGAATATTCTATTAAATATCCATAGCACAGTAATTGAATTCAGGAAATTTATCATTGATTTAATACTTTTATCTAAACTATATTTCATTTTCCAGTTTTGCCAATTTCCCAATAATTTCCTTTATAGCAATTTTTAATTTTTGGTAGAAGATTCAGTCTAGGACTGTTAATTGCCTTTAGTTTTCATGCTTTTTAAGTCTGTTTAATACGGATTTGTTCCGCAGTGCCATTATAACATTTGCAGAATACAGGCCAATGATTTTATAGAAGTCTTTAAATTTAGGTTTCCCTGATCTTTCTTCATGATTAGATTTAGTCTGTGAATTTTTGTCTGGAATGCTACATGGAACCTCTTAAATTTATGGCTCAGAACAGGATCTGTCTTGGGAAAATTCTGTGCATGCCTGAGAAGATGGCTTGTTCTGCTCTGGTTGGGTGGAGTGTTTGATAAATGTTAATGAGATCAAGTTGGTTGGTTGTGTTGTTCAGGTGTACTATATCCTTGTTGATTGTGTGCCCACTTGTGTCAGTTGTGGGGGAGAGGGGATTGAAATCTGCTGCAGTTGTGGTTCTGTTTCTCTTTGCAATTTTACCACTTTTTGCTTTATGTGTTATGTTAGATACATAAATGTTCAAGGTTATTACATCCTGTTGATTAATTAACCACTTTGTAAAATGGCCTTCCTTATCCCTGCTAATATTCCAGGCTGTGAAATGTACTTTGTTATTTATGTAGCATTCTTTTGAGTAATACATGCATGGTATATCTTATTCCATCCTTTTATTTTTAACCTATTTGCATCTTTATATCTAAAGTATTATTTCTTATAGGCAGCAAAATTTGGATCTTGCTTGTTTTCATCAGTCTATTTCTGTCTCATAATTGGGGATGTATAGACTGTTTACATGTAATGTGATTATTGATAAAATGAGTTAGGTTATAGTCTGTTGTCTTTGCTTTCTTTTAGTCTCATCTTCTTTGTTTCTTTTTAAAATGTCTCTGTCTTCCTTCCTTTTGATTAGTTGAGAATTTTTTATGATTCTACTTTATATCTTTTGTTGGGTTTTTAGCTATGACACTGTTTTGTTATTTTAGTGAGTTAGAATTTATAGTATGCAACTTTCATTGTCATAGTTTATTCTTAAGTAATATCCATTTTTCTTAGAATAAGAGAAGCTTGTAATAGGACACTTCCATTTCTCTCCTCTTGGTCTTTACACCGTTGTTCATTTTATTTTTACAGGTGGTATCAGTGCCACACACTATCTATTACGTTGTTGTTAATTAAACAGTATTTATTTATTTATTTATTTATTTATTTATTTTGAGACAGAGTCTCACTCTGTCCCCCAGGCTGGAGTGCAGGGGTGCTATCTTGGCCCACTGCAACCTCTGCCTCCCAGGTTCAAGTGATTCTCCTGCCTCAGCCTCCTGGGTAGCTGGGATTACAGACACCCACCATCACGCCCGGCTAATTTTTGTATTTTTAGTAGAGACGAGGTTTCGCCATGTTGGCCAGGCTGGTCTCGAACTCCTGACCTCAGGTCACCCATCTGCCTCAGCCGGCCAAAGTGCTGGGATTACAAGTGTGAGCCACCACACTTGGCCCAGGTATCTTTTAAAGAGATTTAAGTAATGAGAGAAAATACACAGTTACCATTTCTGGTACTCTTCATTCCTTTGTGTAAATCTAAATTTTTATTTGCTGTCATTTTACTTCTGCCTGAAGGACTTTAACATTTCTTCTAGTTGATGATGAATTATTATATGTCTGCAAATGTCTTCATTGTGTCTTTGCTTTTAAAGGTGTTTTTGCTGGATTTTTCTCCACAGTGCTTTAAATATGTTTCTCTGTTGTCTTCCTGCCTACATTTTTTTCTAAGAGAAATCTGATCTCATACTCATGTTTGTTCCCCTATATATAACATGTCTTTTTTTCTTCCCCCCTTATTGTTTTAAACTTTTTATCACTAGTTTTGGACAATTTGATTGCAATATGTCATGGTATCATTTTTTTCATGTTTCTGTTTTGGGGATCATTGAACTTCTTGGATCTTGGGTTTATGGTGTCATCACTTGGGGAACATTTTTATCATTATCTCTTCAAGTACCCGCCACCTCCCCTCCATTGATTCTTGTTGCCTGTATATTAGGCCACTTGAAATTTTCCCACAACACACTGTTGCTCTTTATTTGCTTTTAATTCTTTTTTCTCTGTTTCATTTTATGTAACTTCTGTTGCTGTCTTTATATTCACTAATCTCTTTTTTCCACGATGCTGTTCATCTTTTCCAGTATAATTTTCATCTCAGATATTGTACTATCTGTAGAACGTTAGCGTGGGTCTTTTTTACATCTTGCCTGTCTTGATTTTTTTGAACATTTGGAATAGAACGATGAACTCTCTCAGTGCTCTGTGCCGGTTGTGAACTCTGTGTCAATTCTGGGCCAGTTTTGATGGACTGATTCTTTTCTTCCTTATGGGTTGTAATTTCCTGCCCATTTTCCCATCCCACAACTCTTTCTCCTCACATCTGCCTCGGTTCTTCTTCCCTGCTCCATGGCCTGGAAACGCTCAAGGCAGAAGTTGATTGGTTCACCTTATTTCCCATCACTCATAGATAACTCTACTGCCTGATAATCAGTGCCTTGAAAACCATTGCTTCAGCCCAGGCGTGGTGGCTCATACCTGTAATCACAGCACTTTGGGAGGCCAAGGCAGGCGGATCATGAGGTCAGGAGTTCAAGACCAGCCTGACCAACATGGTGAAACCCCGTCTCTACTAAAAATACAAAAATTAGCCAGGCATGCTGATGCATGCTTGTAATCCCAGCTACTTGGGAGGCTGAGGCAGGAGAATCGCTGGAACTCGGGAGACGGAGGTTGCAGTGAGCCAAGATTGTGCCATTGCACTCCAGCCTGGAAGACAAGAGCGAGACTTTGTCTCAAAAAAAACAAAAACAAAAACAAACAAACCATTGCTTCATATATGTTCTCCATTTTATTTTTCTTTCTGTTTTTGATTTTGTTGTTGTTCTTTGGTGTGTGCTGTTTCAGGTTGGAGGGTATATGCAGTACCTGTTAGTTTATCACACCTGAGGGCAGAAGTCCTCATGTCTCTCTCTCTCTATTTTTTCTAATATATATATTTTTTTCTTTGTAGAGACAGGGTCTTGCTCTGTTGCCAAGGCTGGTCTCAAGCTCCTGGCCTCAAGCAGTCCTTCTGCCTCAGCTTTCCAGAGTGCTGGGATTACAGGCATGAGCCACCACACCTGGCCTGGATCCAGTTTTATCCATGTCCAAATGGTTTTTTTCCCTGAGCTGTTTTTGATTTTCTTCCACCTCATATGAACTGTAGTGTCGGCTTATCTAGTTCCAGGAAAAAGCTTTTTGGTATTTTTATTGGGATTGCATATTTATAAAGTAATTTAGGGTAACTGATATCTTTGTATTATTACGTTGACCTTAATAATACAACTAATTTTTTTTTTTTTTTTGATTTTTAGTAGAGATGGGGTTTCACCATGTTGACCAGGCTGGTCTTAAACTCCTGACCTCAGGTGATCTGCCCGCCTCAGCCTCCCAAAGTGTTGGGATTACAGGCGTGAGCCACCGTGCCCGAGCACTTTTTTTTTTTTTTTTTTGAGATGGAGTCTCACTCGTCGCCCAGGCTGGAGTGCACTGGCACAATCTCGGCTCACTGCAAACTCCGCCTCCTGGGTTCCCTTCATTCTCCTGCCTCAGCTTCCCGAGTAGCTGGGACTACAGGCACCCGCCGCCATGCCCGGCTAATTTTTTGTATTTTTAGTAGAGACGGGGTTTCACCGTGTTAGCCAGGATGGTCTCGATCTCCTGACCTCGTGATCCGCCCGCCTTGGCCTCCCAAAGTGCTGGGATTACAGGCGTGAGCCACCGCGCCTGGCCGCCCGAGCACTTTTACTTTTCCTTAGTTATATTCCTCTAATTGTTTTCTCTTCTCTAGTTGTAGATAATGAGCATTTTATTAATACCTTGTTCTTGATCTTAATGGGAAGGTATGTAGTTTTTCCCTGTTAAGTAAAATCCTGACTTTTGGACCAAGAAGACTGAGGCATAAGAGTTTATGTGTGTGCGTGTGTGTGTGCACGTGCATGTGCGTGTGTGTGTATATACACAAACTATATATGTGCTTGTGTGTAATTGAAATACATATGTCACATATATATCATACGTACTACTGCATATTAGGGTGTAATATTTATATTTGTATATATACATAATATTGATGTTAATGAAGCATCCATCAGTTTCTGTTTTCTTTAGTTTGTTTTTTTAAATCAGGTTTTTCTGTCAAGCTTTTTCAAGTATCTTCATGGATACAAGATTTTTCTTCTTTGCTGTGTTATAGTGGCCTATCATATTAATAGGTTTCCAAATATTAAACTAGTCTATATTATTGGAATAAGTCCTATTTGTCTGTTGTATATTATGTTTTTAATCTGGTACTGGATTTTGTTTGGTTATGTTTCATTTTGGGTATTTGTATTGATATAAGTGGTATTGTATTGGCATGTAATTTTATGTTATTTATTGGCTGATCCATCTTCTAACCCCTCCACCTCCTTGCCTTCTGGACTAACTTAACCTAGAAGGTTATTACTCTCTCTCGGTGATTTTATCAGCTCCTGTGGCCTGCCTGTGGATAAGCTTGGATGTTCTGCTTTAGTTTCTCAGCCCACCAGCCTAGCGGCTCTGCCTCTGCTATCTCTTGGGATCTACATTGTCCTAGCTATATCACTGGGTTTGAACCCCTTGTTGATATCTTCTTTATAAATAACAGGATAATGCAACATGCTTACTGGGCACTTCCTTTTTCTAAACTACAAGTTTGGGCAGGGTATGCTGGCCCAAGACTGTAATCCCAACACTTTGGGAGGCCAAGGCAGGTGGATTGCTGGAGCCCAGGAGTTTTGCATTTTTCTTTTTTTTTTCTTGAGACAAGGTCTCGCTCTGTTGCCTAGGATGGAGTGCAGTGTCGCATTTACAGCTCACTGCAGCCTTGACCTCCCAGGCTCAAGCCATCCTCCTGCCTTAGCCTCCCAGGTAGCTGGAACTACAGGCATGTGCCATGATGCCCAGCCAATTTTTAAAAAAAATTTTATTTTTAGTAGAGATGAGGTTCTTACTATGTTGCCCAACGTGGCCTCGAACTCCTGAGCTCAAATGATCCTCCCATCTCGGCCTCCCAAAGTGCTAGGACTATAGGCATGAGCCACCATGCCCAGCCCCAACCTCTTAAAAATTGAAGCTGCTTCATGTTTGCCATTGGTACTTTTTACACCTCATCATATTCTTCTTCCCCTTCATCCCATAGAATACACAATTCATCTTTAAGGACTTCAAGTTAACTGAGTCTGTGAAGCCTAACTGATGGCATAAAGTTAAAATAATTTGATCCTCTTTTGTTAAATCATTCTGCACCTTGTCTGCATTACTCTAATAACAGCTTTGGGCATTCATTCATTTAATGAATATTTATTGCTGTGAGATTGAGATGTTTGAGATAAAACTCAGCCATGCAGATAGCCAGAGGCCACTGGCTATGAGAATAAAAAAGACAAAAGAACAAGGAGCTGAAACTAGGTGAGAGCCCCAGAGCAGTGAGTTAGGAAGAAGAAGACCAGGAACTGAGTGGTGGGCACTCCAACATGAAGAGGTCCAGGAGAAGGGGAGGGCCTGGCAGCAAAGAAGTGACAAGGAGTAAAATGCTTGTGTTTGTTTACATGTTTATCTCCTTATTAGGTTGTCTGCTTTCTCAGAGCAGGCATGGTGTTTCACTCATCTCATGTCCCCAAAACTCAGTTCAGTTGCAAAATAGGAGCTCAGTTGTGTTTTGGGTTTTTATTTTTGTGGGGTAATATATATTTTATATATATATATCCCCAAAGGATATATGTTTCCTGTATGATTTCCAATATGATTTCCCTTCCATAATCTGTAACATAAAATAAGGTATACAATGTTCATGGTTAACTTTACGAGTGAGCTTTGTAAAATGATATCCCCCTATCCCTTTTCCATATCTCCCAATTCTGATCATGTTGCCATTACAGGGGCCAGTGTCATTCAAAGATGTGGCTGTGGATTTCACCCAGGAGGAGTGGCAGCAACTGGACCCTGATGAGAAGATAGCATACGGGGATGTGATGTTGGAGAACTACAGCCATCTAGTTTCTGTGGGTGAGGATAGCTTGCTTTCTGAATGCTCTCAGTTGAATGGGGTTTTATCCTTGAGTTTGAAGAAATAAGTGATGACACCATTTAATTCCTTGTGGGCACTAGCTGGAGCGTTTATATTATTCTTCATTGAAAGGTTCTAACTTTGATAAGGTAAAAAATGGAGCACTTCTGTTATGCAGCTTATGAGGTGGCAACATCTTGTACTTTGGAGATTCTGAAGCCAAGCAGCTTGCCCAAGTCCTTCTTCTTTTCCCATTAACAGGGTATGATTATCACCAAGCCAAACATCATCATGGAGTGGAGGTGAAGGAAGTGGAGCAGGGAGAGGAGCCGTGGATAATGGAAGGTGAATTTCCATGTCAACATAGTCCAGGTAAGTTAGTAGATTATCACATGTTAAAAAACACTCATCCCCGACCTTTGGGAGTGACTAAAGAGTTGTTTATATGTACTCGGTACCCTCAGTAACACCTCCCAACCCCCAAATATCACTTTCCTTCCCACACACATACCACATACATGAACTCTTTTGTTGATTTTACATTTGATTTACATTGGTAGGGATTTTTTCATTCTAACCTGTACTGGGGACCCAGTCACTTCCTCTTTCTCCAGCATTATCGCTCACTTATTTACTCCCTCGCCATTAGAGAATTGTTGTGAGTTTTTTGTTTGTTTGTTTGTTTGTTTGTTTTTTGGAGACAGAGTCTTGTTCTATCACCCAGGCTGGTGTGCACTGGTATGTTCTCGCTCACTGCAACCACTATCTCTCAGGTTCAAGCGATTCTCCTTCCTCAGCCTCCTGAGTAGCTGGGATTACAGGCACATGTCACCACGCCTGGCTAATTTTTGTATTTTTAATAGAGACTGGGTTTCACCATGTTGGCCATGCTGGTCTTGAACTTCTGGCCTCAAGTGATCTGCCCACCTCAGCCTTCCAAAGTGCTGAGATTACAGTCCTGAGCCACTGCTTTCGGCCTTACAGAATTGTTTTGTTTTGGGGCATTCAGAAGTCTGACATAAAAATTAACTTGAGACTTTTAGGTTCATTCTTTTAATCTTCCATTTTCTTTCCTTCCTTGCTTTAAAAATACCTTGGACTTATTTTCTGCCCTCGATTTTATTTACTTCTTTAGGCATTCAGATACCAAAACCTCGTCCTCTACCTATGCTTGCGAATTGAGTCACAGCTTGTGGTTTACCTTATTTCCCCAAGTCCATGCTCAGTTGATGTGATGATATAGCGCTCCCTCAGCTTTCCCCTCTTTCCCCAGTGCTCATTTATGACCCGTCTGTGTGTTCATTTCCCCTTCCCCATAACTGGCATCATGCTCTGTCCATAGTAGACATTCAGGAAGTGTGAATTTCATAAGGGAATGTTGGTTCCTTTTCTTGCCTTTTCAGGAGTGTCCCCCTAGAACCCGTTTTCTACTTTTTTGGTTTTCTTTGTATCCCTTAAAAGAGTTTTTCTAATCTCAACTTCTAAGACCTTTTTTCTTGTGTATTTTTGCAGTTTGCCTCCAGATTGATATGTCTGACACTTTTAACCTAGTTGAATATTTTACTTGACAACATAGCAGTACCAGTGAGATAGTTCACTTCCTTCTTTCTCAGAATGTCTGATGATAAACTGTGCACATTCCAAAATCATGAATTCTGTCTACCTTCCTCACCTCCCAGTATTTGATTGTGTTAGTCTCCTCTCCATTGTTTGTGTTCTTTGTCTTCTGTGAAATGCCTTGCAGATCATCAGCACATTGTTTCTTTTGACATTAGTGTTCAGTATTCTCCCATACCTGGATTACAGTGGATCCATCTTCCATTCAAAGGATCATGGTCCTTTTCCTTCATCTGCATTTTACTGGCCCAGATAATATATATTTTCCCTCCCTTTCTTCCTCCCCTCCCCTCCCTCGCTTCCTTCCTTCCTTCCTTTTTGAGATGGAGTCTCACTCTGGTCACCCAGGCTGGAGTGCAATGGCATGATCTCGGCTCAGTGCAGCCTCCCCCTCTCAGGTTCAAGGGATTCTCCTGCCTCACCCTCCCAAAGCAGCCGGGATTACAGGTGCACACCACCATGCCTGGCTAATTTTTATATTTTTAGTAGAGATGGGGTTTCACCATATTGGTCAGGCTCGTCTCTAACTCCTGACCTTGTGATCCGCCTGCCTCATCCTCTCAAAGTGCTGGGATTACAGGCCTGAGCCACTGTGCCCAGCCTATTTATTTATTGAGACAGAGTCTCACTCTGTCACTGAGGCTGGAGCGCACTGGCGCAATCTTGGCTCATGATAACCTCTGCCTCCCAGGTTCAAGTGATTCTTGTGCCTCAGCCGCCCGAGTAGCTGGGATTACAGGTGTGCACCATCATGCCCGGCCTATTTTTGTATTTTTAGTAGAGACGGGGATTCAGTCTGTTGGCCAGGAGTTCACTCTGTTGGGCTCCTGGCCTTGTGAGCTGCCTGCCTCAGCTTCCCAAAGTGCTGGGATTACAGGCGTGAGCACTGCACCCAGCCCCCTTCATTTAATTTTAAATTGTGGTTAAAAAAAGAACCTAACATGGCCGGGCGTGGTGGCTCATACCTGTAATCCCAGCACTTTGGGAGGCCGAGGCGGGCAGATCACGAGGTCAGGAGATCAAGACCATCCTGGTGAACACAGTGAAACCCCATCTCTACTAAAAATACAAAAAAATTAGCTGAGTGTGGTGGCGGGCACCTGTAGTCCTAGCTACTTGGGAGGCTGAGGCAGGAGAATGGCATGAACCTGGGGGGCGGACTTGCAGTGAGCAGAGATCGCACCACTGCACTCCAGTCTGGGCGACAGAGCGAGACTCCGTCTCAAAAAAAAAAAAAACCACGTTTGACCTAGCCCAAAGATTCCAGCACATAAGAACTCCAGGGAAATGAGTGGCTCACAATAAACCTAGTAAACCTATAAAGACAACTGGAATTAAAATGTGCTCAGGTCCTTGTAGAAGACAAGAAATCCAAAGGAAATCAAGCAAAGGGGGAAAAAGAAACAGAAAAGATAAAATGAATGTACCAACTCAATACTAGGCCATAAGGCTAAGTCTCCATAAATTTCTTTCTTTTTTTTTTTTTTTGAGACAGAGTCTCACTCTGTTACCCAGGCTGGAGTGCCGTGGCACAATCTCAGCTCATTGCAACCTCTGCCTCCCGGATTCAAGCAATTCTCACGCCTCAGCCTCCCAAGTGGCTGGGATTACAGACAAACGCCACCACATGCAGCTAATTTTTTTATTTTTAGTAGAGACAGGGTTTCAGCATGTTGGCCAGGCTGGTCTCAAACTCCTGGCCTCAAGTGATCTGCCTGCCTCAGCCTCCCCAAGTGCTGGGATCAAAGGTGTGAGCCACTGTGCCCAGCCCCTACATAAATTTCAAACACCACATTCCCTGAATACAACACAAAAAAGTTAGAAATCAAATAATGAAAATATAACTAGCAAAATTCTGTATGTTTGAAAATTTTAAATATTTTCCCAGAAACTATAAAACTACATGTTAATGTGGATAAATCTCAAACAATCTTAACTGAAATAATTAAATCACAGAAGCCTGAATAATGGATTCATTTACATAATTAAAGAACACATTCATAGTGGTAACACTATAATGAAAGATGAGAAAGATTAACACAAAGTTCACCCTAGTGTTTACCTATGGGTAATAAGGGGACTGTGAGGTAGGGTAGAAAGAAGGTACACAAAGGATCTCTACAGCACTATTAATGTTTCACTTCTTGAGCTGGGGCTAGAGATCTGGGTAATCATTTCATTTTTATTTTTTAAACTACATATAAGCTTTGTACACTTTTGGATATTAGAACTTCAATAAAATTATAAAAAAGAGAAACAGGGGAAAAAGTATAATTGTCAAGATGGAGCTAAAAAAATAACATGGGTGAACAAGGTGCCACCCACATGCAAGCTTCCTTCCCATGTCATGTAATGCCTCTCCTCATCTGCTCCATCAATCAATAAAGGCATAATCACTCCTGTGATACCTTTAAGAAAAGAACACACTCTCTCAAAGCTGGGTGCAGTGGTGCACGCCTGTAATCCCAGCCTCCTTTGGGAGGCCGAGGCGGGCAGATCACCTGAGGTCAGGAGTTGGAGACCAGCGAAACCCATCTCTACTAAAAATACAAAAATTAGCTGGGCGTGGTGGTGCTTGTCTGTAATCCCAGCTACTTGGGAGGCTGAGGCATGAGAATCGCTTGAAACCAGGAGGCAGAGGCTGCAGTGAGCCGAGACTGTGCCACTGCACTCCAGCCTGGGTGACAGAAAGAGACTCTGTCTCAAAAAAAAAAAAGGAACATGCTCTCTCATTCAAGGTTACCCTTCTATCACTCCAAGGATTCACTCCATAATCTTATCTTTCTTGATATGTTACATTCACTAAAACGTTCACATCAAATCAAGTTTGTAGACACTTGTCCTTACCACCTTACAAAAAGTGAGATGGTATCAACAGAGGTGAGACACTGCTTTACCTGCATGTCACTTTTGGCAGCTTTCACAGCATTGAAAAGATCATTGGCTGGTGGCTCTGACTGTTTCCGGCTATGACGATGTACCACTCGGGACCCTTTCTCTGGATGTTTGCCATCTAATATGTATAAAAAGATCAGAAATATGAAAAAAAGGTAACAATGACATTAACACTTGGTCTCATCATTATCACACAAGTAGGCTTATGCTGCCACTTCCATGGCAGAGTCTGAGTTAGTCCTGAAATAATTGATTTTTATATTATGAAGTTTATTAACTTTTTTCCCTTAAAAAAAAAAAGTCCTTGAGTCCCCTTCCTGTATCCCTATATCCTAACGTCCTTTTCTCTTCTTTTCTCTTCAAAATTTCTCTTCTTCCTATTTCCGTCCCTTAACACTTTGTAAATCTTGTCCTTTTATGAACCATATCACCTGAACCTCTTTTAGGTTTTTTTTTTTTTTTTTTTTTGAGACGGAGTGTCGCTCTATCACCCAGGCTGGAGTTCAGTGGCGTGATCTCGGCTCACTGCCAGCTCTGCCCCCTGGGTTCATGCTATTGTCCTGCCTCAGCCTCCCAAGTAGCTGGGCTGCTTCCCCCACAAGATTCAAAAACAAAAGAAAACTGGCTGACTCACCGGTGTTGCTTTTGGTGGTCGTTTTGCTGCTTTCTTCTTCACACTGTGATTCAAGCTGTCTTCAAAGTCATTGCCTTCATCAGCTAATAAAGAGTCAGTATTCCTGTGAGAAAGTACCGTTCTCTTTAAATATAACCACCCTAATTCCCTCCATATAAAAGGCTAATGAATTAGTTTCTCTGTCTCTCACTGCATCCCATCTCCATGAGAAAAACATATTCAGAATTTAAGAAAAAATGAGCTTATTGTTAGTAGGAAGTTGGGACAAAGTCTTTTTTTTTTTTTTGAGACAGAGTTTCACTCCTGTCACCCAGGCTGGAGTGCAATGGTGTGATCACGGCTCACTGCAACCTCCACCTCCCAGGTTCAAGTGATTCTCCTGCCTCAGTCTCCCGAGTAGCTGGGATTACAGGTGTTTCACCATGTTGGCCAGGCTGGTCTCAAACTCCTGACCTCAGGTGATCCACCTGCCTTGGCCTCCCAAAGTGTTGGGATTACAGGCGTAAGCCACCACACCCGGCCAGGACAAAGTCTTAAAGGAAAACTTTCACATGAAAGCAGTGGAGACGAAGAATGAGGAAATGAGGCACGGGAAGGACAACCCTTCCTAGTATTCTCTCCGAAGAAGAGAATCAAATGCTACTCACTTAGCGGGTAGAGAGATCACTGCTCTTTGTAGAGAAAAACAATCATGGCCCAGGAAGTCATCCATCACTCATCCATAAATGGGAGAGTAATATGGACCTAGAGTTAAATTTCACCCATGAAACATCAACCACATGTCATATCAATTCAAGTGTGTAACATTGATATAATCGGGTACACCACAGCAGCACTGACAGAAACAGAAATGATTCAGAGAAAGCCAATTAAAACAGCCAGGGGATAAAGCAGATCTGTATGACATTAGCTTTTTTCCTTCTGGAAAGATAAAAAACCAAGATATATTATTATAACCTACACAAAATAACCTCATATGTGGTAATAAATAAGGATACACAGACCTGTTTACAAAATCCCCAAGTAGAAGAACTAGGGGACACCAGATAAAAAGTTTATACAATTTACCAGGCAACAAGTAAAGAACTCTTTACTCACCCATCTGCCACCTCCCAGCCCCCACCAGGGGTTGTACATGCTGAACACAGAAATGTGTTTAAGAGAGGTTTAGACACGATGGATGATGGATTAAAAACAGGATGTGCTTGAACCCGGAAGGCGGAGGTTGCAGTGAGCCAAGATCACACCACTGCACTCCAGCCTGGGCGACAGGGCAAGATTCCATCTCATACAAACAAACAAACAAACAAAAAACAGGATGTACTACTATTTTGATGTCTACAACATCTAGGACCACCAAAAAAAAAACACCTGGAGCTGGAGGGAGGGTGTCACTGTGCTGAACGAGTACAGCACTTCTGGTGTATTCACACAGTCCCACGAATATTATCATCAATGTGGGAAAACGAGAGGGGGAAGGCTGCCACGGACACAGGAAGTGGCCGCACAATGCAACATCTACTTACCCTCTGAGGGATGGTTTGAGTCCCTGTCATCGAAGGGTAGACTGGCAGAGGAACTAGAAGATGCAGACAAGGCCCTCTTGGTATCTCCCACAGCTCTCTGCAGTGGGGAAGACATGCTTGGTGAGGAGGAGCTATGGGGCCAGGAAGACGACGACCGCAGGGTAGGTTTGGCGATCCAGCTGGGGAAGAAAGAGAAGAAAGGGCTCCTACCACAGCACTTCTCCATCCCCAGCCGTGAGCAGTCCCTTTCTTTGCAAGGGAATGGTTCTAGAACTCTGGGGTCGGGTGAGGGGGACCAAAAACTAAGACAAAGGCTGGGCACCGTGGCTCATGCCTATAATCCCAGCACTTTGGGAGGCCAGGGCAGGAGGATGGCTTGAGCCCAGGAGTTCAAGACCAGCCTGGGCTATAGAGCAAGACCCCATTTCTACAAAAACAATAATAATAATTAGCCAGGTATGGTAGCGCATGCCTGTATTCAGCTATTCAGGAGGCTGAGGTGGGAGGACTGCTTGAGTCCAGGAGTTCAAGGCTGCAGTGAGCTATGATCGCACCACTGTACTCCAGCCTGGGTGACAAAGTGAGACTCTGTCTCAAAAAATAAAAAAAATGAAAGAAAAGAAGACATTATGGGATGCAAGTCTGCAAAGCCTTAACTACAAACTAAAGAAACCAAAAGGAAAAGGAAGACTTTAAAATACAGGAGTAGAACCATCTCATTTTCCCCATAGTCCAATAGGTCCCTGCAATTGATCCCCAAATGCTTAAAACAAGGCCGGGCGCGGTGGCTCACGCCTGTAATCCCAGCACTTTGGGAGGCCCAGGGAGGTGAATCACTTGAGGTCAGGAGTTTGAGATCAGCCTGGCCAACATGGTGAAACCCCGTCTCTACTAAAAGTACAAAAATTAGCCAGGTGTGGTGTGAGTGCCTATAATCCCAGCTACTCGGGAGGCTGAGGCAGGAGAATCGCTTGAACTTGGGAGGCGGAGGTTGCAGTGAGCAGAGATCATGCCACTGCACTCCAGCCTGGGCGACGAGTGATATTGTCACTGTCTCCCCCTTGCTAACCTCCTAGGTGCTTAGGATAAAACGTCAAATATTTAACATGGCTTCACAGACATCTTGTATCATTTGGCCCCTGGCTACCTTACCTCACCCAATTTCCTCCTTTGCTCTGTACTCTAGCTACACTGTCCGAGGAGTTCCTAAAACATCACGCTGGGTCCGACCACAGGATCTTCACATGTGCTGCTCCCTCTATCTGCATCGCTCTTTCCTCTTCTCTTGTTTGCTTAACTCCTATTTACCCTCGGGCTTAATCAGCACTTTCTCACCTCTCCTAGTCTGTTGCTCTTATTTAAGATCAAACAGCAGAGAAATGTGAAGTCCACTGACTTCCGGGTGGAACAGGGTTCAGTATGCCAATTAAATTATTGGGTGCTGGCTGGGCACGGTGGCTCACACCTGTAATCCCAGCACTTTGGAAGGGCAAGGCGGGTAGATCACTTGAGGTCAGGAGTTTGAGAGGACAACATGATGAAACTCCATCTCTACTGAAACACAAAAATTAGCTGGGCTTGGTCGTGGGCACCTGTAATCCCAGCTACTCAGGAGGCTGAGGCAGGAGAATCACTTGGACGCACGAGGGGGAGGGTGCAGTGAGCCGAGATCGCACCACTGTACTCTAGCCTGAGCGACAGGGTGACTCCATCTCAAAAAAAAAAACAAAAAAAAAATTAGGTGCTGACTGAAAATAAATTTGAAAGCAAGGTGTATGACAGGGAAGGCTACTACCTGTGTAATATTCTCTTACTTAATGATTAGTCCTGAGTCATATTTCCAACCTCTCTTAACCAGCCTGTATTTGTACATTGTTTGTGTACAAGCTTGCTAATTTCCACAAATGACAGTAGGTTGTCTGCTCCAATAGGGCCAAAAATGCACCTACTGGATTCAAAGCTCAGTAAGGGCCAGGTGCAGTGGCTCACGCCTGTAATCTCAGCACTTTGGGAGGCCGAGGTGGGCAGATCACCTGAGGTCAGGAGTTCGAGACCAGCCTGGCCAACATGGTGAAACCCCATCTCTACTAAAAATACAAAAATTAGCCAGGCATGGTGGCGGGCGCCTGTAATCCCAGCTACTCGGGAGGCTGAGGCAGGAGAATCGCTTGAACCGGGGAGGTGGAGGTTGCAGTGAGCCGAGATCACGCCATTGTACACCAGCCTGGGCAACAAGAGTGAAACTCCATTTCCAAAAAAATAGTATCAGCCGGGCATGGTGGCTCTTGCCTGTAATCCCAGCACTTTGGGAGGCCATGGTGGGCAGATCGCTTGAGCCCGGGAGGTTGAGGCTGCAGTGAGCTATAATCGCACCATTGCACTCCAGCCTGGGTGACAGAGAGAGACCCTGTCTCAAAAAAGAAAAGAAAATGTCTACTAAGACCTCCACTCCCTATAATGGCACATTAAGTATCTCCAACCAACCCACTCAGTGAGTAAGATAGGAAAGCTGGTCAAATGTATTTTTTAAAATCTTAAGCCATTGTAATGTTGAGGAGGTAGTGAAGAATGATGAGGCTACAGCCTGGGAGAAGAACAAAAAATCTGGAGAGGTGAGCCCAGCATTTCAAACTACTTTTTCCTGGAGTTGTCTGCCAATTTGGAAGAGGTGGATGAATGTCTAAAAGGCTGAGAAGGCTTTCAACAGCCTTGTTGGGCTAGGGAACAATTATTTGAATACAGGACCTGCCAAGGCAAGGGGCCCTATTAAAGTCTCTGCACTTTGGAGTGAAACCAAAAAAAATGCTGCATCCTAGGAATCAGAAATAGACCAGAAAGCCAGGCACAGTGGCTCACACCCATAATCCCAGCACTTTGGGAGGCCAAGGCGGGCAGATCACTTGAGGTCAGGAGTTCCAGACCAGCCTGGCCAGCATGGTGAAACCCTGTCTCTACTAAAAATACAAAAATTAGCCGGGCATGGTGGTGCACACCTGTTGTCCCAGCTACTTGGGAGGCTGAGGTGTCACAAGAATTCCTTGAACCCAGGAGGCGGAGGTTGCAGTGAGCCGAGATCACACCACTGCACTCCAGCCTAGGTGACAGAACGACACTCTGTCTCAAAAAAGAAAAAAAAATAGAAAAGAAAGAAATAGACCAGCCCTTCTGTGGACTAAAGTCCAGCTTCTAATCATCTCCGTTCCTGAAACTGAATAAAAGTAATCATAGATTCATAGATTGTTGGCACTCTCAAGCGCTAGCAATGTATATCCTGGCAGAAGCCAAGGTAAATTCTCTCCAGAGGCAGTTAATATAATGCTATATTAAAAATAAATATCAAGGTTTAAAGGTTAAAAAAAATTATTCCTCAAGATAAACAGTAACTCTTCACTGTAATAAAAAGTTAAATTCACCAGGAAGATAAAAGAATTCTAAATTTGCATGTACCTAGTAATATTGTCTTAAAATACATAAAGCAAAAATCAACAACTCTATAAGACTAAATAGCTAAACGAAAAATAGTGGGAAATTTTAACATACTTTTCAACAGAAACTGATAAAATAGTTAGACAAATAATTAGTAAGGATATAGAAGATTTGAACAACTTAATCTATGGACATATATGGTCACAGTGACATGATGAAGCTGGCTTGTATCCTCTCATGAGAAACAATTTTTAAAATTTCAAGACTTTTGTGAACCAGCTGATATCGCGCTAGTAGCTTGACATTGACCACTATGGGAATATTTATATAATAGTATGATAGGCAAATGCTACCAATCACAGTTTTATCCCCTTCCCCTCTGAAGCCAGTTAGTTTTTTTACTTTTTCTTTTTTTTTGATAGAGATGGAAGTCTTGCTATATTGCCCAGGCTGATCTTGAACCCCTGGACTCAAGCCATCCTCCTGTCTCAGTCTCTCTAGTAGCTGGGACACCATGTCTGGCCAGTTGTTAAGTTTTGTTTGTTTGTATTTGAGACTGAGTCTCGCTCTATCGCCCAGGCTGGAGTGCAGTGGTGCGATCTCAGCTCACTACAACCTCCATCTCCTGGGTTCAAGCGATTCTCCTGCCTCAGCTTCCCCAGTAGCTGAGAGCACAGACGTGTGCCACCACACCCAGCTAATTTTTTTCTTTTGTTTTTTTTTGTATTTTTAGTAGAGACGGGATTTCGTCATGTTGGCCAGGCTGGCCTTGAACTCCTGACCTCAGGTGATCCACCTGCCTCAGCCTCCCAAAGCGTTGGGATTATAGGCATGTGCCACCGCACCTGGCCATGCTGCATCTTCTTTGCCCTAAATGACCCCTTGGTCTGAAGAGATGACATAGGAGATCCCTTCCCCACAAGTCAGATGCATTTTACAAGCCCTTGAATGATGGTGCTGGCAGAGGTACTGCAGATAGAAAAGGCCAGTCCATTTCTGGTGTAGTACCAATTAGAGTAAGACAAATCAATGCCCCCCTCTGGGATGAAAGGCGGCCAGTGTAATCAACTTACCCCCAAGAGGCTGACTGGGCTCTTCAAAGGATCGCACTGTATCATGGGTCATTCAGTTCAGGCATTCAGTAACAGCAGTAAATATATCAGCCTTGCTGAGAGTGAGCTCACGCCATCGTGCCCATGTGTAGCCTTCAGTCCTGCGCGTGGCCATTCTGCTGATGGACCAATTGCACAATCACTGGAATGGCTTAGGACAGACACTGTGTGACCTCCATAGAGAAGCTATCTTTTTTGTTTTGTTTTTTTGTTTTTTGAGACAAGGGCTCACTCTGTCACCCAAGCTGGAGGGCAGTGGTGTGATAATCACTTTTGGAGGCTGAGGCAGGAGGATCACATGAGCTCAGGGGTTCGAGACCAGCCTGGACAACAGAGCAAGACACCATCTCTACAGAAAATTTAAAAATTAGCCAGGCGTAGGCCGGGCGCGGTGGCTCATGCCTGTAATCCCAGCACTTTGAGAGGCCGAGGCGGGCGGATCACGAGGTCAGGAGATTGAGACCATCCTGGCTAACACGGTGAAACCCCGTCTCTACTGAAAATACAAAAAAATTAGCTGGGCGTGGTGGTGGGCGCCTGTAGTCCCAGCTACTCAGGAGGTTGAGGCAGGAGAATGGCGTGAACCCAGGAGGCAGAGCTTGCAGTGAGCTGAGATTGCGCCACTGTACTCCAGCCTGGGCGACAGCGAGACTCCGTCTCAAAAAAATAAATAAAATAAAATAAAATAAAAATTAGCCAGGCGTGGTGATGTGCTCCTGTAGTCCCAGCTACTCAGGAGGCTGAGTTGGGAGGTTCACTTGAGCCCAGGAGGTTGAGGCTGCAGTGAGTTATGATTGCCCCACTGCCCTCCAGCCTGGATGACACAGCGAGACTCTGTCTCAAAAATAATAATAATAAGTAAACCAATAAATAAAAAGAAGTGTGGGGGCTTCAACCACATTGGCCTCTGGGTTTTCAAAAACCTGTCACCCCAAGCCTTGGCCTTATGGTGAGCAGGGCAGATTTACAGGCCCGAGCTGCCTCAGAGGGCACAAGGAGCTAAAGGCTGAACTCCTCACGAAAGCAACTCAGACAATGGAGGGTTAGCTCCCCTGCAACCTGGCAAATCCACACTGTAAATTAGGTCAAGTTTATTGAGGTACAATGTTCATATGATTAAATCCACCCTTTTAAAGTATATGGTTCAAGTCCAGGCACAGTGGCTCACACCTGTAATCCCAGGACTCTGGTTTGAGACCAGCTTGGGCAACATAGTGAGACCCCCATCTCTACAAAAAAACAAAACCAAAAAATACAAAAATTAGCTGCACATGGTGGTGCGTGCCTGTAGTCCCAGCTACTCGGGAAGCTGAGATGGGAGGATTGCTTGAGGCTGAGAGGCAGAAGTTACAGTGAGCAGAGATCGAGACACTGCACTCCAGTGTGGGCGACAGAGTGAAACTCTGTCTATGAATAAATAAATAGAAGTATATGGTTAAATAAGTTTGATAAATGTGGATGGTTGTGTAGCTGCCACCACAATTCAGATATAGAACATTTTTGTCATCCAAATATTATGCAGAGAGGCCAGGTGCAGTGGATCATGCCTATAATCCCAGTGCTTTGGGATTCTGGGGATAGAAGGATCACTGGAAGCCAGGAGTTTGAGACCAGCCTGGGCAATACAGCAAGACATCATCTCTACAAAAATAATAATAATAATAAAGTAAAAATAGCCAGGTGTGGTGGTGTGCACCAATAGTCCCAGCTATTCAGGAGGCTGTGGCAGGAGGATCACTGAAGCCCAGGAGTTTGAGGCTGCAATGGGCTATGGTCACGCCACTGCGCTCCAGTCTAGGCAACAGAGTGAGACACCATCTCAAAAGAAGGAAAGAAGGTAGGAAGGGAGGAAGGGAGGGAGGGAGGGAGGGAGGGGAAAAAATATCTATTACCCAAGAAAGTTCCCTGAGGCCCTCCCAGGTCAGTCCCGTCCTCCTACTTGGCCCATGGCAACTGCTGATCTGTTTTCCATCCCTATCATTTTGGCTTTTCCAGAACATCAAGTAAATGGAACCATTCAGGTTGTGGCCTTCTATTAATAGATCTGACTTCACTCACTAAACATAATGCATCTGAGATCCATCCACGTTATTGCAAGCCTCAAGAGGTCCTTCCTTCCTTTTTCTTTTTTCTTTTTCTTTTTTTTTTTTTTGAGATGGAGTCTCACTCTGTCGCCCAGGCTGGAGTGCAGTGGCACGAGCTCGGCTCACTGCAAGCTCCGCCTCCCGGGTTCACGCCATTCTCCTGCCTCAGCCTCCTGAATAGCTGGGACTATTGGTGCACACCACCACACCTGGCTAATTTTTTTGTATTTTTAGTAGAGACTGGGTTTCACCCTGTTAGCCAGGATGGTCTTGATCTCCTGACCTCGTGATCTGCCCGCCTCGGCCTCCAAAAGTGCTGGGATTACAGGCATGAGCCACCACACCTGGTCCCCTTTTTTTTTGAGATGGGGTCTCACTGTCGCCCAGGCTGAGTGCAGTGGTATGATATCTTAATCCACCTTCTTAATCCGACTCACTGCAACCTCCGCCTCCTGGGTTCAAGCAATCCTCCTGCCTCAGCCTTCCAAGTACCTGAGATTACAGGTGCACACCACCATGCCCAGCTAATTTTTGTATTTTTAGTAGAGATAGGCTTTCATCTTGTTGGCCAGGCTGGTCTTGAACTCCCGGCCTCAAGTGATCCTCCCTCTTCAGCCTCCTAAAGTGCTGGGATTACAGTCATGAGCCACCGCACTCAGCAAAAGCTCCTTCCTTTTATTGCTAAGTAGTATTTCCCTGTAGGTCTAGATCTCAATTTGATGGACATATGGGTTGTTTCCAGTTTTTGGCAATTATGAATCAAGCTACTGTTTGTATTTGCATACAGGTCAGTCAGTGGACATATATTTTCATTTCTCTAGTTTGAGACCAGCCTGGGTAACGAGAGTGAAACTCTGTCTCAAAAAAAAAAAGAAAAGAAAAGAAAAAAAGAAAAAAGAAAAAAAACCCTGCTGTTTTAGTACTTAAAGTATCAACCACTACTCAAAGAATTGAGATAGGAGTACCCACTCGTCTAGGGTAATCAACCATCCTGGCTTGCCCAAGATTCTCCTGGTTTTAGCACTGAAGGTCCCACTTTCTGGGAAACCCTTCAGTCCTAGGATCAAACTAGGACAAGTGTGGTCACCTATTTTTTTTTTTTTTTTTCAGACAGAGTCTCTCTCTGTCTCCCAGGCTGGAGTGCAGAGGTGCGATTTTGGCTCAGTACAGCCTCCGCCTCCTGGGCTCAAGCAATTCTCCTGCCTCAGCCTCCCGAGTAGGTGGGATTACAGGCAGCTCCCCCCACCCCACACGCCCGGCTAATTTTTTTTGTATTTTTAGTAGAGACGGAGTTTCACCATGTTGGCCAGGCTGGTCTCGAACTCCTGACCTCAGATCATCCACCTGCCTCAGCCTCCCAAAGTGCTGGTATTACAGGCGTGAGCCATGTTATTGAATGTCAGGCTCTGCTGGACACTGCATGTCCAAACGTCATTTTACCCATGTGCCAGCGACAAGGTAGATTCGCTTGTACCAATTTTGCACATAAGGAAACAGCCTTAGAGAGGTTAGGTTGCTTGTGCAAGCCCAGGGTAGGTGGCACCCAGTCTGCCAGTCTGCAACGCACTGGTATCTTCCAGCCAGTAGACCTTGCTCCCTGGGTGCCCAGTTCTGGATCTCAGGAAAGGTGGATTAAGGCTCCTAGTGGCGGGACCTGGGTGGGGATTTGCTGCCCTCTGGTGGCAGAAGGGACATCACCCTGGGTGTGAGACTTGTGGGCATCTGTGAGGCGGCCTTTCATCCCAGGGAGCCGGACCTCAAATCTGACCTCAGCCCCAGGAAGGTGCCACCAGGAAGGTGCCACCTAGGAGGGTGCCACCAGGGTTCCCGCCAGGGTCTGCTGGGGCCCTGTCCCATCTGTGTGAGTCACATAATCACTCAGGCTGTCACAGACCCAGGGCTAGACTGCTGGGTTTGAGTCTGTGTGGCCCTGAGCCAATTGCTTTCTCCTCTGGGCCTCAGTTCCATTTCAGTAGAATCAGGATGATAGCCTGGGCAACATAGCAAGACTCCAGCTCTACCAAATAAATAAATAAATAAATAAATAAATAAATAAATAAATAAAATATTAGGCTGGGCAAGGTGGCTCACGCCTGTAATCCCAGCACTTTGGGAAGCTGAGGCGGGTGGATCACCTGAGATCAGGAGTTCGGGGCCAGCCTGGCCAACATGACGAAACCCTGTCTCTACTAAAAATACAAAAATTAGCCGGGCATGGTGGCGGGTGCCTGTAATCCCAGCTACTCAGGAGGCTGAGGCAGGAGAATCGCTGGAACCTGGGAGGCAGAGGTTGCAGTGAGCCGAGATCGCGCCATTGCACTCCAGCCTGGGTGACAAGAGAGAAACTCCCTCTCAAAAAATAAAAATAAAAAGTTAGCTGAGTGTGGTGGCACCAGCCTGTTGTCATAGCTACTCAGGAGTCCAAGGCTGAAGAATTGCTTGAGGTCAGCCTGGGAAACATAGCAATACCCCATGTCTACAAAAAATGTGAAAAATTAGCTGGGCATAGTGGTACCTGCCTGTAGCCCTAGCTTTTCTGGACACTGAGTCAGGAGGATCCCTTGAGCCCAGGAGTTCGAGGCTGCAGTTAGCTATACTGGCACCACCGCACTCCAGCCTGGTGACAGAGTGAGACCCCGTCTATTGAAAAACATATATCTGCTGATAAATATGTCCACAATTTAGACCAGACTTAGACACTGAAGTTATTACCAGCTCCTTCACACCCACATGCCTTAACTCTCTCTTGCCTTCATGCATTCCTTCACTCCATTCATTCGCTTAACTTTCATCCAGCAGATATCTGCCAAGCACCAGCTCTGTGACAGACACTGAGGCTGGGGGTGCCAGGGAGACCTTTACCAACCGGACAGACACTGCCCCGCACTCCTGGCTCTGTGGCTTTCTGATAGTCCGTGGCCTCACATGTTCATTTATTAAGTGTCCTTTTATTGATTGAGTCTTCATTCTTTCTCTTAATGTCCTTATTCATTCATTCATCCATCACTTGCTCATCTCACTGACACGTCTATTCAGTCTTCATATATGTTTTCATTCCTTTATTCTCCAAGCATCCTGGAAGTACCCACTCTACACCATGCCAGGGTTAGATGCTGGGATTCTGGCCCAGCCCACCACACTGCCAAGCCCATGGGGACACAGATGGTGAGGACATAGTGGTAACTACTTCACCAGTTATTGGGATTCAGAGCTGGGAGAGCACCAAGAAGGGAGCAATTCACTTCCTGGAAGTGAGGGGTGGGAGAGGCAATCTGAGAAGGCTTCTTGGAGGAGGTAGCATTTTGGCCAAGTTGAGAAGCCTGTATGGGAGTTCTCCAAGGAGGAAAAGATGCTTTGTTTTGTAGACAAAAACCTTCGTTCTGTGGAGTGTTTGGAGAAAAGTGAGGTACTGGTTGCTAATGTGTGTGATCCTGGGTGAGTTTGTGTGCATGGCCCCAGCCAGGCCAAGCCCTCCCCAGGTTCCAGTGACAGACCTGGGCCACTAAGGACCCTTAATTCCACCCTGAGCTCCTAGAAAACCACCCACTATTGGGCAGCCAGGAATGACCTTTGGAGAACAAACACTTCACCCTCCAGGTACCATCCACTTGTCCACCTGTTCATCCTCTTGGGGACTCAGTGGGAGGGCGACCCTGTCCCTAGGAGCCCATGTCCCTCCAGCAAATGTTTCTTTTATTTTTATTTTTATTTATTTATTTATTTTGAGACAGAGTCTTGCTCTGTCGCCCAGGCTGGAGTGCAAAGGCGTAATCTTAGCTCACTGCAACCTCTGCCTCCCAGGTTCAAGCAATTCTCCAGCCTCAGCCTCCCGAGTAGCTGGGATTACAGGTGTGCACCACCACGCCTGGCTATTTTTTGTATTTCTAGTAGAGACGGGGTTTCACCATGTTGGCCAGGCTGGTCTCAAACTCCTGACCTCAGGTGATCTGCCCACCTCGGCCTCCCAAAGTGCTGGGATTACAGGCATGAGCCACCACACCAGGTTTTTGTGGTCACGGAATGGTCTTGTGTGATGTTGGTGTCCTGGAAATTACTTTTGTTTGACAAGAGAACACCAAGACCCAGCTGTGAATGTCTGTCCAGCTCCCAGGGAAACAGAACAGGAACTGGACAGAGCTTCTCCTTCACATCCTTTCCCTTTTTCCTTCTTTTGTCCCACTGATCACAAAACCCACACCATTGCCTCGCTGACAATATAGCTGCTAACCCCGAGGCTTTAGTCATACAAAGAAAATAAAGAACGAAACTGTCTCAAAAAAAAAAAAAAAAAAAAAAGAATTCCAGAGACTGGCCTTAGGAGATCCAAATATCAAATGAAGCTTGCGGAGTGTCCCACCTCGGGAAGGAATGCTGAACAATTGATTGACACCCTTGTTGCCACCAGCCAGACTACCAGGTGACTCATTACTTAAGATAACCATCGCAACCAGATATGCGACCTGCATACCCTCAAAACCAGATATGCGACCTGCATACCCTCACGTGCTTTGCCCAGCCCAGCCTGCATACCCTACCCCTGATGTCAATTCCCATGCTTTGCCTAATAAAAAAAATTCCCAGCCAGGCGCAGTGGCTTATGCCTGTAATCCCAGCACTTTGGGAGGCCGAGGCGGGCGAACCATGAGGTCAGGAGATTGAGACCATCCTGGCCAACATGGTGAAACCCTGTCTCTACTAAAAGACAAAAAATTAGCCGGGCGTGGTGGCGTGCACCTGTAGTCCCAGCTACTCGGGAGGCTGAGGCAGGAGAATTGCTTGAACCTGGGAAACGGAGGTGCAGTGAGCTGAGTTCGCACCACTGCACTCCAGCCTGGCGACAGAGCAACACTCTGTCTCACAAAAAAAAAAAAAATTCCCCACTGGCTCTTCCACAAGTCAGCTGGAGGATCCCTTCACTTCTGCTTCCATTGTCTTCCCTGCACTCAAGCACAAGCTCTGAAATAAATGCCTTGTCTGGGAAATCTGCTTGGATCCCTGTTAAGTTTCATTACAAGGGGAGCCAAACAGCCTATGGTCTGTAACACCAAATGTATGTGAGCAACAGCTTTTCTCTTTCTCTTTCTCTCTCTAATTTTTTTTTCTTTTTCTTTTTCTTTTTTTTAGACACAGAGTCTTGCTCTGTCACCCAGGCTGGAGTGCAGTGGCACGATCTTGGCTCACAGCAACCTCCATCTCCCAGTTTCAAGCTATTCTCCTGTCTCAGCCTCCTGAATAGCTGGGATTACAGGCACACACCACCACACCTGGCTAATTTTTGTATTTTTAATAGAGATGGGGTTTCACCATGTTGGCCATGCTGGTCTCAAACTCCTGACTTCAAGTGATCTGCCCATCTCGGCCTCCCAAAACGTTGGGATTACACGTGTGAGCCACCATGCCGGGCCTTTTCTGTTTCTCAATGTCAACTAAACAAAAAATCAGGCTTTTAAAAAATTAAGGTTGGTTTTTTGCAATCTTACTGAGGACTGTAACCAGGGAAAGTCTTTCACAGAGTTTGTTAAACTGCTCCAAAACAGAGTTTCAGCACACATTTATATATTTATATTTATATACAGTTTATATAAAAACATTTATATACAGTTGGTGGTGCCCTGCATGTGCTCAGAAGTTATATCAAGCTGGGCGTGGTGGCTCATGCCTATAATCCCAGCACTTTGGGAGGCTGAGGCGGGTGGATCACCTGATGTCAGGAGTTCGAGACAAGCCTGGCCAACATGGTGAAACTCCATCTCTACTAAAAATACAATAATTAGCCAGGCGTGGTGGCGTGCACCTGTATTCCCAGCTACTCAGGAGACTGAAGCAGGAGGATCACTTGAACCTGGGAGGCAGAGGCTGCAGTCAGCCGAGATTGCATCACTGAGCTCTAGCCTGGGGGACAGAGTGAGACTCTGTCTCAAAAAAAAAAAAAAAAAGTTATATCTAATGTGCTCAGAAGTTAACAATAGAGCAAAATTTCATCAAGGCTGTGTGTGAGGGTATTATCTAGTTACAGATTACAGAGGCTTGGCTGGGCATGGTGACTTAACACCTATAATTTCAGCACTTTCGGAGGCCCAGGCAGGAGGATCGCTTGAGCCCAGGAGTTCAAGACCAGCCTGGGCATCACAGCAACACCTTGTCTCTGCAAAAAATAAAAATAAAAAATTAACTGGGTGTGGTGGCATGCGCCTGTAGTCTCAGCTACTCAGGAGGCTGAGGTGGGAGGAGTGCCTGAACCCGGGAGTTCAAGGCAGCAGTGACCTATGATCGAGCCCCTGCACTCCAGCCTGGGCAACCAAGCGAGACCCTGTCTCTAAAAAAAAAAAAAAAGTTATAGAAGCATAATCATTAATCCCGTCAGAGATTATGTACAGGAAGAGGCAGGGGCTAGGATCATTGAACTTGTCTTTTCTAAAAATGCAGTGTTCAGGCAAGAGAGGTGGAAACCTGTGTTCTCTCTCGCTCTTCCCAGCTTATTGTTCAGGGCGTTATTGGAGAGGGCTGCGCTCAGTCACCGAGTCACGGCCTTTGTGAAATCCTGCTCGCAAGCAGAATGAGCAGACATGGTTCCTTAGGTTTATTACTGTGCCTCACACTACGAGACGGTCATTCATTGGCAGAGGTGTATTTGCGGGGGGCCAGGTATAGAGTAATTCAAGGCGGACAAAGGAGGAATGTCCCAGTCTTCAGGAAGCTCAGTGACATGTTTGCGCTGTCTTATGTAAACAGGAGATTGTCAGAAATGGAGGAGGGGGCACCAGATCCAAGGAAGTGCCCGGACAAAGCCGGGAGGCGAGGAGAGCCGACGGGGAGGAGGTGCCGAGAGCATCAGCGGGGCTGCTCGGTGGCACGAAGACGCCCGCGGGGACTGGAGAGGTCGGCTAGGGCCAGGCTACTCAGGCACGGAGGGCCACCTCCCCTTCAGGGACGTGAGCATCTAGCTGCACTGATTTGTTGTTCAGGAACAGGAAATGAAACCCCGCAGCTTTGAACACAATAACCCACGCCAGCCTCAGGCTCATGAATATTCAGCAGGCTGCTTGCGCCTTGCAACCCCGCCTCCGTTCCCCTCTGCGGAGACTGCGTATGCGTCGCCGGCGCGCGGCTGTGTCGTCATACTTGCGCGCCGACGCCGCCGCTCGCTTGTGAAACTGGAAGGCTGCCATGGCTAGCCCAGCCGCCTCCTCGGTGCGACCACCGAGGCCCAAGAAAGAGCCGCAGACGCTCGTCATCCCCAAGAATGCGGCGGAGGAGCAGAAGCTCAAGCTGGAGCGGCTCATGAAGAACCCGGTGAGACGAGGCCCAGGCTCCACGGCCCGTCCGAGGCCCACCCCCTTCCTCTGCAGCGCTTCAGGGTTCCCGCAGGTCCACCTTCCCCGCCTCCAAACTCAGAAACTCAGTATCCGACCCTCCAAGAGCAGTCTTTGGGGAGGAGGAGGAGAAGGAGGCTGTCCCGGAGATAGTGAACTTCCCGTCTGTCCTTGTGTGAGAGCCCAGCTTGAATCAAAGCACGGTGGAGCGGCTTCCCGTGCTCCAAGACCCCTTCTGGTTTAACTTTCTGTGAACAAAAAGCGTTAGACTGAAAAGGTAGAATTTGTGGGTTAGCAAAAGGGTATACTCTAAACAACACTGATCGTTAGAGAGACAGTGGCCGAGACGTTTGGAGCTGGTCACTCCTCTCCCGCTCACACCCCCTCTGGGCCTCGGTCCCCTCAATCATAAAAACAATTGAACGGGAACGTCCTTTATACCTTTAACTAGAAAAGCTTGACTCTTCTTATCTAGTAGTGTTAAAGTTGGCGGTTTCTAGCTGGAAACTATGGCTTAGGTTTTTCAGTTCTGCTCTGGAAAGCGTAGCCCTGGGAAGGTGTGGACTGTGTTATACCCAAGAGTACATAGGATGAAAAAAGCCACGACAGAGGGAAGAACACAAAATCAGCTCTGTGTCCAAGTAGCAAAGCAGTCCTGCTTCATTAGTCAATTAAAATTCTTTGGTCTTAAGAGATGTAACTTGGGCTGGGTGCTGTGGCCCCTGCCTGTAATTTCAGCGCTTTGGGAGGCCAGGCGGGAGGATGGTCCGAGGCCAGGAAGGAGTTCAAGACCAGCCTGGGCAACATAGTGGGTCCCTGTCTTTACAAAAATAAAAAAATTGCCTGGTGTGGTGGTGTACGCCTGAGAGTCCTAACTATTCTGGAGACTGAACCGGGAGGATCACTTGAGCCCAGGAGTTCAAGGCTGCAGTGAGCTCTGATTGCACCACTGCACTCCAGCCTGAGGAACAGAGCAAGAACCTGTCTCTAAAAAAAGAGAGGGAGATATATAATTTTGTCAACAGGTTTATACTTAAATGCTTTCATGTTTAAATGTTGCAGGACAAAGCAGTTCCAATTCCAGAGAAAATGAGTGAATGGGCACCTCGACCTCCCCCAGAATTTGTCCGAGATGTCATGGGTAATGGCTGTGTGTGTGTGTGTGTGTGTGTGTGTGTGTAAATATAATTTTTTAAGGTAGCTATAGGCTGGGCGTGGTGGCTCATGCCTCTAATCCCAGCACTTTGGGAGGCCGAGGCGGGCGGATCATGAGGTCAGGAGATCGAGACCATCCTGGCTAACACGGTGAAACCCCGTCTCTACTAAAAATACAAAAAAAATTAGCCGGGCGTGGTGGCAGGCACCTGTAGTCCCAGCTACTTGGGAGGCTGAGGCAGGAGAATGGCGTGAACCCAGGAGGCGGAGCTTGCAGTGAGCCGAGATGGCGCCACTGCACTCCATCCTGGGCAACAGAGCGACATTCTGTCTCAAAAAGAAAAAAAAAAGGTAGCTATAAAAATCCTGTAGTTGGTATTTGTTAAATCTCTGATGAGGGGAAATGTGTGTTCACATGTTCGTGTTTTGCTTTTACAATGACGGGGATATAGTTGCTTTTATTTGTTTTTCATTTGACATTGGTAAATTTAGCTTAAGGGCTATAGTTGCTTATGGTTTGGCACTATAGAATTTTCTCCTGCAGTATTGCGGTTTTTTTTGTTTTTGTTTTTGTTTTTGTTTTTCTTTTGGAGACAGAGTCTCACTCTGTCACCCAGGCTGTAGTGCAGTGACACCATCTCGGCTCACTGCAACCTCCGCCTTCCGGGTTCAAGCGATTCTCCTGCCTTAGCCTCCTGAGTAGCTAGGACTACAGGCCCGTGCCACCATGCCTGGCTGATTGTTTTATTTTTAGTAGAGACTGGGTTTCACTATGTTGGCCAGGCTGGTCTTGAACTCCTGACCTCAGGTGATCCGCCCGCCTCAGCCTCCCAAAATGCTAGGATTACAGCTGTGAACCACAGTGCCCGGCCATCTCCTGCATTATTCTTAATAACGCATTGTGGTTTTTTTGTAAATAAAAATAGTTTTATTATTTTGTTGGATCATAAATTAACATATCTACAGGCTTACCATGGAGATGGTGCGGGTTTAGTTCCAGGCAACCTAGTTAAAGTGAATGTCGCAATAAAGGGAATCATGTAAATTCTTTAGTTTCCCACTGCACATACAAGTTTTCTTTATACTCTACTGTAGTTTAATGTGCAATAGCATTATGTCTTTAAAAAGCAACATAGGCCAGGCACGGTGGCTCGTGCCTGTAATCCCAGCACTTTGGGAGGCCGAGACAGGAGAATTGCTCGAGTTTGAGACCAGCCTGGGCAACACAGGAAGACCTCATCTCTACTAAAAATGTAAAAATTAGCCAGGCATAGTGGTGCATGCCTCTGGTCCCAGCTACTTGGGAAGCTGAGGCAGGAGGATGGCTTGAGCCCAGGAGGTTGAGGCTCCAATGAGCTGTGATTGCGCCACTGCCCTCCATCTTGGGTGACAGAGCAAGGCCCTGTCTCAAAAAAAAGAAAAAAGCTGAAGAAAAAACACTTTTACAAAAATATGATTGTTCTACATATACAACTTTGTAAGCACCTTTATTTCATTTAATGTATCATGGATGTCTTTTCAACTCACTAGAAATTTAGCGTGTCAAATGTGAAATCATGGAGGAGGTGAGAAAGTCACTTAACCACAGTCTGCCCCTCCTGATACTGCATTTGAGTGGGATTTTTAGTGACTTTACATTCAACATTCATAGAACAAATAATTCACGACATCTACAATATGCCAGGTACTGGGCCAGTTCTGGATACAGTGGGGAGAAAGGAAGGCATGGTCCCTTCCACGACTTCCACTTTTTGTTTCTTTAGTCACCCTCGATTAAGGGTGACCTGTGTTGGTAACTGAATTTCATCTAGAACTGTGGACTGTTCTGGCTACAGGTTCAAGTGCTGGGGCCGGCAGTGGAGAGTTCCACGTGTACAGACATCTGCGCCGGAGAGAATATCAGCGACAGGACTACATGGATGCCATGGCTGAGAAGGTCAGTGAGCCAGAAGGCTGGCTGAGCCCCCATGTTTGGGCAGTGTGCGTGTACTTTCTTTAGAAAAAAGCATTTGAAGAGGCTGGGCGTGGTGGCTCAGGCCTGTAATCCCAGCACTTTGGAAGGCCGAGGCAGGGGATCACCTGAGGTCGGGAGTTTGAGACCAGCCTGACCAACATGGAGAAACTCTGTCTCTACTAAAAATACAAAATTAGCCAGGTGCATGCTTGTAATCCCAGCTACTCAGGAGGCTGAGGCAGGAGAATCTCTTGAACCCAAGAGATGGAGGTTGCAGTGAGCCAAGATCGTGCCATTGCACTCCAGCCTGGGCAACAAGAGCGAAACTCCATCTCAAAAAAAAAAAAAAAGAGAGAAAAGAAAAGAAAAAAGCGTTTGAGGAAGAATAGATACTGCTAGTTGTGGCTGGTGTGAGGTCTGCCTTCTACGGACAGCACAAAATGCAGAGTCTCTACTAAAAATACAAAACCCCGTCTCTACTAAAAATACAGAAATTAGCTGGGCGTGGTGGTGGGCAACTGTAGTCCCAGCTACTTAGGAGGCTGAGGCAGGAGAATTGCTGGAACGTGGGAGGTGGAGGTTGCAGTGAGCCTAGATTGCACCATTGCATGCCAGCCTGGGCGACAGAGTGAAACTCCATCTCAAAAAAAGGAAAAAAAAAATAACACCAAGAAATAATCATAAAATATTGTAATATTTAGCCATAAAAAGGAACAAACTACTGATCTGTACAGCAACTGGGATGAATCTTTAAACATGGTGAGTAAAAGAAGCCTTGCACGAAAGAGACCATATTGTGTAATTTCATTTATATGACGTTTTAGAGCAGGTACAATTAGTTTGTGTGAGAAAAAAAAACTGGTTATCTGGTTGGGGTCACGGTTGACTGGGAAAAGACGTATGAGGGGACTTTCTGGGGTGATCAAACTGTACACTCGAGATCTGGGCATTTGGTTCTGTGTAGATACTAACTTTATTTATTATTTTGAGATGGAGTTTTGCTCTTGTTGCCCAGGCTGAGAGCAGTGGGGTGATCTTGGCTCACTGCAACCTCCACCTCCCAGTTTCAAGTGGTTCTCCTGCCTCAGCTTCCTGAGTAGCTGGGACTATAGGCACAACCCCCATGCCTGGCTAATTTTTTGTATTTTTAGTAGAGATGGGGTTTCAGTATGTTGGCCAGGCTGGTCTTGAACTCCTGACCTCAAGTGATCCACCTGCCTCGGCCTCCCAAAGTGCTGGGATTACAGGCGTGAGCCACCATGCCCGGCCAGCTATTACTTTAAAAGGAAGAAGAAAAGCATACACAAATATGAAACCCTATTTAATAACGTGCATGCTTGAATGTTCAAGAATGGAACTTCCCGATGTCTGCAGCTTACTTTGAAATGCACCAAAACAAACAAACAAAAAAATGATGAATTAGTGGAGGAATAGATGTATGAGTAGAGCTCTGGAAGGGAGGAATCATAATTTTCCCCATTTTATAGATGAGGAAAATGAGGCTTGGAAACAGGACTGCTGGGAAGACATAATACAGTGCATACCAATAGAGGTATGGATAGATCAATAGGTGTGTGATAAAGAAAATCCAGCACAACAGGAATTGTTGAGTCAAAGAGCAGTGGATATATCTGCTGTATAATTCTTTTAACTTTTCTGTTTGAAATTTTCAAAATAAAACATTAGGGAAAATTTAAACCAAAGAGACAGCCAGGATACAGAAGAAAATATGTAAGAATTTATTGGAATGGCCAAAATTGAGTTAGAAAAAATTCTGCTTTGGGGGGCCAGCCGTGGTGGCTCATGCCTGTAATCCCAGCACTTTAGGAGGCCAAGGTGGGTGGATCACTTGAGGTCAGGATTTCAAGACCAGCCTGGCCAACATGGTGAGACCCCATCTCTACTAAAAATACAAAATTAGCCGGGCGTGGTGGCACATGCCTATAATCCCAGCTACTCGGGAGGCTGAGGCAGGAGAATCGCTTGAACCCAGGAGTTGGAGGTTGCGGTGAGCTGAGATTGCGCCATTACACTCCAGCCTGGGCAACAAGAGTGAAACTCTGTCTCAAAAAAAACAAAAACAAAAATTAACCAGGCGCAGTGGTGCACACCTGTAATCCCAGCTACTTGGGAGGCTGAGGCAGGAGAATCACTTGAACCTGGGAGACGGAAGTTGCAGTGAGCTGAGATTGTGCCACTGCACTCCAGCCTGGGCGACAGAGTGAGACTCCTTCTGAAAAAAGAAGAAGAAAAAATGTCCTGCTCTGGAAACAGAATGGGGTCATTGTTGTGCTGGCTGTCAACTGATACTTGCTTGTCCTGTAGTTTTTCCTGGCCCCTGGGTGTTGGTGGTTCTTCTTGTTTCTGCCATCTTTTGTTGGTAACAGTCTCAATCCTAGTGAGAAGTATTAGACAGTTTTTGTCACAAAATTCTACCAGGTCACTGCAGTGGGTTTGCCTGTCAAAAATAATGCTCTGTGTATAGAAACCATCAAGCTGGGTGCGGCAGCTCACATCAGTAATCCCAGCACTTTGGAAGGCCAAGGTGGGAAGATCACTTGAGCCCAGGAGTTTGAACCCAGGCAACGTGGCAAGACCCCATCTCTACAAAGAATACAAAGACTAGCCAGATGTGGTGGTAGCCACCTGTAGTCCCAGCTGCTTGGGAGGCTGAGGCAGGAGGATCGCTTGAGCCTGGACGGTCAAGGCTGCAGTGAGCTGTGATCACACCCTGTACTCTAGCCTGAGTTAGTGAGCCAGACGCTGTCTCAAAAAGAAAGAAAGGGGGTGGGGGGTGGAGTGAGGGAGGGAGAGAAAGGAAAAGAAACTACTATCAGAAGAAACACTTTTATAAACTATTTTAGAGGGGAGGACATAGAGTAGGTTGCTGTCTCAAACACTATAAATTCGTCTGAAGTTTTTATGTATTGATTCAAGATTCAGAGAAAATACAGAAAAATGTTTCACAAACCTTGGCCTCTATGCAAATGCAAAGATTCTTATTTTGGATGGCAAAAGACAGTCTCTGAGATTTAAAAAAAAGGCAAGCACGTCCTCATTTTTTAGTGACAGATCACCTCCATCAGAGCCCAGTCCCACTCACCCCTGCTTGAGACATTGCCTCTGCCAGGTGCGGCAGCCAGCGGGGGCTCTGTTTAGTTCACTTGCTGGTAAATTTGGCTTCTTCAGCAGCACAGAGTAAGACATTCACGGCTCAGCTTTTTTTTTTTCTCTGAGACAGAGTCTCACTCTGTCACCCAGGCTGGAGTGTAATCTTGGCTTGCTGCAGCCTCTGCCTCCTGGGTTCAAGCAATTCTAGTGTCTCAGCCTCCCGAGTACCTGGGATTACAGGTGCCTGCCACCTGGCCTGGCTAATTTTTGTGTTTTTAGTAGAGACAGGGTTTCACCATGTTGCCCACACTGGTCTCGAACTCTGGACCTCAGGTGATCTGCCCACCTCAGCTTCCCAGTGTGCTGGGATTACAGGAGTGAGCCACCGCACCCGGACTTCACAGCTCAGCTTCTAAGCAAATCAGATCTTTTAGATTTAAGTCATTTGCTTTTTGGTTGTCCAGAAAGTTGATTAATTAAAGTTGATTTCCTTCCTGAAGGAATATTTTCTGCCCTCAGAGAGAGGGCTTGTTTGGTTTGGTTTCTGTGCCACTGTAAGCAGATGCGTACAGCCCTGGCGGTGCAGACCAGCAGAGGTGTTGAAGGCACCTCTTCCTCCTTTGCCGGCTCCTTATTTTTTGCTCCATTGACCTTTATGGCTGTGACTGGAAGAAACAAGAGATGACACTTTGAATCAGTAGATGTCTTTGTAGTTTACAGGTGGTTTTCTATTTTTTTTGAGACAGTCTCCCTCTGCCGCCTAGACTGGTGTGCAGTGGCGCAATTTCCGGTCTCTGCAACCTCTGCCTCTTGGGTTCAAGTGATTCTCCTGTCTCAGCCTCCTGAGTATCAGCCTCCCAAAGTACTGGGATTACAGGCATGAGCCATTGTGCCCAAACCCTTATTTCATTATTGTTCCTAACAGCTCTGGGAGAGAGGAATTACAATTTTCCCCATTTTATAGATGAGTAGACTGAGGCTTGGAGACAGAACTGCTGAGAAGAAGTAATGCAGTACTTACAAATATCTGTGTGGGTGTGGGTGTGTGCTTAGCAGCAGGTCATGGCAGCAGATGGCGTGTGTTACGCTGCTTTAGAATCAGTCATTTGGTGGCTGGGCACAGTGGCCTGTAATCTCAGCACTTTGGGAGGCTGAGGTGGGAGGATCCTTTCAGGCCAGGAATTTAAAACCAGCCTGGACAACATAGCCAGACCTGTCTCTACAAAATAAACATAAAAATTAGCCAGATGTAATGGCATGCACCCATAGTCCCAAGTACTCAGGAGACTGAGACAGGACGATCTATCAAGCCCAGGAGTTCAAGGTTGTAGTGAGCTATTGTGCCACTGCACTCCAGCCTAGGCGACAGAGTAAGACCTTGTCTCAAAACAAAAACAAAAAAACTCAGCCATTTGGTAACTATGGTTGGGCTTAGGGCTTGAAAATTCCATGGTTCTGACCCTCCGGCCATTCATTCTGATGAGCTCTGGGCAGTATCCAAGGCCCCGGCTGAGCAGATGGTGAGCGCTGCCCTCAGAGTGTCCTCTGCACTCCCTCCTGTATTGTCTCCTATATTGTGCTATGCATGAGTGGTGCCTCAGTCAACTAAAAGAGTTACTTCGCCATCGGAGACCTATGTATTGATTACCTGCCCTGCCTCTGGGACAGCCTTTTAAAGTTAAAATGGCCCTGGGGACCCGGGTAGTGCCTCCGTCACCCCCAGTGGTGTGACTTCTAGAACTCTCCTACTTTGCCTGAGCAAAACCTCCCACAGTCTGCCCAGACCAGAGCGTGTCTAAATGATGTGGGTTTTGTTGCAGCAAAAATTGGATGCAGAGTTTCAGAAAAGACTGGAAAAGAATAAAATTGCTGCAGAGGAGCAGACCGCAAAGCGCCGGAAGAAGCGGTAAGCGGCATGGCCTAACTGTGATGACACTTAAGGGCCAGGGGTGGTGGCTGGGTGAGCTGTCCTTGCAGTCAGTAGTAGTTCCTCTGCATGACCTGTAGGGGTCATGAATGTAGAGCAATGACTTCTACTACCTGAGCAGAGAGCAAGTTCCTTATGACCCTCCAACTGGTTACAGATTGTCCAGAGCTTGCAAGTCAGGACTTCAGTGATCACATTGATTTCTGTGTCTCCTTCAGGTCTGTATTTTTTTTTTTTTTTGAGACAAAGTCTCACTGTGTCCCCCAGGCTGCAGTGCAGTGGCACAATCTCGGCTCACTGCAACCTCCGCCTCCTGGGTTCAAGCAATTCTCCTGCCTCAGCCTCCTGAGTAGCTGGGATTACAGGTGCCTGCCACCATACCCAGCTAATTTTTATATTTTTAGTAGAGACGAGGTTTCACCATGTTGGTCAGGCTAGTCTTGAACTCCTCACCTCAGGTGATCCGCCTGCTTCGGCCTCCCAAAGTGCTGGGATTACAGGCATGAGCCACCACACACGGCCGCATCTGTATTTTAACAAGGTGCTGCAACCAAACTTCCCATTTAGCATGTTTCTTAAATTACGGTTTATGACTCCCTCAAGTGACTACATGGTATATAGGCTGTATGTTTATATGTGTATCTGTGTGTTTACATAAGTGGTCTCTCAACTTTTACAATGAGAGCTGAGGAGGATTCTAACAACAGCCCCTAAATATCTTGAAATGAAAAAGCATCTTTAGGGACCAGGCATGGTGGCTCACAGTTGTAATCTCAGCACTTTGGGAAGCCAAGGCAGGAGGATCGCTTGAGCCCAGGGGGCTGAGGCTGCAGTGAGTTATGATCGCACCACTACACTCCAGCCTGGGTGACAAAGTGCAACCCTGTCTCTACAATAATAATAAAAAAAATTTTTTTTTAAAAAGCACCCCTGTTATTTCTGAGGTTGCTTTGCCTCAGGGCTCCCTGGGATTTGCTCTTGAATCCTAATGAAAGCAGCTGATAAGGACGGACTGGCAGAGTCATGCAAAAGTTTTGGTTGGTGCAAAAGTAACTGCAGTTTTGGACCGTGAATTTTAGATCATTGTAACTAGGCTCAAACCATGTTTATTGATCAGAATAGGAACCATTACAATCAACACATTTTCACCAATGAGAAATAAGTTTATTTCTATAACGTAAAAATCCATGCTCCGGGATTTGAAGAAGTCTTGGAAAGCATTTTCTGCATCCCGCTGGTTGTGGAAGTGCTTTCCCTGCAAAAAGTTGTCAAAGTGCTTGAAGAAGTGGTAGTCGGTTGGCAAGAAGTCAGGTGAATATGGTGGATGAGGCAACACATCGCAGCCCAATTTGTTCAACCTTTGAAGCATTGGTTGTGTGACTCGTGGTCGGGCATTGTCCTGGGGAAGAATTGGGCCCCTTCTGTTGATCAGTGCTGGCTGCAGGCATTGGAGTTTTCAGTGCATCTCATCGATTTGCTGCACATACTTCTCCAGTGTGCTGGTTTCACCGGGATTCAGAAAGCTGTAGTGGATCAGTCCAGCAGCTGACCAGCAAACAGTGACCATGACCTTTTTTGGTGCGAGTTTGGCTTTGGGAAGTGCTTTGGAGCGGCTTCTTGGTCTAACCACTGAGCTGGTTGTCGCAGGTGTCATGTAAAATCCACTTTTCATCACATGTCACAATCTGATCGAGAAATGGTTCATTGTTGTTGCGTAGAGTAAGAGAAGACGGCACTTCAAAATAATGATTTTTTTGATTTTCGCTCAGCTCATGAGGCACCCACTTACCGAGCTTTCTCACCTTTCCAGTTTGCTTCAAATGCTGAATGACTGTAGAATGGTCGATTCTGAGTTCTTTGGCCCCTTCTCATGTAGTTGTAAGAGGATCAGCTTCCATGATTGCTCTCAATTTGTCATTGTCCAATGACTGATGGCTGGCCACGATGCTCATCTTCAAGGCTCTTGTCTCCTTTGCAAAACTTCTTGCCCCACCACTGCACTGTACATTCATTGGCAGTTCCTGGGCCAAATGCGTTGTTGATGTTGTGAGTTGTCTCCACTGCTTTACGACCCATTTTGAATTTGAATAAGAAAATCACTTGAATTGGCTTTTTGTCTAGCATCGTTTTCATAGTCTAAACATAAACAAGTAATAAGTCATTAGCAAAAAAAAAAAAAAGCCGATTAAAATGATGTATAACATAATCACATCTATTTAAGAATATATAGGCCGGGCGTGGTGGCTCACACCCGTAATCCCAGCACTTTGGGAGGCCAAGGCAGGTGGATCACGAGGTAGGAGATCGAGACCATCCTGGCTAACACAGAGAAACCCCATGTCTATTGAAAATACAAAAAATTAGCTGGGCGTGGTGGCGGGTGCCTGTAGTCCCAGGCTACTCAGGAGGCCGAGGCAGGAGAATGGTGTGAACCCAGGAGGCAGAGCTTGCAGTGAGCTGAGATTGCGCCACTGCACTCCAGCCTGGGTGACAGAGTGAGAGAATCCGTCTCAAAAAAAAAAAAAAGAAGATATTCCAGTATCAAACAGCAAATTCCAGCAATGCAAAAACGGCAATTACTTTTGCACTCACCTAATATTTTTCTTATTTTGTTATTGTAATGTTTGTGTTATTCCGCAGGTTTTAGAGATACCATAAGGAGGTGTTTATTTTCTAAAATATACCATAATGTAGTTAAGGAATCAATGTATATGGTTTTACATTTTTAGCCAGAAGTTAAAAGAGAAGAAATTACTGGCAAAGAAGATGAAACTTGAACAGAAGAAACAAGAAGGTGAGTGGTGCCCACTTTTCTTGGCTGTAGCTTCTTTCTTCTTGTTGGTCACAGTGGCTGAACTGTCAGGAAACACAGGGACGGAGAGTTTGGGCTGGTTGGCTGGCCACTGAAGAAATAACAGCTTATTCATATTAGCTAGGACCCATTGAATTGCAAGTATCAGAAAACCAAACTGGCTTAAGCAAAAAGATACTGGTTCAAGTTAGGTTGAGGACAGACCTCCCTTCTGGCATGGCTGGTCAGGGAGATCAGTGACATTATTGGTTATTGACATCTCCCCCTCTGTCCTGATGTCCTGTCCTCAGGCTCACACTCATGGTTTTGAGGTGCCTGCAGCAGCTCTCGGGGCTACATCCCTCCTCGATCTTGTCCAGGAGGGAAAATTGAGAGGATGTCTCAGCTTTCCTAGCAAAAGTCTTTTTGTGTCTCTCTGGCTCTGATTGAGTCACTTGCCAGGTCAGGTAAGAATGCTTTTGGCTACAAGCAACAAAATGCAGCAACAAAGTGCCTAAACCACGAGGAGTTGGTTGTTTTTACAGGATGAGAAATCTGGTAGTAGGTGGCAGCGTGATGTGGCTCAGCAGTGTAGGCTGGCTCCCCCGCACGTTCCCTGGCCTTTACCCTGAGAGTATGAGGTGGCTCCCATGGCTTCTGGCACCGTACCTGTGTTCAAAGCAAGAAGAAGGGGAGTGAGGTGGTACTTATGTGGTCTGCCTTTTTTAAATTGGAGAGCAAAAGTTTCTCCAGAAGTGCCCAGAAGACATCACCTTAGATACTAGGTCTCTTTGCCATCACTAGCTGCCGTCAGGCTAGAGGAATAGAAAACAGAACTGTTGTAACCAACTCAAACCTATCGTGATCCAGCACTGCGAGCTGAGTACATTGCCACCCTAGCCAGATCCAGGTCCCATTAATAAGGAAGAGTAGGAGGCAGGGTTGGCTGTTAGGTCAGCATCCCACCGTGCTGCCAATCCTGCCGCCTCTGAACTCATCACAATGCTAGTGGTGCTATCCCCCATCCCTGGGAACTCATGGGCTGTGAATAAGGGTGGGGGGCCCCAGCTGGAAAGGGCCAAGGATGCTAAGAGACCAAAAAATGACACTGTCCCCCACATGACTGCATCTATGGCTATTCCATGCTTGACTGGATCTGCTTCCTGAGTGCATGATTGTGGTTTTTGGTTTTAGGGTGAAGTCAGACTTTCATTGACGTATTAAAATAGAATTGGGCTGGGCATGGTGGCCCGTGCCTATAATCGCAGCTACTTGAGAGGCTGAGGCAGGAGAATCACTTGAGCCCAGGAGGCTGAGGTTGCAGTGAGCCGAGATCACGCCATTGCACTCCAGCCTGGGCAACAAAAGCAAAACTCCATCTCAAAAAAATAAAACAGGCCAGGCGTGGTGGCTCATGCCTGTAATCCCAGCACTTTGGGAAGCCAAGGCGAGTGGATCACCTGAGGTCAAGAGTTCGAGACCAGCCTGGCCAACGTGGTGAAACCCCATCTCTACTAAAAATACAAAAATTAGCTAGGCGTGATGGCAGGCACCTGTAATCCCAGCTATTCGGGAGGCTGAGGCAGGAGAATTGCTTGAACCTGGGAGGCAGAGGTTGCAGTGAGCTGAGATTGTGCCATTGCACTTCAGCCTGGGTGACAGGAGCGAAACTCCGTCTCAAAAATAAATAAAATAAAATATGATTGGCCACTTCTAGGAACCACTTCCTTATGAGTTGTAAATGTACTGTGTGACACATCGGATATGGTTTTAGGTTGTTTCTCACCCTTTCCTAGAAGAAATTATTTTAAATTGCTAAAATGTGACTGATAGGACCTCATCTCTCAAATAAAGTACCTCAACACTTTCCCCTCCACCGCAACAGTAGATCATGGAAGTACTTGGCCCAAGTAGGAGGATTGGGCATAAAAGCTATTCTCACAATCTGTTAAGGGGTTATTGTAGCTTGGACCTATTATATTTGGAAATTTGAGACCAGCCTGGGCAGCATAGTAAGACCCCATCTCTACAAACAGTAAAAAATCAGCCAGGCATGGTGGTGCACACCTGTAGTCCCAGCTTTTTGGGAGGCTGGGGCAGGAGGATTGCTTGAACCCAGGAGTTCAAGACTAGTCTGGGCAACATAGTGAGACCCCATCTCTACAAAAAGTTTTAAAAATTGGTCAGGTGTGGTGGTGCACGCCTGTCGTCCTATCTAGTCTGGAGGCTGAGGCAGGAGAGTCGCCTGAGCCCAGGAGGTCAAGGCTGCAGTGAGCCATGATTGTGCCACTGCACTGCAGCCTGGGTGACAGAGCAAGATTCTGTCTCAAAAAAATAATAATAATAATAATAGATCTCCTTTGCTGAGTAATTTGACCCTCCCTCCTCAGGGTTTGTTGGTTTTGCTGCTTATCATTGTCATTGTTGCTATTTGTGTGTTTAGTGACTTTCCTAACAAATTCTGTAAAACCTGTATTCTTTGTTGTGTTTGGACTCTGAAGTCTCTGCTCGGTCAGCTTAGTTGGTCAGTGGAAGATGAGAGATTTCCTTGAATGTCTTGAACCACCGCATCTCCCAGTCTTTGCCTAGGAGCTCTGTGTGTGTGTTGGAATGTGCCTCCAACCCCCTGGCAGGCAGTCTGCAATTTGCTGTAGCCTTTACTTCCTGCTTGCACAGAGCCTCCAGGGCAGCAGAGGCGAGCGGTCAGGGCCTTGGCTGTCTTTCTTGGGCATGTGCACTGCTCTGGTGGCCCTCTAGAGTCCCAGCTTTTCCTTTTAAGCTTTTTGGTCAGTTTCTTGTTTGTGTCAATCGTTACTGCTGTCTTGGTTGGTGGGATGTTAAACAGTTGTCACTGATGGTTTTTGACAAACGCCCAGGGGAAAATGCTGTTCACGTTGAGTGAGCTCAACTCAATACTGAGTCAGAGCAACTAAAGACAAGCCTTGCAGGTAGACGTTTCCAGGGAACTGCTAGACAGGTCAACTAGGGCCAGTACCCTGGGAGTGGAACTTCCAACAGCTCCCAACCCAGTCAGCCTCCTCCCATTTTTACAGCTACTGTGGCAGGGGGGCTCTTGGTTTTCAAGACTCCCTCAGATCTGGGGAGAGGGAGACGGGAAATTAAAACTCACAGAACTCACACTCTTAGTGAGGTTCAGGCATTTGAACAGCTCGAGGAGCATTTCCAGAGTTCTGAAAAAGTTGATTTTTAGGATTTTTGCCAGTGTTCTGTTACCTTTATGGAGGAGCAGATTTTTGGAGGCCCTTACTCTTCCATTCATCCCTTTAGATTTTAACTTTCAAACAGCACTGCATTTGAAGTATGTTTCCTGTACGTCAAATGTTTGGGTTATGTTTTTTAATTCATTCTGACAGTCTGTCTCTTTCTTGATATGTTTGGATTCAAGGCTACCATTTAATTTGTTTTTTGTTTTCATTTTTGTGTTTTTGAAGCAAGATCTCACTTTGCCACCCAGGCTGGAGTGCAGCAGTGCAATCACGGCTCGCGGCGGCCTTGAACTCCTGGTGGGCTCAAGCAATCCTCTTACCTCAGCCTCTTGAGTAGCTGGGCCTACAGGTGTGTACCACCATGCCTGGCTAATGTGTTATTTTTTTGTAGAGATGGGGTCTCACTATGTTGTCCAGGCTTGTCTTGAACTCCTGGGCTCAAGTGATCCTCCCACTTCAGCCTCCCAAGTAGCTGAGACCTCAGGCCTGTGCCACCACCCTCAGGTAATTTTTGTATTTTTTATAGAAACTAGGTTTCACTATGTTTTGAACTCTTAAGCTCAAGTGACCCTCCCGCCTTGGCCTCTCAAAGTGCTGGGATTTCAGGCGTGAGCCACCATGTGAAGCTGCCGTGGTTTTTCTCTGGCTGCTTGTTTTTTTTTTGTTTGTTTGTTTGTTTTTAAGTTGGAGTCTTGCTCTATCACCTAGGCCGGAGTACAGTGTGCAATCTTGGCTCACTGCAACCTCCACCTCCTGGGTTCAAGCAATTCTCCTGCCTCAGCCTCCCTAATAACTGAGATTACAGGTATGCACCACCATGCCCAGCTAATTTTTATATTTTTAGTAGGGATGGGGTTTCACTATATTGGCCAGGTTGATCTTGAACTCCTCACCTAAGGTGATCCGCCCACCTCAGCCTCCCAAAGTGCTGGGATTACAGGTGTGAACCACCACACCTGACCTTAGTTCTATTTTTAATTTTTGTGTAATCACCATACTTTTCCATAGTAACTGAACCATTTTAACGCCCACCAGTGCAAAAAGGCTATAATTTCTCCACATCCTCACCAACACTTATTTTCTGTTTTTTTTTTTGTTTGTTTGTTTTGTTTTTAGGTAACTATCCTAATGGGTGTGAAGTGGTATCTCACTATAGTATTGATTTGCATTTCCCTAATGATTTGTGATGTTGGGCATCTTTGTTGTTGTTGTTGTTTTGTTTGTTTGTTTGTTTGTTTTTGAGACGGTCTCGCTCTGTCGCCCAGGCTGGAGTGCAGTGGCGTGATCTCAGCTCGCTGTAACCCCTGCCTCCACCATGCCCGGCTGATTTTTGTGTTTTTAGTAGAGATGGTGTTTCACCATGTTGGCCAGACTAGTCTCGAACTCCACCCACCTCGGCCTCCCAAAGTGCTGGGATTACAGACATGAGCCACCACGCCCAGCCAGCACCTGAACATATTAAAAAATGGTTAATACCCCATGATTGTACATGCTTTGTACCAAATGGGAAGAATAGAGTGTTCTAAGGATAACCATCATAAAAGTGGTTTGGGCTTGGACTCTGGCTCACATCTGTAATCCTAACATTTTGGTAGGTCGAGGTGGGAGGATCTCTTGAGCCCAGAAGTTTGAGACCAGCCTGGTCAACAAAATGAGACCCCATCCCTACAAAATATTTAAAAATAAGCAAGGTGTGGTGGTGCACACCTGTAGTCCTGCCTTCTTGGAAAGCTGAGGTGGGAGGATGGCTTGAGCCCAGGTAGCCGAGGCGGCAGTGAGCTGTGATTGCACCACTGCACTCCAGCCTGGGTGACAGAGCAAGAGCCTGTCCCAAAAAAGAAGTGGTTTGTATGCCACTTATCTTGCCTTCTCAGTTTCCTTATTTTTCATTTTGTGAGAGTAAGCAAGCTTTTCCAGTTATCTGCTGGAAAGAAATGGGAGTAATGTGGTAATACCGAGTTGCGCCCCAAGGTGGCTTTGGTGCGCCGTGGGTCCTGGATGGACTCAGAGGCACAGATCACTCAAGCTATTTTGGCTCTTCTCCTAAAAAGCAGGAGGGGCAGCTGGCTGGGTGTTCTGTTGTTGGAGAGGACATCTCACCGCTTGTTTTCTGTGCTGATCCAGTAGCTCAGGGAAGACTCCCGGCAGTGTGGGACTTGTGTCTGAAATGACAGCATAGGATGACATTAAGCCAATGTGGATTATTCTGCAGCCTTGAACTCCCCAGATGATGTATTCCCACACCACTCTTACTTATCCTAACATAGGCCTGCCCATCAAAGAAATCCAGGGCGCCCTTAGGGGATTTGTTACTAGGTACATCTAGAGCAGAGCTTCTCCACAGTTGCACTACTGATGCCTCAGGCTGGAAAATGCTGTGTCCTGAGGGGCTGTGTCTTGGTCACTGCAGGGTGTCTCGTGGCATCCTAGTGTCTACCCTCCCGAGGCCAGGAGCACCCACCTTCCCCCAGTCATCAGCAATTGGATGTCTCCAGACACGACCAGATGCACCCCAGTGGGGGAGGAGGACGGAATTGTTCCTGTCTGAGAGCTCCTGATCTAGGGGCAGGTATCCAGTGTCCAGAAGGCACTCAGCATGTGTTTGGATCAAACTGTTTCTTTCAGAGCCAAAATCCTTCAACATAATATGTTGGAAAACTACCCACGTCCTTTGTGTCTTTGGAAAAAGAGATACTCTATGATCATTTTAGAAATTTTTAAAATATGCAGAAAAGAACAACATCAAAAATAAAAGTTGGCTGGGCACAGTGGCTCATGCCTGTACTCCCAACACTTTGGGAAGCTGAGGCTGGAGGATCATTTGAGGCCAGGAATTTGAGACCAGTGTGGGCAACATAGCAAGACCCTGTCTGTATTTTGTAAATAAATATAAGTTATCTGTAACCTGTACTAAAAATGACTTTAACACTTTAATATAATTTCTTTGATTTCAGTTTTTTAATATATAAGCCTTATTTCTATAAATGCCATATTTATAGATGTCCTGATTTTATCATGTAACATTGTATCACAAGTGTTTTCCCAAGTCTGTACTTACAAGGATTTTTTTCTAATCTATTCATTCATCTGTTAAAAACAAAGTGTGTGCTTCAGTTGCAGTCAGTGGCATTTTACCCAGTATGCCTGTAGCCTGTGAATAAAATCTCAGATTCCTGGATCTTAAAATAATATATAAACAGTAGTAGAAGAGTACTGGAAGGAGGGCCAGGTGCGGCGGCTCACACCTGTAATCATAGCACTTTGGGAGGGCGAGGCGGACAGATCACATGAGGTCAGGAGTTCAAGACCAGCCCAGCCAACATGGTGAAACCCTGTCTCTACTAAAATACAAAAATAAGCCGGGCATAATAGCGTGTACCTGTAATCCCAGCTACTCGGGAGGCTGAGACAGGAGAATCACTTGAACCCAGGAGACGGTGGTTGCAGTGAGCGAAGATGCGCCACTGCACTCCAGCCTGGGTGGCTGAGTGAGATTCTGTCTCAAAAAAAGAAAGAAAAAAAAAGAGTGGGGGAAGGAAATTATGGAGAAAGCTCAAATATCATTTCCTGAATTGATCACCTTTTTCTCTATTCATTTTCTCTTAGTCTCCATGTGCACATCATTTGTGTGTAGCTACAATTATAGGAAGTTTTCCATTTTGCTTATTTTATTTAACATTATACACGTACTGCTTAATGAAGCAATTCCTTCATAATTTTTTTAGTGACTGGTAATATCCAGCAGTTGACATGCCATAATACACCTAATCTTTCTCCTTTTATGAAACAGTAGATTGATTCCAGTACTTGTCTTCTGTGAATATCCTGTGTCTTTCTCCCTTCCCCCTTTCTGGGGTGATAGATTAAGATAAATTTCTAAACCAGGCATGGTGGCTTACACCTGTAATCTCAGCACTTTGGGAGGCCAAGGCAGGCGAATTCCTTGAGCCCAGGAGTTGGGAAACCAGCCTGACCAACATGGTAAAACCCTATCTCTACACAAAGTAAAAAAATTAGCCATGTGTGGTGGCACATGCCTGTAGTCCCAGCTACAAGGGAGGCTGAGGCAGGAGGATCACCTGACCTTGGGGAAGTGGAGGCTGCAGTGAGCTGTGATTATGCCACTGCACTCTAGCCTGGGTGACAGAGCGAGACCCTGTCTCAAAAAGGAAAAAAAAAATAATAATAAAGATAAATTTCTAACCATGGGAATTACTATATCACAGAGTATAAAAAGAACTCCTGGCTCTGGAAATATATTGCAGGTTACTTTCCGAAGAGATAGCCCCAGTTTTTACCATTGACAGTGTATGTAACAGGGTACACTCTCACCATATCCTCAACATTTTACTCTTCCTCCACATGGGTAAGAATGGGGCACATGAGAGCCACTCAAGGTCTTACTGGGGATTGAGTAAAAAGCCTTACAGAAATACAGTGCAGACCTGCAAGACTGTGGAGGCAGTCCCACTCTCTTGCCATTCCACCCCCCACGCACCCACCTGTGTACAGCCTCCAAAGCTCTGTTTTTTGAAATGGAGTCTTGCTCCATCACTCATGTTGGAGTGCAGTGGCGCCAGCTCAGCTCACTGCAACCTCCGCCTCCCAGGTTCAAGAGATTCTCCCACTTCAGCCTCCCAAGTAGCTGGGATTACAGGCGACTGCCACCACACCAGCTAATTTTTGTATTTTTAGTAGAGATGGGGTTTCGCCATGTTGGCCAGGCTGGTCTTGAACTCCTGATTTCAGGTGATTCACCCGCGTTGGCCTCCCAAAGCGCTGGGATTACAGGCGTGAGCCACCGCACCCAGCCCCAAAGCTATTTTATAAAATGTACATTGGATTGTCAGTCATTCTTCTGCCTTTACAACAATACCCAAGATCACGGAATGCTTCTTACGTACCCCTAGTTCTAAATGCTTTGCTTGTATTAACTAACAATCCTTACAGCAGCCCTGTGAGGTTAGTCAGTGGTGCTGTTATCCCCATTTTACTAATGACAGACCTTAGGCACCATGCGGTGATGGCACCCACAAAGCTGCAGAGGATGTGGGCAGCAGGCCAGGGTGTGATCCCAGGCACCCACACCCGCCCATGAGGCGATGCTGCGTGAAACCCTGTCAGCAGCCCCAGTGTTCCTGGCCCTCACGGTCTGGCCCCTTCCGGTCTCCACCATGCTGGTCTGTTCACTCCCTTCCACATGCCCCCAGCTCTCTGTCCCTCAGCCTCGCTGCATGTGCTTAGGCTGCCTGTACTCTGTTCACGCCGCCTGACTTCTCATCTGACTGGAGAAGCTCTCTTCACCTTCAGCTTCCTCTTACAATGCTTTCTGTTTGTGTAAAGCCTCTCCTCACCTTCCTCCGGCCCCCGGCCCTAGAAGTCGCCTTTCCTGCCAGCCTGCCCCATGGGGTTGTGTGTGCCCTTGGCTGCAGGCCCTGCCAGATCAGATAAGGTGCTTGTCCATTCAGCTATGTCAGTTCCATCTTTTTCAAAATAAGCCTCATTTTAGAATGACTTTAGATTCACAGAAAGATTGCAAAGATAGTACAGAGCGTTCTCATATATCCAGTCTCCCCATTGTTTAACTTCCTAAATTAACCTGGTACATTGGTCACAGTGTGTGAACCCACATCGATACACTTGTTAGCTGAAGTCCATACATTATTCCAGCTGCCTTAGTTTTTACCTGCTGCCCTTTTCTTGCTCCAGAATCCAATCCAGGGCACCGCGTCACATTGTGTTATTACGCATTCTTCGGCTCCTGTTGGCTGTGACAAGTTTCTCAGACTTTCTGTGGGTCCAGTACTCTATAAAATGGCCCTCAGTTGGGATTGGTCTGATTTTCTCATGATTTGACTGGGGTAGTTTGTTTTGGGGATGAGGACCACAGAGGGAAAGCACCCTTCTCACCACACATCAGGGCATTGTACTGCCAACGTGGCCATCAGGTTTTGTGGGGTGTTTTTTTTTTTTTGGAGACAGGGTCTCTCTCTGTTGCCCAGGCTGGAGTACAGTGGCACCATCTCACCTCACTGCAGCCTCGAACTTCTGGGCTCAGGTGATCCTCCTTCCTCAGCCTCCTGAGTAGCTGCAACTACAGATGCGCACCTCCACACCCTGCTAATTTTGGTGTTTTGTTTGTTTGTTTGTTGAGATGGAGTCTCGCTTTGTCGCCCAGGCTGGAGTGTGGTGGCGCGATCTTGGCTCACTGCAACCTCCGCCTCTTGGGTTCATGCCATTCTCCTGCCTCAGCCTCCTGAGTAGCTGGGACTACAGGCACCCACCACCACTCCCGGCTAATTTTTTGTATTTTTAGTAGAGACGGGGTTTCACTGTGTTAGCCAGGGTGGTCTCGATCTCCTGACCTCGTGATCCACCCGCCTCAGCCTCCCAAAGTCCTGGGATTACATGTGTGAGCCACCACACCTGGCTAATTTTGGTATTTTTTCTGGAGATGGGGTCTCATTATGTTGCCCAGGCTGGTGCCATCACTGTTGATGTTTACCTTGATCACATGGCTGAGGTAGTGTGGTCAGGTTTCTCCCCCATATGTTTACTCTCTTTTCCCCTTCCTGTACGTTACTCTGTAGAAGAAAGTCGTTGTGTGCAGCCCACACATAGGGAGTGTGGGGCTGTGTTCCTCCTCCCTGACAGTGGAGAATCTACATGCGTCATTGAAGTCATTCTGCATGCTAGGGTTATTTCTTCTTTCCATGTATTTATCATTATTTAATCATTTCCATCTATCAGTATGAGCTTGTGGGTATTCATTTTGTACTTGATAGTCCATTATTACTGTATTTGTTTTACTACTCATAGTATTCCCAGCTTTGGCCATTGGGAGCTCTTTCAGTTGGCTCCTGTGTTCCCTTGACAAAGTCCCATCATTGTGGGTACCTTTTTTTTTTTTTTTTTTTTTTGAGACAGGGTCTCTTACCTAGGCTGGAGTGCAGTGGCACCATCATAGCTCACTGCATCCTCAAACTCCGGGCTCAAACAATCCTCTCGCCTCAGCTTCCTGAGTAGCTGGGCCCACAGGCATGCACCACCATGCCCGGCTCAGTTTTAAAATTTTTTTGTAGAGACAAGGGTCTCGCTATATGGCCCAGGCTGGTCTCAAACTCCTGGGCTCAAGCAGTCCCCCTGCCTCAGCCTCCCAAAAGTGCTGGAATTACAGGCATGAACCACCACACTTGGCTTCCTTACTTCCTGGTACTATAGGATATTCCAGACTCGTGTCTTGTGTTTCCTGCCCTGGACCTGGGATCAGCCATTTGTCCAAGAAGTCCTGGCTGCTGCTTTCTTCTTCTTCTTCTTCTTCTTCTTCTTTTTTTTTTTTTTTAAGATAGAGTTTCACTCTTTGTTTGCCCAGGCTGGAGTGCAATGGTGCGATCTCGGCTCACTGCAACCTCCGCCTCCCGGGTTCAAGCAATTCTCCTGCCTCAGCCTCCTGAGTAGCTGGGATTATAGGCACGTGCCACCACACTCAGCTAATTTTTGTATTTTTAGTAGAGACAGGGTTTCACCATGTTGGCCAGGCTGGTCTCGAACTCCTAGCCTCAAACAGTCCACCTGCCTCGGCCTCCCAAAGTGCTGGGATTATAGGCGTGAGCCACCATGCCTGGTCCCTGGCTGCTTTTAGAGAAATGGTATTAAAATGGTATTAAAACCCAAGGTCTGGGGACTAGGCATGTTCTGTGCTACTGGATGGTTGCTTTTAGGCTCTCTCAGCTGACAGAGCCAGGAAATTTACCTGTGTACTCCACCAGTATATATGTACATATCTGTCAATACTAATACCCATAACCATCCCCATCCATATTACACTAACATGAGTTCATACTGATGTCTCCAAGTCTAGCCCAGTATGACATAGCTCATTCTAGCCTTCTCTCCTTGTTTCTCTGTCACCTCTCACTCCAATAGTGAGTATCTTTGCTACCACCATCCACTAGCCATTTGCTTAATTGCTCAATGCCAGCATACATGGATAATGGTTTCAGAATTGTTTACCGTTACCCTGGGGGAAGCACCATTATCAACTAGAGGACATTGCTATGTGCAGTCCCTTCAGCCTTACAGCTTACAGAGGCCACTCATTTCAAGAATTACTTAGATCAGCACTTTCTTTGTTTTTAATGTTTAAAAAAAAAATTTGAGACGATGTTACATTTTATCGCCCAAGCTGGTCTTGAACTCCTGGGCTCAAGCGATCCTCCGGCCTCAACCTCCCAAAGTGCTGGGATCACAGGCATGAGCCACCACACCTGGCTGATCAGCACTTTTCCCCACACTCCCTTCACAGAGGTCATTTCGTACATTTATGATACGTTTGGATTCATGTGTCACCTTCTGCGTTCCATCCTGGGACCCTGACTTCCTAAATGACTTTTAAAATTAGCATAATTCAGCCAGGCACAGTGGCTCACGCCTGTAATCCCAGCACTTTGGGAGGCTGAGGTGGGCAGATCACTTGCGGTCAGGCGTTCAAGACCAGCCTGGCCAACATGGTGAAACCCCATCTCTACTAAAAACACAGAAATTAGCCAGGCACTGTGGCGGGCACCTGTTATCCCAGCTACTCAGGAGGCTGAGGCAGGAAAATCACTTGAACCCTGGAGGTGGAGGTTGCTGTGAGCCAAGATCACACCACTGCAGTCCAGCCTGGGTGACAGAATGAGACTCCGTCTAAAAAAAAAATAGCATAATTAAGTTTTAATTATTTGTGCTGTAAGGTTCTGTGGATTTTGTCAAACGCATAGTACCATGTATCCACCACTGCCGTATCATACAGAATAATTCCACTGCCCTAAAACAATTCCGTGTTTCCCCTGTTCAGCCTCCTCCCAACCCCCAGCCCCTGGCAGCTGTTTACTGCCTCTGTGGTTCTGCCTTCTCCACACTGTCATAGAGTCGGAATTAAATCGTATACAGCCTTTCCAGATTGGCTTCTTTTGCTTACCAGAACGTGGCTTAATGCCCCATTCCTTTTGCCAAGTAGTTTTCCACCGTCAAGATAGACCACCGTTTACCCACTGAAGGACAGCCTGGTTGTATCCAAGTTTTGGTGATTATGGATAAAGCTTCAACAGACATTTGTGTGCTACTGTTTTTTTGTGTTTTTGTGTGTGTGTGTGTGTGTGTGTGTGTGTGTGTGTGTGTGTGTGTGTGTGTTTTTGAGATGGAGTCTCTCTGTCGCCCAGGCTGGAGTGCAGTGGCGCAATCTCAGGTCACTGCAACCTCCGCCCCCTGGGTTCACAGGTTTAAGCAATTCTCTTGTCTCAGCCTTCAGAGTAGCTAAGCCAGGCATCTGCCACCACGCCTGGCTAATTTTTGTATTTTTAGTGGAGATGGGTTTTCGCCGTGTTGGCCAGGCTGGTCTCGAACTCGTGACCTCAAGTGATCTGCCCGCCTTGGCCTCCCAAAGTGCTGGGATTACAGGCATGAGCCACCGTGCCTGGCCTTGTGTGCTAGTTTTTGTGTGCACATAAGTTTCACATCAACTGAGTACATCTGCAGGAACATGATTGCTGGGTTGTATGATAGGATTAATCTTGTTAACTTTGTAAGAAACTGCCAAACTGTCTTGCAAAGTGGCTATTCCATGCTGTACTCCCACCAGCAACGATAGTTTCTCTTACCTCACATCCTTCTCAGCACTTGGTATTGTCCGTTTTTTGAATTTGAGCCATCCTAATATATGTGTTGTGCTTTTTGTTTTGATTTGTGACAGTATCTTTTTAATTCTTGTATCACCAACATGAAGCATAGTAACTAACAGGAAATAGCCACTTGATGATTTCTTACTGTTATGTATTTGTTATGTTGAAGGAATGAACTGGGGTAATTTTGTCAAATTGCCAAATGACTTGTCTGTGCCCCCGGTTTCTGGGTTTCTCCTCCCTGAGAATGATACTCTTGGACCCTGACAGTGGGTCTTCCACACACATAAAATCCCTTGTGTTGACTATTAGTGAGATACAGGTTGAGCATCCCAAACCCAAAAATCCAAACTCGGAAATGCTGCAAGATTCAGAGCTTTTGAACACTGACATGACGCTCCAAGTAGGAATTCCACCCCTAACCTCATGCAAGAGGTCACAGTCGAAACGCAGATACACAACACGGATTATTCAGTGTCTCCCAGGGACAGAAGACCCTCCCAGCCTCCTTCAGCTGCAATACAACCTTTCCACATACACCCAGATTTTTCCCCTACACAGGCACACGCCTCTCCAGACCACACACACACCAGCAGCAGGTTCCCCACGATGCCCCACACGGTGCCCAGACCTCCATGCTTACTCACAGTTTCTTTGCTTGTTCTCTGCTTTGTTGTGTAAAGATAATGTTGAAAACATCAAAAAGGCCTGCAGATCCCCTGTGGGTAACAGTGATAAGAAAAAGAGGAAGCATTTGTGTTTTTCTGTAGCCCAGAGAGCCAAGAATGACTGCCACGCGTGACCTGAAGAAGCAGAAGGATAAAAGGTTGAAACACCAAAAGCCATGAACAGAAGTTGGTGAAAAATTGAAAAATGAGGCTGGGCACGGTGGCTCATGCCTGTAATCCCAGCACTTTGGGAGGCCAATGAGGGAGGATCACTTGAGCCCAGGAGTTCGAGACCAGCCTGGGCAACATGGTTGAGACCTCGTCTCTACAAAAAATACAAAAATTAGCCAGGTGTGGTGGCACACACCCATAGTCTCAGCTACTCAGGAGGCTACGGTGAGCCGTGATCACACCACTGCACTCCAGCCCAGGTGACAGAGCGGAAACCCTGTCTCAAAAAAAAAGGCCGGGTGTGGTGGTTCACGCCTGTAATCCCAGCACTTTGGGAGGCCAAGGTGGGCAGATCACCAGGTCAGGAGATCAAGACCATCCTAGCTAACACGGTGAAACCCCGTCTCTACTAAAATATAAAAAATTAGCCGGGTGTAGTGTCACACACCTGTAGTCCCAGCTACTTGGGAGGCTGAGGCAGGAGAATTGCTTGAACCCAGGAGGCAGAGGTCGCAGTGAGCCAAGATCGCGCCACTGCCCTCTAGCCTGGTGACAGTGTGAGACCCCGTCTCCAAAAAAAAAAAAAAGTGTCCAGTAACCCTTTAATCCAAACACAGCATAGTAGGTGGGGATTGAAAGCCTGTTGTTACCATTTAGCAGCCGATCCAGGTGTTCTCATGACACAGCTGTGCTGCTTAATTACTCTGAACATGCTATTTTCCACTGTATGAATGGCCCGTCATATTTATTACCGTTAAGCACTTATGTGTGAATAAGTGTAGGAAAAGGATTGCTTATCAGTAGCAAATTCAGAGTCAGAAATGATGGTGACGCCAAGCCACAGATCAGCCACATGGGTGAGAGATAGACGCCTTTGCTTTCTGATGGTTCATTGTACACAACTGTGTTTCATACACAAAATTATTATTATTATTATTATTATTATTATTATTATGATTATTATTATCAGAGACGGATTCTAGCTCTGTTGCCCAGGCTGGAGTACAGTGCTGTGATCTTGGCTCATTGCAACCCCTCCCTCCCGGGTTCAAGCGATTCTCCTGCTTCAGCCTCCCAATTAGCTGGATGACAGGCGTGAGCCACCATGCCTGGCTAATTTTTTTTTTTTCTGAGACAGAGTTTCACTCTTGCCCAGGCTAGAGTGAAGTGGCATGATCTCCGCTTGCTGCAACCTCCATCCACCTCCCACCCCCGGTTCAAGCAATTCTTCTGCCTCAGCCTCCCAAGTAGCTGGGATTACAGGTGCACCACCACGCCCAGCTAATTTTTGTATTTTTAGTAGAGACGGGGTTTCGCCATGTTGGCCAGGCTGGTTTTGAACTCCTGACCTCAGGTGATTCACCGGCCTCGGCTGTTGAAAGTGCTACGATTACAGGCGTGAGCCACCACGCCCAGCCTAATTTTTGTATTTTTATAGAGATGAGGTTTCACCATGTTGGCCAGGCTGGTCTCACACTCCTGACCTCGAGTGATCCACCTGCCTCGGTCTCCCAAAGTGCTGGGATTACAGGTGTGAGCCACTGTACTCAGCCACAAAATTATTTTTAAATGTTATATTTACCTTCAGGCTATGTGTGTGGGGTATATATGAAACATAAGTGAATTTCATGTTTAGACTTGGGTCACATCCCCAAGATATCTCATTGTGTAGATGCAGATATTCCAAAGTCTGGAAACATCCGAAACATCCGAAATCTGAAACACATTTGGTCCCGAGCATTTTGGATAAGGGATCTGCAGCCCATACTGCATTTTCAAAGGCTTTTCAGCCACGGGGAATGCTTCCAGTCCTCCTCTGTTGCTCCCTTCCACAAACATCCAGCTCAACGAGTATTGTATTCATCAGAAGCAGAATTAAAGATCAGACCCTATGCTCTTTTTTTTTTTTGAGACAGAGTCTGCCTCTGTCACCCAGGCTGGAGTGCAGTGGCGCTATCTCGGCTCACTGCAACCTTTGCCTCCTGGGTTCAAGTGATTCTCCTGCCTCAGCCTCCCAAGTGGCTGGGATTACAGGCGCCCGCCACCACGCCTGGCTAATTTTTGTATTTCTAGTAGAGATGAGGTTTCCCCCATGTTGGTCAGGCTGGTCTCAAACTCCTGACCTCGTGATCCATCCACCTCGGCCTCCCAGGGTGTTGGGATTACAGACATGAGCCACCGTGCCCGGCGCCTTATACGATTTCTGCAGACAACATAGGCAGAGGCTGAGAGAGTCAGAGAACACGTTTGAGCCTGGGTCCCTGTCTTAGTGAATAGGAGATCTCGAGCAGCAAGTTCCTCCACCTCTCTGGGTCTTTTATCTTCTTCATCTGTAAAATGGATATATAAGAGTGGTACTTACCTCATAGACTATTGTAAGAATTAAACAGGGTACTCTATGTACAGACTTAGCACAGTGCTTCCATGTAATAGTGTTGGACAAATATTAGCTATTAAAATATCCTCACCATTTAAACTTTAAAAAAAAAAAAATCTGTGCCCAGGCTGCCGTGCAGTAGCATGGCTCACTGCAGCCTTGAACTCCTGGGCCCAGAAGGTCCTCCTGCCTCAGCCTCATGAGTAGCGAGGACTATAGGCATGTGTCACCAGGCCATTTTTTATAGAAATGGAACTCGCTGTGTTGCCCAGGCTTGTCTTGAACTCCTGGGCTCAAGTGATCCATCCTCCTCAGCCTCCCAAAGTGCTGGGATTACAGGTGTGTGCCATTGCACCCGGCTTCCCCGTTTGAACTTTCAAAGCTAATCATGCTGTGTGGTATGAGGTTGAGGGGAAAAAGGGATGCCCCAAATTAATGAAACTAAATCTTCCAGATGCTTTCGCCAGCGCCGTGCGTGTTCTGTGTTCTTTCTGCGGTCCCATCCTGGGTATGACAGTGAATTTTAGGCTGGGCTGTGCCTTTGGCTGTGCAGGGCCTCCTGCTTAGAGGCCCTTTGTCTGACCTTTGGTGACACAGCAGTAGCAGCGCTCAGGGTCTGTAGTGGGCGTGTGGGTGGCCAGGGCAAGCCCTGCACATGTGCCTCAAGGAGCATTGGCTGGCCCGGGTGAGCCTACCCATTTGTGAGTTGCTGAGGCCACCGTGCCTGCGGCCGGCGTCCTGGCATGGCTGAGCCGGGCCATCTGCTGCCTTGTGGTCTCTGCCTCTGCCTTTCCAACTCTCACTTGTCCTCCTGCTCCCGCGTGAAGAGGGGGAGGGGAGGAGTTGGGAACACGTCCTCATGCTCGGCTTCTGGCTGGCAGTCATGATGGGGGACAGGGAACCTGTGCTGCTCACAGGTGTCAGGAGGGGCTTCCTGGGCCATGCTTGGGAGGAGCTGGGAAGCTGGCGTATGTGTGGGGGGCAGAGCCCTCTGCCACACAGGTTTCGGAAATCCTTTTGCAGACGGCAGTGAGAACTTGAGACTTCAGTGAGAGTGTTGTCAGCCTGGCGTTAGTGTTGAAGAGCTGGGTCGGGAAGTTGCCCACCCAAGAGGCAACTTGAGCCATGTAAAAGTAGTGCGTGGTTTATGGGGTGTCGGGTCTTGCGTGTGCCTCTGGGCCTTTGGGTAAAGATGGGGTGCACCCGTGAGAGCAGTGGTAGATCAGGTCTGTGAGCCACCCTTACTCCTGGGGAATGGCTCAGAGGACTGGTGGACGTGAGGCATGACCCTGGTTTCTTGCCATGCGGTCTAGGAACAGGGACTTTTGACTTCCCATCAGCTCTCCTCTTTGAAAGCACCCTTGACCCTGAACGATTTTGCATGTCTGTAATTTGAATGTCGTGTGGTTACAGGACCCGGTCAGCCCAAGGAGCAGGGGTCCAGCAGCTCTGCGGAGGCATCTGGAACAGAGGAGGAGGAGGAAGTGCCCAGTTTCACCATGGGGCGATGACAATGTTTGCCACAGCCTCTGCCTGGAACCTGGCTCGTGCTGTGACCAGAAGGGAAAGGCGGCTGTTTGGCTCTTTCTCCCCCGCAAGGACCCGCTGACCCGCTGGATGGAGAGCAAAGGAGACCCCTCCCGAGCCGCTCACAGTCCTGTATTTGGCAGGTTTGGGAGCCTGAGGGGCCATCTCCCTGACACTCAGAGGCACTGCCTTGCAGACACCATCCGTGCTCCTGGTAAAGGGGGACAGAGAGCCTCACCTTGCCACATATTTGAACAGTGATGAGTTTGGGGCTGGTTTCTGGGAAGGGAACGTTTATTTAGTAAAGAGCAGAACACCCTTGCGTTTTGTTGGGACATGTGGACCGTGAGTCGCAAACACTCTGGAGAAGGCTGAGATGCCACCATTCCCACGGGGACTGAAGACACATTACGTGGACCTGGTCCCAGGCTCAGTGAGGAGATGGCCTCAGCTGTGGGGCTGGTCCATGTTGCCCACTCACTCCAGTGGGAAGTGGGGACCACGCCATAGAGGGTCTGCTCCCACTGCAGCTCCCGGTGCTCTCGTGTTCTGGGAAGGCCTGGGTGTGTGCACAAGGAGGCCCGGGCCAGGGACTTCACCAGGGGCTGGGTCACAAGGGCACAGGGTGTGTGGAAAGCGCTGTGGGGGAAGAGCCGGTCACCGGAGAGTGAGCAGGCGGAGACTCCAAGCTGGGCTGAGCCAGAGCAGAAGGCGAGGGATTCCCAGCCGGACGGGGGTTCTCTCACCAACAGCTGTGATTTCATCCCGAAGTGGAAGGGGGTCTAAACAGAACAGGCTGAGAGAGGCGGGACTGGGTCAAGTGGGTGGAGCTCCTCCTTGCATGACTGCAACTGTCGGGGCTTTCCGCCGGCTCACAGCAGTTGGGGCCAGCGGGGAGAAGAGAGGCGGAACTGCTGTGTCCTCATGTGGCGCAGCCTCAAACTGGCATCCAGGCACTGGGCCCATGCAGAGAAGGCACCTGCAGAGAGCAGGGCAGCCCGGCGCAGGGGCATGCGCCTAGAATCCCAGCTACTCGGAAGGCCAAGGCAGGAGGACCGCTTGAGTCCAGGGATTCAAGGCCAACCTGGGCAATAGAGCGAGACCCTGTCTCTTAAAAAACGATGATGATGAACACAGAGGACGGGGCACTGTGCTGGGAGCCAGGGGGCCTGGGAGGAGCCGAGACCAGCCTTTTACCTCGGGGTTTTGAGGCCAACAGGGACGACAGAGACAGTTTCTAGTTAGAGCCTTGGCTCCATTTTTGGATGATTTAGCCCCGAGTTCCTGAGTCTATTTTATGCCCCTTACGTACTTTGATAGAACTAAGGAAATAGTGGTTTTGAGTGAAGGGAAAGGAAACCCAGAAACATTTTACGTTGCTTTTACTTCTGTAGTGTAGATTGCCCCGGCCCCTCTCTGAGCCCTGTAGCATCTGTGATAGCTTCTGTCCCTTCATCGGTTCATGTCACAGGGATTTTCTTTCCCAGGAAGCGGACACGGAGAGTCAGCCCTAATAAATGAGCACATGCCCTGGCTGTACATTTTGAAACCTGTTTTTCTCTGTCTGGGACTGGCTGGTTTGTGTTTCGGTTTTAGTTCTCCTATCTTTGGACTGTTGGTTTCCATCCCTCTCCCCACCCCCACATGTGTCACAGCCCCTGCCCTGAGTCTGCAACCTGGAGCTTGTGGGCCGCCTCAGTGCTGGGGAGGGTGCTGGGGCTTGGAGCCTGATGACCTGGCTTTGAATCCTGCCCCTGCCTCTGGTAAGCCAGGGGACTGTCAGCAAGTCCCTTCCTGCCTCTGCCAGCTCACTGGGCCAAGAGAGACAGTCGCCACAGGTGTGTGTTGGGTGGGTGGGCACATGGCGACACAGCAGGATGCCAGGTTGCGGTGGGCTTCACCCCCACGGGGTGCAGGAGATGATATTTAGGCAGGACATGTCCTGTAGCCATTTCTGGCCATTAGTACTAGGTCATCAGGACCTTAAGTTGAGAGATTCTTTCTTCAGGGCATCACTTATTTAGGAAAAGAAGAACAAACAGATGTCATCATTGAGAAAGGATTGGGTGATACTGAGAGCCCCTGCCCTCCCCCCGACAAAAAAAACCACCATTAGGGGAGAATCATGAAGTAATGTCCCTCATTGCTCATGGGTGGGAAGGAGTCTGGAACTGAACACAGAGGTGTAGGTAACAGAATCGTCTCAAACAAACTCACACACAAGAATTCTTATGGCCAGGCGTGGTGAGCTGACGCCTGTAATCCCAGCACTTTGGAAGGCCGAGGCAGGAGGATCGCTTGAGCCCAGGAGTTTGAGACCAGCCTTGGCAACACAGTGAGACCCCATCTCTACAAAAAATTTTAAAATTATCTGGGCGTGATGGTGCGCACCTATAGTCCCAGCTACTTGGGAAGCTGAGGTAGGAGGATCCCTTGAGCCGAGGAGTTGAAGGCTGCAGTGAGCCGTGATCACTCCACTGCACTCCAGCTTGGGTAACACAGTGAGACCCTGTCTCAAAAACAAATATATCTAGGTTCCCTGGTGATGCCCCTGTAATTCTGCATCATTTACGATTCATGCCCAAATAGACATTTAAACAGGTATTTTACTGTTTAAACAGGAGATTCTACTACAGAACCCGCCCCTTTAATTAGTTAACTTCGAGACAAGGGCTTGCTGTGTCCCCCCGGCTGCAGTGCAGTGGCGCCATCATTGCACACTGCAGCCTCCAACTCCTGGGCTCAAGCATTCCTCCCATCTCAGCCTCCCAAGTAGCTAGGACTACAGGCATTCACCACCATGCCAGCCTAATTTTTGTTTGTTTTTGAAACAAGGTCTGGCGCTTTTGCCCAGGCTGGGGTGCAGTGGCGTGATCTCGGCTCACTGCAACCTCCACCTCTCGGGCTCAAGCCATTCTTACACCTCATCCTCCCAAGTAGCTGGGACTACAGGTGCGTACCACCATGCCTGGCTAATTTTTGTATTTTTTGTGGAGACAGGGTTTTGCCATCTTGCACTGGTCTCCACCTCCTAAGTTCAAACAACCCTCCCACCTCAGCCTCCCAAAGTGCTGGGATTATAAGTGTACACCACCGAGCCCTGCCCTGTTACTATTTTAAATTTATTTCGCTGTTTCCAACATTTATATTTTGGTAAAAAACAAATTAAAATTGAGTTAGAGGAGTGTTCTACTAACTCTTGGAAATAGAACTCAGGCCAATTCTTTTTCATTCATGGTGGAGACACGTGTTTTCTCCTTCTCCCTCTTGGAAGTTAATTTCTGTTTACTATTTGGTGTACTTGACTAAAGTTAGCTACGATTACCATATATTAACATATATTTCAGTAGAGAGAACACTCTTGGAAATTAACCTGGAGCGAGTTCCAGGAGGCCGTTTCTTGTTTTCTTACTCCACAGAATGTCACAAATCCACTGGGTGTGGTGGCTCTTGCCTGTAACCCCAGCACTTTGGGAGGCCTAGGCAGGAGGATCACTTAAGGCCAGGAGTTCAAGACCAGCCTGAGCAACATAGTGAGCCCCACATCTCTAAAAAATAAAAATTGAAAAGTGCACCTGGCCTAGTGGCATAGTCCTAGCTACTTCCAAGGCTGAAGTGGGAGAATCACTTGAGCCTGGGAGATTGAGGCTGCAGTGAGCCATGATTGTGCTGCCGCACTCCAGCCTGGGTAACACTAAGACCTTGTCTCAGAAGTAAAAGGCTGGATGCAGTGGCTCACACCTGTAATCCCAGCACTTTGAGAGGCCAAGGCAGGTGGATCACCTGAGGTCAGGAGTTCGAGACCAGCCTGGCCAACATGGTGAAACCCCATCTCTACTAAAAATGCAAAAATTAGCCGGGCATGGTGGCCAGTGCCTGTAATCCCAGCTACTGGGGAGGCTGAGGCAGGAGAGTTGCTTGAACCTGGGAGGCAGAGGTTGCAGTGAGCCAAAATGATGCCACTGCACTCCAGCCTGGGCAACAAGAGTGAAACTTCGTCTCAAAAAATATAATAATAAATGAAAAAAAATAGCAAATGTTTATTGAGCACCAACTAAGTGCAAAATCCAAGGGATTCCAAGGCCCATTGCTAGGCACTGGGGATGGTGGTGGACAAGACACAGTCCTTGCCTTCAGGGGGCTCCAGGTCTGAGCAGGAACAGGATTGGGGAGAGCAGCACAGCCTGCTGTGTGGGCACCTGACCCAGGCCTCTGCGAAGGCGAGCGCTGAGCTGAAGTCAGGTGGCTCAGGAGAACAAGAGTGCCCAGAAAGCGAGCTGGGGAGGGAGGAGGCGCCCTGCCATGGCCTCAGACCCTGTTAATCAGGGGACTGGAGTCTCAAAGGCCACAGGGTAGGGGCTGGAATGGAGAGACATGGGGGACCTTTGAGTTTGTGGAAGGGGACAGGGCTCCTGCCTTGCCATGCAGACCAGAGGTGATGGTGGCCTGAGTTAGTGCAGAAGCAAGTGGGGACAGGGAGAAGTAAGGGAGAGTCCAGCAATGTGGAGGTGGGAGAATTGTCACGACCCGATGGGGAGAGGACTCATGGGTGCCAGCAGCTGAGTGGGTGAGGGAACCCTTCTGAGACAGCTGACCCAGGCGGTGGGGCAGGAATGCGAGGGAAGATGACAGATTCGGCTGTGGGCCTGGTAAAGTGGAGGGCCCTAGGCATATGTGCTGGGAAGAGAGATCAAGGCTGAAGGTGATGATGGGGTTGTCAGGCTGCCCTGGTCCTTGGAACTATGGGAGTAGATGAAACCAGTCAGGGAGGAGCAAAGAGAGGAGAGGGACCCAGACAGAACCCTGAGAATCGCATATCGAGGGGACAGAAAATGGGGGGACAAGCAGGCAGACTCACTGGAGCCAAGGAACAGGGTTTCCTGGTAGAAGGAGGGGTCCCCGATGACAGGGCTGACAGCTGAAACATCCTCTGGGTTTAGGCAGGCAGATCAGCTGAGGTCAGGAGTTGGAGACCAGCCTGGCCAACATGGCGACACCCCATCTCTCCTAAAAAATATATACAAAAACTTGGTGGGCGCCTGTAATCCCAGCTACTTGGGAGACTGAGGCAGAAGAATTGCTTGAACTCGGGAGGTGGAGGTTGCAGTGAGCCAAGATCATGCCATTGCACTCCAGCCTGAATGACGAGCGAAACTCCATCTCAAAAAGAAGGAGCTATTATAGGCCAGGCATGGTGGCTCACCCCAGTAATCTCAACATTTTGGGAGGCTGAGGCCGGCAGATCACTTGAGGCCAGGAGTTCGAGACTGGTCTGACCAACATGGTGAAACCCTGTCTCTACTAAAAATACAAAAATTAGCCAGGCATGGTGGCCCGTGCCTGTAATCCCAGTTACTTGGGAGGCTGAGGCATGAGAATCGCTTGAACTCAGGAGGTGGAGGTTACAGTGAGCCAAGATGGCACCACTGCACTCCAGCCTGGGCAACAGAGCAAGACTCTGTCTCATAAATATGATAGAGAAAGAAAGGAAAGAAAAAGGGAGGAAGGAAGGAAGGGAAGGAAGGAACGAAGGAAGGAAAGGAAGGGAGGGAAGGGAGAGAAGGGAGGGAAGGAAGGAACGAAGGAAGGAAAGGAAGGGGGGGAAGGGAGAGAAGGGAGGGAAGGGAGGAAGGGAGGGGAAAGAAAGAAATGAAGGAAGTGAGGGAGGGAGGGAAGGAAGGGAGAGAAAGAAAAGAGAAAAGGAAGGGAGGGAGGGAAAGAAAAGCAAGCAAGCAAGCTATTCTGTGTTTGGTTAGGAAACCAACTCTGCAAAGCACTGGCAATTACAACTTGCATTTTGCTTCTGTCTGGGCATGCTGGATAAATATGCCTGTGGGGTGGCGGCATCAGTAACGGGCACAGGAAGCTTTCTCAAGGATGAGTGAAGTCGCTGCAAGAGTGAGAATTCAACAAGCAAAGGACTCCTTTGCTGAAAGCACATTCATCTATGATGCAAACTACTGCGTTTACAAAGTGTTTTCTTCCTGTTTTGTGTGTGTGTGTGTGTGTGTGTGTTTTGAGACAGAGTCTTGCTCTCTGGCCCAGGCTGGAGTGCAATGGTGTGATCTTGGCTCACTGCAACCTCCGCCTCCCAGGTTCAAGCGATTCTTCTGCCTCAGCCTCCCCAGTAGCTGGGACTACAGGCGTGCGCTACCATGCCTGGCTAATTTTTGTATTTTTAGTAGATATGGGGTTTTACCAGTTGACCTGGCTGGTCTTGAACTCCAGGCCTCAGGTGATCAGCCTCCCAAAGTGCTGGGATTACAGGCATGAGCCACCGAGATTCATTTTACCAAGAACTCCACGTTGGAAAGCCATAACATGATTGCTTTTTGAGGACTTTACCCCTGAAATTCAAATGTTCCCTCACCCATAGCCATTGATGGGGGTGGCAGGAGGAGGGCCAGTAAGGAACCCTGGGATTTGCTTATGTCCATGTTAGGGCCTAACTTGCCTTTTAGGTCAGTAACCCGGAGGGGGAAACCTGGTTTATTAGACTAAGTGTCCTCCTGGTTTCATTCTGGCTGTCAGCAGTAGCCTGTAAAAGACAACTCGAAGTGTAGATGGATTTAACCTGGCGTCCGTAACATCTACTCTTCCAATTGTCATAAAATGTGGGCTGGCTGACATGAGTGGAATTTTTCCTTCGTTTGGATAAATGTGTCACGGTCCAATGCTGTTGTGACAGATGGAAAAATCCTATGTAGGGCACGCAGCAGCCTACCCGGCATGGAGGAAGGACTCCAAGGGACCGTCTGGCACCGCCGGGCTGATAGGAACCCATCTTGTCTGTCTGTGAATTATTCATGTGCTGCACTTCCTGAAAAGAATGCTCCTGTTTGACTGCCTCGCTCGTAAAACCGCAGAGAATTCACCGTTAAAGGTGAGAGGCTCCCTGCAGTAGGGAGTGGAAGGGGCCAGGGCACAGCAGAAACTCTTTGCTGCTGTCTGCGAACAGCATGAGAAGGACAGCACGCTGCACTGAAGTTGGGACCCCAGGGGTCTCGCTGGGTCTGTGAGTGGCAGTGCACTCTGGGTGGCAACCCCCAATTAGCTCAGTGCAAGCTCTTCATGGTGCCATCCAACACCCTGGGCAGGGGCCAAGCAAGGTGGCCCATGCCTCTATGCCCAGCACTTTGGGAGGCTGAGGTGGGAGGATCACTTGAGCCCAGGAGTTCGAGACCAGCAGAGGCAACATAGCAAGACCCATCTCAATTTTTTTAAAAAATTTAAAAATTAGCTGGACATTGTGGCACATGCCTGTAATCCCAGTGCTTTGAGAGGCTAAGAGAGGATTGCTTGAGGCCAGGAGTTTAAGACCAGTCTGGGCAATACAGGAAGACTCTATCTCTAAAAAAAGAATTTTTTTTTTTTTTTTTGGCTGGGCACAGTGGCTCACATGTATCATCCCAGCACTTTGGGAGGCCGAGGCAGGCAGGATCACCTGAGGTCAGGAGTTCAAGACCAGTCCGGCCAACATGGTGAAACCCCATCTCTACTAAACATACAAAAAAGTAGCCAGGCTAGTGGCGTGCACCTGTAGCTCGGAGGCTGAGACAGGAGAATCGTTTCAACCCCGGGGTCGGGGGTTGCAGTGAGCCAAGATGGCACCACTGCACTCCAGCCTGGGTGACAGGGCAAAACTCCCTCTCAAAAAACAAACAAAAACAAATTTTTTAAAAACTACCACGGTGTGGTGGCTCCTGCCTACATGTAGCCTCAGCACTTTGGGTGACTGAGGGCAGAGGATCACTCGAGCTCAGGAATTCGAGGCTGCATTGAACCGTGATCGCACCACTGCAGTCCAGCCTGGGCGACAGAGCCAGACCCTGTCTCAAAAAAATAAAAAAAAAAATCCTGTGAAAACTCGGGCGTGGCCAGACGGATTCTCCCCTCCCCACCTTCCTTTCCCCTCCACTGCCCACCTGCACCCGCCCGCCCTGTCCCCACTCCCCGCCCCTCTACGCAGCCAGCGTCCAATGCTGGGCACCCCCCGAGGCTCACCCTGCCAAGCCTGGGGCTCCCCTTTTGCGCCCGGACCCAGGGGCAGGGAAAGCCCAGCTCGTGGTCTGTGGGTAGCCGGACCCCCGATGGGGCGGTGGGGGGCCTCGCCTTGACTCCCAGAGCTGGGGCCGGGGACAGGAGCTGGGGCAGGAGGGATGCGCGCGGGTCGGGGTCTTCCCACCTCCCCTGCTCCTCTCCCTCGCGCGATCCCGGGGTGGTTCCAGGTGAGGCGGGGACCCCCACCCCCCCACTCTCCGAGGAGGCGCCGCCAGCCCCGCCCCTCCCGGCCCGGCGGGTGACGTGGCCGCGGCTCTCCCGCGGGTGGGTCACGTGTTGGCGGCGCCTGGTTGCCTTGGCAGCGGCTGCGGCGGCCGCGGGGGCGGGGTGGAGGCGGGGCCGGGGGACCCCGCGCGACCGGCGGAAGGAGGGAGGGGGCCGCGCTCGGCGCCCCGGCCGGGCCACTGGGCCACAGGCCACGCGGCCACGCAGTCCGAGCGGGAGCCGAGCCGGGCGGGGCGAGGGCAGCTCCGGTGAGTGTGGCGGCGCGGGGGCCTGGCGCGGGGAGCGGGGTCCCTGCGGCTGGGGGGGCCGGAATTGGACCGGGGACGCTCGGCGGGGAAGGGGACGACTGTAGGCTGCCCGGGCGCGGTCACTACCCATCCGGGGTTGGTGACCTCCACCCCGCGGGATCCCTGGCGGGGTGCGGCGCCCAGAGGATCAGGGTCGGCGGCGCAGCCGGTTCCGGACACCGGGGCGTCCCTGGGGGAGGGACAGGGATGCAGCCTAGCGCCCCTGGGAGGCCCCCTCCCAGTGCGCCTGCTGGAGAGAGACACTCGCCATTGCCGGTGCCCCAGATGCTTAGAGGAAGTCAAACTCCAAGACCGCCCTCTGGAAATGTGTCCAGTAGGCCAGCCAGGAAGAAAAGCTCATCTCTAGAGAGGGGATCGCGTTATTCTACAAGACCTGTTTTCTCGGACTGCTCATTAAAGCAAAAAAAAAAAAAAAAAAAAAAAAGCAACCCCACAAGGTTCAGTCCCGGAGCATCCTCTAGGGTCTGTGCCACCTGACAGAAGTACAGGGCTCCATCCTGCCCCACCCCACCCCCTGCCTGGGATCCAGTGTGAGGCCCAGACTCTGTCCCTCCCCCTGGGCCACCGGGCCTGGCACACACAGTTGGCATTGGGAACATAAAGGATGGATTTGAACCCCCTCCTGGGCTGCTCCTTCGAGACCTGGAGACCTGTCTCAAGACCCAGCTCCAGGCAGACAGACATCGTTTCCTCCACAATCCCACCCACTCTGGGGACATCTGCAGGGCCTCACCGATGGGGCATGGGAGGCCTGGCGGCTCCCAGGAAGCCACCCTCAGCCCTCACTGCCCTGAGCTCTTCACCTCCACTCTCAGACCTGAGCCCAGCCCACCCTTACTGATGGGGCATCCCTCTTGTTCACCCTTCCTTCCTTTGGAGGCCACCAGGCTCTCCCTTGCGTCCCACTCCTGCCAGTCGGCCAGCCATTTCCCTGGGTTGAACTGTGGTCCCAAACCAGAATGATCTAGCAGTGCCCAGACCGTTCCACTCACCAATTTCTTCCATTCTCCTGTGGCTGGACGCCCAGTCATGCTGCCCAGACCCTCTGGCTCATTCCACAGCCCCAGGCTCCAAGTGTCTTCCACCCACATCTCCCTGCCCCCTCCACCCCCCAGGTGGCAGCCAGTCTTCCCTCCATATCTCCTGGACAAGGAGAGCCACCCCACATGTACACCTGGAGTGGCCTTCCCGTCTCTCGGAATCCTTCCATGCAGGCAGCATCTTGTCTTTGAGGAAAGGTCCCTCTTTTTTAAAATTCTTTTTAGAGGCCAGGCGCAGTGGTTCATGCCTATAATCTCAGCACTTTGGGAGGCCAAGGTGGGCGGATCACTTGAGCTCAGGAGTTCTAGACCAGCCTGGCCAACATAGCAAAACCCTGTCTCTACCAAAAATACCAAAAATTAGCCAGGTATGGTGGCACACACATGTAGTCCCAGCTACTCGGGTGGTTGAGGCGGGAGGATCGCTTGAGCCTGGGAGGTAGAATTTGCAGGGAGCTGAGATTGTGCCACTGCACTCCAGCCTTGGTAACACAGCAGGACCCCATGTCAAAAAAAATTATTTTTAGAGACAGCGTCTTACTCTGTTGCCTAGGCTGGTCTCCAGCTCCTGGCCGCAGGTGATCCTCCCACCTTGGCCTCACAAAACACTGGGATTACAGGCATGAGGCACTTTGGCATGCAAAGGGCCGCTCTGTCCCCTCCCCGGTGTTACCTGCAAGCACCTTTTCCTGGCCTTGGTGTGAGGCAGCCAGTCCTCTGCTCCCTGCCCTCCATTGAAGCCTTTAGCTCAGTGGATGAGGATTGCCCCCCCCTCTTTTTTTTTTTTTTTTTTGAGATGGAGTCTCGCTCTGTTGCCCAGGCTGGAGTGCAGTGGTGTGCTCTTGGCTCACTGCAACCTCTGCCACCACACCCAGCTATTTTTTTTTTTTTAAGACAGAGTCTCACTGTGTCACCCAGGCTGGAGTGCCGCGGTAGGATCTCAGCTCACTGCAACCTCCGCCTCCTGGGATCAGGCAATTCTCCTGCCTCAGCCTCCTGAGTAGCTGGGATTACAGGCGCCCACCACCATGCCCAGTTACTTTTTGTATTTTTAGAAGAGACAGGTTTCCACCATGTTGTCCAGGCTAGTCTCGAACTCCTGACCTCTAGTGATCCGCCCACCTCAGCCTCCCAAAGATGACAGGTGTGAGCTACTGCTCCTGACCCACATCCCCTTACCTTGCTCCCCTACTGGGAGGCCATGAATTCTGGCCTCTTTCATCTTGGATCTTTAAGTACCAAGTGCGCTAAGCACCTGTGTGATGGAGGAGGGAGGACGGAGGGAGCAAAGGTTAGCGTCTCACCCCTCCAGTCTCTGTATACTGCGGTCATCAGACCTGCATGCTCAATTCTGTTAACTATGGGGGTGGGGGGAGAGGAAAAATGCAGTTTCCAAATTACAGCATTTTCTATTATGTGGAGCTAACCTACGGATTGCAGCGTTTCTCTGAATTCTCCCCAAGGGAAGGAACGTCCCAGGGATGGAAGTGCTTGGATGCGGTGCTGCTGGCTGCGGATGTGCGCAAGGAGATGGGATGGAGAGCCTGAGTTGGCATTCGTATAAATGACCTGGTAATTGGCATCCCCTGGCAGAAATAGCACAGAACTGTTCCCAGAGGTCTTGTTGGCCAGGGAAGGCTGTGGCTTTGTAGCCTTGTTGAGAACAAAGGGAAAGGCGACACTGTTTTCCACCTCCAGCACCTTCCTGCGTAATTTCCAAATTGGGGCATTTTCAATTATGGGGGGCTCGACTCTGGCATGGATGGACTAAGTTTGGGGCATTTCCTCAGCTGCTGACCCTGTTAAGCACTCCCCACTCCACCCGTCCACCCCAGCCACGCTCCCTGGGACCTAGAAACACGGATCTGTGTGTAACAGCCTGACATAGACTTTCCGTGGGGCCTATGTGGGCCTGGACATAGAAGTTACTCTTTTCGTTTCTTTTTTTTCTTTTCTTTTCTTTTTTTGAGACGGAATCCTGCTCTGTCACCCAGGCTGGAGTGCAGTGGCGCAATCTTGGCTCACTGCAACCTCCGCCTTCTGGGTTCAAGCGATTCTCTTGCCTCAGCCTCCCGAGTAGCCGGGATTACAGGAGCCCGCCACCACACCTGGCTAATTTTTGTATTTTTAGTGGAGACAGGGTTTCACCATGTTGGCCAGGCTGGAAAAGTCACTCTTTTTGATGTCAAGTAAACCACAAGATGCCTGTGCCCTTGAAGCACGCCCTGCAGATTAATTAGAACTGGATCCTGGCGTGTGGCCGAGCAGCCCAGCTCCTTGGGACACACGCGACCGCCAATCCCCTACTTAGTGGAGATTTGGGTTTAAATTCACAAATCTTGACAGATCTGTCCTTCTGATGTTTAATCCGTGTTAGTCAAACCAGATGTTTACCAGGTGTGAGTCCAGGCATCTCCGCCTTCTGTTTCTCCTTAAAATGTGGTCATGTGAGTTGGTGGATTTCATTTTTCATCTTGCTAAAAGTTTGCCTTGTAGCTTGGATGTGGCTTTAGTTATGTAAGTCCAATATTTTTCTTAGGGTGAACTGTACTGATCAAAATTTAAGTTGAAGGCCAGGTGCGGTGGCTCACACCTGTAATCCCATCACTTTGGGAGGCTGAGACGGGCAGATCACCTGAGCTCTGGAGTTCAAGACCAGGCTGGCCAACATGGCGAAACCCTGTCTCTACTAAAAATATAAAAATTAGCCAGGCATGGTGGCACATGCCTGTAATCCCAGCTACTCGGGAGGCTGAGGCAGGAGAACGGCTTCAACCCAGGAGGCGGAGGTTGCAGTGAGCCGAAATTGCGCCACTTCACTCTAGCCTGGGTGACAGAGCGAGACTCTGTCTCAAAAAATAAATAAATTTAGAAAATAATAAAATGTAAGTTGGATCTGTGAAACTAGCAGCTACTTGGAAATGTTTATTCCATGGCTGGCACCTGGATGTTGGAAGAAGTCTTTCGTCTTCAGATGCATTATCTTATTCAAAAGCCCTAGAGGTGAGGCCGGGTGCAGTGGCCCACACGTGTAATCCCAGCACTTTGGGAGGTGTAAGAGGGAGGATCACTTGAGGCTAGGAGTTCAAGACCAGCCTGGGCAATATAGTGAGATTCCCGTCTCTAGGAAAAATTAAAACATTAGCAGGCATGGTCCTGTGCTTATGGTCCTAGCTCCTCAGAAGGCTGAGGCAGAAGCTTCCCTTGAACCTAAGAGTTCGAGGCTGCAGTGAGCTGTGATCGTACCACTGCACTCCAGCCTGGGCAACAGAATGAGACTCTGTCTCTATTTTTAAAAAAAGTAGGCTGGACGCGGTGGGTCACACCTGTAATCCCAGCACTTTGGGAGGCTGAGGCAGGTGGATCACCTGAGGTCAGGAGTTTGAGACCAGCCTGGCCAACATGGTGAAACTCCATCTCTACTAGGAATACAAAAATTAGCCAGCTATGGTGGCGGGCGTCTGTAGTCCCAGGTACTTGGGAGGCTGAGGCAGGAGAATCGCTTGAAGCCGGGAGTCAGAGATTGCACCACTGCACTCCAGCCTGGGCAACTCGGCGAGACTGTCTCAAAAAAATATATCAAATCAAATAAAATAAAAATAAATAAAAAGTCCTACAGGTGGAAATATCCCCATTCTCACGATGAAAGAGCCAGGTCAGAAAGGTCAGCTGTCATGCTCAGAATCACACAGTAGAGTCAAATCCAGGTTTCATAACTTTAGGTCCTGGAAGGCTGGGCGCAGTGGCGCATACCTATAATCCCAGCAGTTTGGGAGGCTGAGGCAGGCAGATCACTTGAGGTCAGGAGTTCGAGACCAGCCTGGCCAACATGATGAAACCCCGTCTCTACTAAAAATACAAAAATTAGCCAGGCGTGGTGGCGGACACATAATCCCAGCTACTCAGGAGACTGAAGCAGGAGAATTGCTTGAACCTAGGAGCTGGAGTTTCCAATGAGGTGAGATTGCCCCACTGCACTCCAGCCTGGACGACAGAGTGAGACACTGTCTCAAAAACAAACAAACAAAGAAACATAACTTTAGGTCCTGGGCACTTTCTAAACCCCTGGGCTCTGGCGTGGGCTGTATATGGCAGCCTCTGTAGGTTGAATGGGCTTGGAGTCTAGCTCTTCCAGGCCGCAGTAACCTAGGATGTCTGAGCATGTCTCTCTCCCACCCTTAGCCTGGCTCCCACCATGAGTGCTGAGCTTAACGTGCCTATCGACCCCTCTGCTCCTGCCTGCCCTGAGCCCGGCCATAAGGGCATGGATTACCGGGACTGGGTCCGCCGCAGCTACCTGGAACTGGTCACCTCTAACCACCACTCGGTACAGGCCCTGTCGTGGCGGAAGCTCTACCTGAGCAGGGCCAAGCTGAAGGCCTCCAGCAGGACCTCCGCCCTCCTCTCCGGCTTTGCCATGGTGAGTGTGGGCGCCAAGTGAGGAGCACACTGGTCAGATGGGCTTTGCTAACTGAGGTCCCGGGATGCCTCAGGGACCAGAGCCTTCCCTCCAGTCTCTGGCAGCCAGGATGGACCAGTAGGAAGCATCCACCCACGTCCCAGCTGCTCTAAGAGGACGACTCTATCAGTGCGAGTGGGGGCGCTGGGAGTTGCCAGGGGCTCCCAGCTCTAGAATCTTCAGAAAGCCCACTTTGTCCTGTTCACATCAAGTATTTGCTTAGCAAGGAGGGAGGTTGGTGCGGGGTAATTATAGTAGCTCAGGTTCTGTGACTCACACCTGTAATCCCAGCACTTTGGGAGGCCAAGGTGGGAGGATAGCTTGAGGCCAGGAGTTTGAGACCAGCCTGGGCAACACAGGGAGACCCCTGTCTTTACAAAAATAAAATAAATAATTAGCCGGACGTGGTGGCGTGCACCTATAGCCCCAGCTACTTGGGAGGCTGAGGCAGGAGGATCACTTGAGTCCAGGAGGTGGAGGCCTCAATGAGTTATGTCCACACGACTGCACTCCAGCCTGGACGTCAGAGTGAGACCCCATCTCTAAAAAGAAAAAATAAAATTTATTTATTTATTTTGGCCAGGCGTGTTGGCTCACACCTGTAATCCTAACACTTTGGGAGGCCGAGGTGAGTGGATCACTTGAGATCAGGAGTTCGAGACCAGCCTGGCCAACATGGTGAAACACCGTCTCTACTAAAAGTACAAAAAAATTAGCTGGGTATGGTAGCAGGCGCCTGTAATCCCAGCTACTTGGGAGGCTGAGACACAAGAATCGCTTGAACCTGGGAGGCCGGAGGTTGCAGTGAGCCAAGGTCACGCCACTATACTCCAGCTGGTCAAGAGTGAGACTTTGTCTCGAAATAAATAGATTAATTAATTAAAAAGATAAAATCAAATCAAATCGCTGCATGGTACAGGGTTTCCTGAGAAAAGGCGCCCATGTCTGCCCCGTCTCAGGCACCACCCAAAAGTTTGGAACTCTCAGGGATCTCTGAGCAGGGCCTCAGAGATTGATTGGGGTTGGATCAGTTTAGCCCAGTTAGCGATGCAGACGTTCCTGGAATCTGGCCTCCAGGGTGACAAAGGAGAGCTTTTGGCCTGGCTCCCAGCGGCCGCCTTCCTTCTGAGTCATCCCCTAGGACAAGAGTCAGTTTCCGACAAAGCTGCGGCTCTGACAAGGGGCCCATCTCCTGTTGACTCCAAAGCCGCTGACCCACACCCCTGGAGGGAATTGTCCCAGAGGTTAAGGACTCACAGTGAGGACACAACAGTATGCTCACAGGTCCTATTGGGTGGAAGTGATTTATTTGTTTTTTGTTTTGTTTTTAGAGACAGGGTCCCACTCTGTTGCCCAGGCTGGAGAGGGCGGTGGTGTGATCATGGCTCACTGCAGCCTCTACCTCCTGAGCTCAAGCCATCCTCCTGCCTCAGTCTCCTGAGTAGCTGGAATTATAGGCACGTGCCACCATGCCTGGCTAATTTTTTTTTTCTTTTTTCAGAGACAAGTTCTCTGCTCTGTTGCCTAGGCTGGAGTGCGGGGGTGCAATCATGGCTCACTGCAGTCTTGAACTCTCAAGTGATTTTCCCACCTCGGCCTCCCAAAGTGCTAGCATTGCACCTTGTCCAGCCTGTTTCCTTATGTGAAAACAATTATTGTTTTTCTTTTTGTTTGTTTTTGTTTTTGTTTTGAGATGGAGTCTTGCTCTGTCACCCAGGCTGGAGTGCAGTGGTGTGATTTCAGCTCACTGCAGCCTCTGCCTCCTGGATTCAAGCGATTCTCCTGCCTCAGCCTTTCGAGTAGCTGGGACTACAGGCACACATCACCACGCCCAGCTAATTTTGATATTCTTAGTAGAGATGGGGTTTCACCATGTTGGCCAGGCTGGGCTCGAACTCCTGACCTCAGGTGATCCGCCACCCTCGGCCTCCCAAAGTGCTGGGATTACAGGCAGGAGCCACCGTGCCCAGCCTCTATTGTTTTTCTGTAGGCCGGAGCCTCAATTGTTAGATTGATGGTGCAATTTAAAAGAAAAAGCTGGCTGGGTGTGGTGGCTCACGCCTGTAATCCCAGCACTTTGGGAGGCTGAGGTGGGCAGATCACCTGGTCAGGAGTTCGAGACCAGCCTGGCCAACATGGTGACACCCCGTCTCTACTAAAAATACAAAAATTAGCTGGACGTGGCGGCAGATGCCTGTAATCCCAGCTACTCCAGAGGCTGAGACGGAGAATTGCTTGAACCCGGGAGGCGGAGGTTGCACTGAGCCGAGATTGCATCACTGCACTCCAGCCTGGGCCATAGAGCGAGACTGCATCTCAAAAAAAAAAAAAAGAAAAAAAAAAAACCAGAGGTGGCTCTTGCTATGTTGCCCAGGCTGGTTTTTTTTTTCTTTAATTATTGTTATTTTTTTCTTCACCTTATACCAAGGGAGAAATATTGTTGTTTCATTTTGTTTTTTTCCCCCAAGTATTTTTGACCTGCGGTTGGTTGAATCTGCAGATGTGGAACTCATAGATACAGAGCACCAGCTGCAGTGGGAAGCAAGTGAACCATCTGGCGTGGAGCTGAGCCTTGGGGGAGCCGCAGTGCACCTGCTTGATTAGATTAGCATAGCGCCATCCGGTCAGATCGTTCTTCACACTGCAGGGCAGCCTGGGAAAAATAAGTGACAAATACAAATCATCAGAAACTGTAGCTGAGTCGGGGCAGGGCCCTGGGAACAGGCAAAGGTACAGATTGCTGGGTAGAGTTCGCCCTTTATAGTGTGTCTTCCCTCATTAGAATTGCAAAGCTGTTCCTTTGTCTAGCAACACGTGCTTATGCCTAACCTGAAGCTTAGTTCTTGATGCGTATTCTTCCCCCAACACAGAGAACCAGTGATCCAAGGCCCCACCTCATAAAACCTCTGCATAGGCCAGGCGGGGTGGCTCACGCCTGTAATCCCAGCACTTTGGGAGGCTGAGGTGGGCGGATCACTTGAGGTCAGGAGTTCCAGATCAGCCTGGCCAACATGGGGAAACCCTGTCCCTACTAAAAATATGAAAAGGAGGGCCGGGCGCCATGGTTCATGCCTATAATCCCAGCACTTTGGGAGGCCACGGTGAGCAGATCACTTGAGGTCAGGAGTTGGAGACCAGCCTGGCCGATCTGGTGAAACACTGTCTCTACTAAAAATACAAGAATTAGGCTGGGCGCAGTGGCTCACACCTGTAATCTGAGCACTTTGGGAGGCCGAGGCGGGCAGATCACGAGGTCAGGAAATGGAGACCATCCTGGCTAACACAGTGAAACCCCATCTCTACTAAAAATACAAAGATCAGCCATGCGTGGTGGCACACGCCTGTAGTCCCAGCTACTCGGGAGGCTGAGGCACGAGAATCACTTGAACCCGGGAGGCAAAGGTTGCAGTGAGCCAAGATCGCTCTACTGCACTCCAGCCTCGGTGGCAGAGCAGGACTCCGTCTCAAAAAACAAAAAAACAAAAATTAGCCAGGCGTGGTGGCTGGCACCTGTAACCCCAGCTTCTCGGGAGGCTGAAGTGGGAGGATCACTTGAATCCGGAAAGGGGAAGTTGGAGTGAGCCGAGAACATGCCACTGCACTCCACCCTGGGCAACAGAGAGGGAGACTCCGTCTCAAAAAAAAAAAAAAACATTAGCCGTGGTGGCGCATGCCTGTAGTCCCAGCTATTGGGGAGACTGAGGAAGGAGAATCACTTGAACCCGGGAAGCAGAGGTTGCAGTGAGCCGAGACAGCGCCACTGCACTCCAGCCTGGGCAACAGAGCAAGACTCTGTCTCAATAAAAAAAAAAAAATTAATTTAAATTTAAAAAATGCTGCATAAACACAGTGAAAAATTGCCTTCTCTTTTCTTCTTCTTCTTCTTCTTCTTCTTCTTCTTCTTCTTCTTCTTTTTTTTTTTTTTAATAGAGATGGGGTCTCGTTTTGTTGCCTGGGCTGGTCTTGAACTCCTGGGCTTAAGTGATCTCCCGCCTCAGCTTCCCAAAGTGCTGAGATCACAGGTGTGAGCCACCTCACTCAGCCCCTTTTCTCCTTTTTTTTTTTTTTTTTTGAGACGGAATCTTGCGCTGTCTGTCGCCCAGGCTGGAGTGCAGTGGCGCGATCTCGGCTCACTGCAAACTCCACCTTCCGGGTTCACGCCATTCTCCTGCCTCAGCCTCCCAAGTAGCTGGGACTACAGGCGCCCGCTTTTCTCCTTTTAAGGTGGAACAAAACCACTTTTTGCAAGCCCTGCCCCTACCTCATAATCATCTTTATTTCCTGTCTTGGAGGCCTCTGTGGTTTGTAATATTTGTCACTTGGGCCATTTCCTTTGAGGTGACCATAGCCAACCCAGGGCCACACTGAGAAAAACCACCCCTCAGCCCATGTTCCGTGGCTACTGGTTTTTGGATACGTTTCACAAGGGCCCCAACTGTATTACTGCTGAGTTGTTTTTCGGCTCTGGTCCACTAGGACTGCCATGTCTTCTTTTTTCTTTTTTGAGATGTAGTCTCGCTCTGTCTCCCAGGCTGGAGCACAATGGCACGATCTTGGCTCACTGCAACCTTTGCGTCCCGGGTTCAAGAGATTCTCCTGCCTCAGCCTCCCGAGTAGTTGGGATTACAGGCACCCACCACCACGCCCAGCTAATTTTTGTATTTTTAGTAGAGATGGGGTTTTACCATGTTGGTCAGGCTGGTCTCGAACTCCTGACCTCAGGTGATCCGCCCACCTCGGCCTCCCAAAGTGCTGGGATTACAGGCACCCGGCCATATCTTCTTTTATCTAGGAAGTGTTCCCTCACCACTGAAAGCGAGGTGAAGAAATGAGCTGCTAAGAGGTGGCAGTTGCTGAAGGACATTATGAAATCTTCATATATATTATTTTATTTTATCTTTTACTTTATTTTTTCCCCAGACAGGATATCGCTCCATTGCCCAGGCTGGGGTGCAGTGGTACATTCATAGCTCACTGCAGCCTCTAACTCCGGGGCCCAGCCTTGTGAGTTATTTTTTTATTTTATTTTATTTTATTTATTTATTTTTTTGTGGCAGGGTCTCACTCTGTCTCCCAGGCTGGAGTGCAGTGGCATGATCTCAGCTCACTGAAACCCCTGCCCGCCAGATTCAAGCGATTCTCCTGCCTCAGCCTCCCAAGTAGCTGGGATTACAGGCACGAGCCACCATGCCCGGTTCATTTTTGTATTTTTCACAGAGAAAGAGTTTTGCCATATTGGCCAGGCTGGTCTCCAACTCCTGACCTCAAGTGATCCGCCCCCCCCCGCCCCCCACCCTCCAGCCTCTTAAAGTGCTGGGATTACAGGCATGAGCCACCGCACCTGGCCTGAGTTTTGTTGTTTTTTTTTCTTTAAACAGGGATGGCTTAGGTCTAGGAGGGAAACAGTGGAAACAGTGGGTAGAAGAACCTTCCCCAGGCTTCTTCTTTTTTTTTTTTTTTTTTGAGACAAAGTCCTGCTCTGTCACTTAGGCTGGAGTGCAGTGGCATGATCTCCATTCACTGCAACCTCTGCTTCCTAGGTTCAAGTGATTCTCCTGCCTCCGCTTCCTGAGTAGCTGGGATTACAGATGCCCACCACCACGTCCAGCTAATTTTTTGTATTTTTAGTAAAGACGGGGTTTCACCATGCGGGCCAGGCTGGTCTTGAACTCCTGACCTCAAGTGATCCACCCACCTCGGCCTCCCAAAGTGCTGGGATTATAGGTGTGAGCCACCGCGCCTGGCTGACCTCACATTTCAAGACACCAAGCAGAGCCTGCCGTTCCTTGGTTTGTTCGTTTTAGACTCTACCTGCTGTAGCCTCCGACTACGGTTGATGATTTTGCTTCCTTAGCAGACCCAGCCATGCCTCCTTTCCACAGCTTCCCTCCTCACCCTCGGCCTCACTTCCGTCACCTTTCCCGAGCTTTAGAGATGCCGGCTCTCACTGGGCTTTTGGCCTCTGCTGAGGAGGCACCATGTGGTCTGTCTGAGGCCATCCAGGTGTGCAGCTCTGAGTCTGGGGACTCTCCGCACTTTCAGTTGTTCTGTTTTAAAAGGTCAGTTTCCGTTTTTTGTTTTTTTTTTTTGTCAAGATGGGCTGTCACTATGTTGCCTAGGCTGGTCTCAAACTCCTGGGCTCAAGCGATCCTCCTGCCTCTGCCTCCCAAAGTGCTGGGATTACAGGCATGAATCATCGTGCCTGGTCAGTTTTTACCTTTTGAAAGGTCAGTTTCCTTTTTTTGTAGAGACGAGGTCTCACTCTGTCACCCGGGCTGAAGTGTAGTGGTGTGATCATAGCTCACTGCAGCCTGTTATCTCCCGGGTTCAAGCGATCCTCCCACCTCAGTCTCCTCAGTAGCTGGGACTACAGGCATGTGCCACCATGCCCGGCTAATTTTGTATTTTTTATAGAGACAGGGTCTCCTTCTGTCCCCCAGGCTGGAGTGCAGTGGTGCAATCGGGGCTCCCAGCAGCCTGGAATTCCTGGCCTCAAGTGATCTTCCTGCCTCAACCTCCCAAACCACTGGGATTACAGGCATGAACCATTGTACCCAGCCAGTTTTTCACTTCTTTCTTTTGTTTCCTTCCTTCCTTCCTCCCTCCCTCCCTTTTCTCTTTCTTTTCTTTCTTTTCCTTCTTTCTTTTTCTTTTCTTTCTCTCTCTTTCTTTCTCTCTTTCTCTTTCTCTCTCTTTCTTTCTTTCCTTTCTTTTCTTTCTTTAACTTTCGTGGCTTGTTTTCTTTTGAGACAGAGTCTCACTGTGTCACCCAGGCTGGAGTGCAGTGGTGAAATCTTGCCTCACTGCAACCTCCACCTCCCAGGTTCAAGTGATTCTCCTGCCTCAGCCTCCCGAGTAGCTGGGATTACAGGTGCCTGCCACCACGCCCGGCTGCTTTTTGTATTTTTAGTAGAGACAGGGTTTCACCATGTTGGCCAGGCTGGTCTCCAGCTCCTGGCCTCAAGTGATCCACCAGCCTTGGCCTCTCAAAGTGCTGGGATTATAGGCGTGAGCGACCACGCTGGCCTCTTCTGTACTGTTGAGATGTTTTTCTCAGTGCAGTCTTCTTTAGATAATTAGAACAAAGGAAAATGTGAAACATTTGATCAGTGAGGAGGTTGCCCTCTGGTCTTCCAGGGCCCAGAACATGGGTGAGTCCTGCCAGCAGGCAAGCCCATGGCTACCCTGTCCCCCGAACCTGGCCCAGCCCCTGCTCTGCCTGGCAGGTGGCCCTGGTGGGGCCATACCTTGCCCTCTCCACACCCAGCACCACTCGTCTGCTGTCCCCGCAGGTGGCCATGGTGGAGGTGCAGCTGGAGACGCAGTACCAGTACCCGCGGCCGCTGCTGATTGCCTTCAGCGCCTGCACCACGGTGCTGGTGGCCGTGCACCTGTTCGCCCTCCTCATCAGCACCTGCATCCTGCCCAATGTGGAGGCCGTGAGCAACATCCACAACCTGAACTCCATCAGCGAGTCCCCGCATGAGCGCATGCACCCCTACATCGAGCTGGCCTGGGGCTTCTCCACCGTGCTTGGCATCCTACTCTTCCTGGCCGAGGTGGTGCTGCTCTGCTGGATCAAGTTCCTCCCCGTGGATGCCCGGCGCCAGCCTGGCCCCCCACCTGGCCCTGGGAGTCACACGGGCTGGCAGGCCGCCCTGGTGTCCACCATCATCATGGTGCCCGTGGGCCTCATCTTCGTGGTCTTCACCATCCACTTCTACCGCTCCCTGGTGCGCCACAAAACGGAGCGCCACAACCGCGAGATCGAGGAGCTCCACAAGCTCAAGGTCCAGCTGGACGGGCATGAGCGCAGCCTGCAGGTCTTGTGAGGGGCCGAGGGCCGGGGCTGGGAGCGGCCCTGTGCCCGGGAGTCCGCAGAGGCGGGGATTTGTCAGATGCAGACATTTTGCAAGGCTGCCGGGTAGTTCAAGACCAAAGTTTTCCTCTTGTCTTAATACCATAAGGACTGGATGACTTCTCCTGAGATAGAACCGTTTGGTTCAATGAGGGACTGTGTTGCTAAGAGCGTTGGGGGCAAAGCCAGGCTGGTTCCTTGGCCTCGGGGTTTCCTGGGTCGGGGACACGGTGAAGAGGCTCCAGCGGGACCTGCCCATCAGTCCTGGGCCAGGAGGGGCTCCAAGCAGCACCCAGCGGTCCGGGGGAGTCTCAGACCCGGCATGCGTGGCTGGCAGACCTGGGAGAGCCAGGGCAGGGTTTTGCGTTCAGAGAAGGATTGCCCCAGAGACCCGTGGTGGACTTCATGGGTGCTGAGTGGCCCGTGTGACAGTGATGACACGAAGGCTTCGGCGTTTGAGTGGGTGCAGGTGCACGCCAGGGCTTGGTGCTTCCCTGCCTGGCCCTGGAGGGAGCTGGGTGGCCTGGCTTCAGGGGAAGACAGGAGCCAGGACACACGTCAGCCCAGCAGGTGTGGGGGGTGCTGCAGCCCTCGGCAGTGGGGTCAGGCCCTGGGGGATGTTTCCAATGGTGGGCAGCCTGGCCAGGCCGGAGAAGACATGTTCACGGGCATCTATCAGATGCCCCCTTGAGGAGGCTGAGTTATTTGAGGGCTGCTGCAAAGTACGCTAGGCTCAAATTCTCTTTTCCCAGCCAGAGCCCTGGCCACACGGACTCAGAGGGGCCACCGGGGTGGGGAAAGGACCCCTCCCCCACCCCCCGCAGCCACTGGCCTCCAGCTCTCGGCCACAGAATGGCCTCTAAGGCTGACTCAGCCACTCCCTTGGGCTGTGGCAGCAGGAGGCGGGGGCTCTGGCTCAGGCCCCGGAGCCTGTGCAGCTTGCCCATGGCCCTAGGCAGCGAGGGGACAGCCTGGGGGACTTCCTGCCTAGGCAAGGTCATTGGCCGGGCCTGGCCTGTGGATAGTGGGGCCAGGGGCCGGCCCAGGCCAAATGAGTGCCCTCCTTGTTATGACACCAAGTGACTACAAGGGAGGCAAGACCCCTCCAGGCCTCTCAGCCGACACTGGGTCCCACCACACACAGTGACTGTGCCGTGCAGTGCAGGTTCTGGCCTTTTCCTTGAAGGCATCTGGTAGACCCGAAGCCACGCTCTCGGGCCGCACATGCACGCCGCAGCACCAGCTGCCCTGAGCTGCTTGTACAACCAAACACCTTTCCCCTCTTCTCCAGCTGTAACCTGGAGAGTCAGCCATGCCTTGTCTTTTGTTCTCATAAATAGTCACTGGGGCCGGGCGCAGTGACTCACGCCTGTAATCCCAGCACTTTGGGAGGCCTAGGTGGGCGGATCACTTGAGGTCAGGAGTTCGAGACCAGCCTGGCCAACATGGTGAAACCCTGTCTCTACTAAAAAAATACAGAAAATTAGCTGGGCGTGGTGGCGGGCGCCTGTAGCCCCAGCTACTTGGGAGGCTGAGGCGGGAGAATGGCAATGGCGTGAACCCGGGAGGCAGAGCTTGCAGTGAGCTGAGATGGCGCCACTGCACTCCAGCCTGGGCGACAGAGCCAGACTCCATCTCAAAAAAAAAAAAAAAATTAGCCGGGCGTGATGGCGGGCACCTGTAGTCCCAGCTACTCAGGAGGCTGAGGCAAGAGAATCACTTGAACCCAGGAGGCAGAGGTTGCAGTGAGCTGAGATCACGCCATTGCACTACAGCCTGGGCAACAAGAGCGAAACTTTGTCTAAAAAAAAAAAAAAATCACTGGGCTTCTTCATGCTCTGATCACATCTCTCGTAAAAGCTTAAGCTCTCTCCGGGGTCCGGGTTGGCCGTGCCGTGGAATTCTGGGTGGCCTGGCTGGGGTCTCTGGAAATGTGGCTGCAGCAGAGAACAGAGACCCTGACATGCAGTTTTCCGTGCTGAGGGGCCCTAGGGGAGTCACACCAAGGGTCCCCACGAGAAAGTTGTGGCATCCCCGGGGGCCGGAGAAGAGCCCCGTGTCTTCTGAGGGGTTCGTCCTTTGTGTCCCCTGCAGACATTTGTCTGCGACCTTTGCCCTCCAGCATGTATGTACTTTCCTGCAGCCTGTAGAAACGCCTCTTACGGTTTAATATGTGTTCGCTTTGCTAAAGAATATCAACATCGGCCAGGCGAGGTGGGGCACGCCTGTCATCCCAGCACTTTGGGAGGCTGAGGTGGGAGGATCACTTGGGCCCAGGGGTGCAAGACCAGCCTGGGCAACATAGCGAGACCCCATGTCTAAAAAAATTATTTTAAATTAGCCAGGCCGGGTGCAATGGCTCGCGCCCGTAATCTTAGCACTCTGGGAGGCCGAGGCAGGCAGATCACTTGAGATCAGGACTTTAAGACCAGCCTCGGCAACAACATGGTGAAACCATCTCTAGCAAAAATACAAAAAATTAGCCGGGTATGGTGGCGGGTACCTGTAATCCCAGCTACTCAGGAGGCTGAGGCAAGAGAATCGCTTGAACGCAGGAGGCAGAGGTTGCAGTGAGCTGAGATCGTGCCACTGCACTCCAGCCTGGACAACAGAGCAAAACTCTGTCTCAAAAAATAATAAATAAAAATAAATTAGCTGGGCGTGGTGGTGCATGCCTGTAGTTCCAGCTACTTGGGAGGCTGAGGTGGGAGGATTGCTTGAGCCTGGGAAGTAGAGGCTGCAGTGAACTATAACTGTGCTAGTGGCCGGGCGCAGTGGCTCACGCCTATAATCCCAGCACTTTGGGAGGCCAAAGCAGGTGGATCACTTGAGGTCAGGAGTTCGAGACCAGCCTGGCCAACATGGTGAAACTCTGTGTCTACTAAAAATACAAAAAATTAGCTGGGTGTGGTGGCGCTCGCCTGTAGTCCCAGCTACTTGGGAGGCTGAGGCAGGAGAATCACTTGAACCCAGAAGGCAGAGGTAGCAGTGAGCCAAGATGGTGCCACTGCACTCCAGCCTGGGCGACAGAGGGTGACTCCTCAAAAAAAAGAAAAATAGCTAAAATATGATTGTACCACTGCACTCCAGCCTGGGTGACAGAGTGAGACCCTGTCTCTAAAAAAAAAAAAAAGAAAATAAAGAAAAAAGAATGTCAGCATGTCAGCGTTCCTCCAAGGAGTGGCTTTGGGTCAAGAAGACAGGCTGGCTCTCCTAAACAAACGGCTCCCCACGGCTGGGAGAGGCAGCAGGCCCTTACTCTGGCCTGAGTCTTTTGGGAGGGGCCCTGCTGGGCCTTCTCCTGCCACCTACCTTCCTGGACCATCTGTGCCCCTGCCCACGCAGTACCACACTCCCCAGACTGTGGAACGCATCTCCAGTGCCATCTGGGGGCCAGTTACTGTACCTGGTCCCCAGGCAGAGCTCTTGGCCTGGCAGCATCCAGGCAGGTATTAAGTGCCCAGTGATGGTGGCACATGGGTGGGGACGGAGCCACATCCAAGTCTAGCCCTCTGATTAGGAGGATGACAGTCTTGGAATTTCTTGTTCTCTTTCTCCTAGGGTTCTCGTTCTCCCAGCTCCAGCCTTTCTAGTTTCGAGGCATGAGGCAAACCATTGCTGTGGGAATAGCAGTGACCATTGGTAGGGCCATGGTGGCCGGGAGAGGAAACCTCAGGGTCACCCCAGAGCCTGTGGGGAGACGGAGGGTGAGCTGTTGTTGGAGCTGCAGAAACGCCTTGAAGGGCAGCATGGGCGATGAGGAATGCCATTGCAGCCTAGAAATTCGGTTTCTGGAGGTTTAGCCTGATTTTGAAGAGTATTTAAGAACAGAGGGCTCCAGACCAGGTGTGGTGGCTCACATCTGTAATCCCAGCACTTTGGGAGGCAGAGGTGGGCGGATCGCCTGAGATCAGGAGTTCGAGACCAGCCTGGCCCACATGGTGAAACCCTGTCTCTACTAAAAATACAAAAATTAGCCGGGCGTAGTGACACACGCCTGTAATCCCAGCTGCTCGGGAGGCAGAGGCAGGAGAATGGCGTGAACCCGGGAGGCGGAGGTTGCAGTGAGCCGAGATCACGCCACTGCACTCCAGCCTGGGTAACAGAGCAAGACTCTGTCTCAAAAAAAAAAAAAAAAGAACAGGGGCCTCTGCCTCAGTTTGCCCGGGAGCCAGCCAGGGCCCATCCTAATTTGGAGCACAGTCTTCCTGGTGCCTAGACATGCCAAGGCCCCTCCCACGTGGTACACCCTCTCCGTTTAGTACCTGACCACCTGTTTCAAAACGCAGGTGTTTCTGGTTTAGAAACTTGGAAGGCGGAATGTGTTTTCGTGTCTTCTAGGAAGGGTCTGCTGAGGACCAGACCACGTAAGCCTGAGTGGATCCTGACTCAGCTGCAGCCCTTACCTGCCTCGTGCTGATGATCTATGCATGGCGTTATGTAGATCACGTGCGGCAGAGACAGCCACTGTCCTGTGTGCGGGTTTTTAAAACAGCTGCCCTGGATGAAACGGAATAAACCAGTGATGCTATTCAAAGTCTTTCTGTTCTTGGGGGATGCTGTGGGCAGAGGGGATAAATTGCAGCCCCTGGCCCTCCCGTGGCATCTGCTGACTGGGGGACCCACATCGTGGCCTGAAAAACTCCTGGAGCGCCCTCTGGCCTCCTGTCGCTGGTCACTGGCCAGTGTCCTCCCAGGCTGCCCCGGCAAGGGGGCGTGGACATCTCTAGAATGGAGGCAGGGTACTCATGTCCAGACACGCCGCCATGGGGCTCCGCCCCGAGAGCGCAGGGTGCCTCTGCCTGGCGCTTCCCCTCCCAGACAGGGCCCTCTCTTTCCAGAAACAAAAGAAGGGGCAGCCCCAGAGGGTGGCTGAGCGACAACAGAGCCCACCTGGACAGGGTCAGCTTGGCGTTCCCCCCAGTCCCTTGAGGAGAGGAGCTACCAGAGCACTGGTCACCTCAGGACATTCTCCAGCCCCAAGTCCCTGTGGGGCAGCAGGAACAGGTGGGTCCCTCCTGCGGGCTGGTGGCACTGCTAAGGAAGCACCAGACAGCCTTTTTTTTTTTTTTGAGACAGAGTCGCTCTGTCACCCAAGCTGGAATGCGGTGGCATGATCTTGGCTCACTGCAACCTCCTCCTCCCAGGTTCAAGCGATCTTGTGCCTCAGCCTCCCAAGTAGCTGGGATTACAGGCACGCACCACCATGCTTGGCTAATTTTTGTATTTTTAGTAGAGACGGGGGTTTCACCATGTTGGCCAGGCTGGTCTCCAACTCATGACCTCGTGATCTGCCCACCTCGGCCTCCCAAAGTGCTGGGATTACAGGTGTGAGCCAGCTTGCCCAGCTTATGTTTATAGATTTATTTTAGAGACAGGGTTGGGCTCTATTGCCCAGGCCAGAGCTGGAGTGCAGTGGTGCAATCATAGCTCTCTGCAGGCTCCAGCTTCTGGGCGCAAGCAATCCTCCCACCTCAGTCTCCCAAGTAGCTACACTTGGGAGACTACGGGCGCACACTACCATGCCCAGCTAATGTTTTTTTTGTAGAGATGGGATCTTGCTATGTTGCCCAGTCTGGTCTTGAACTTCTGGCCTCAAGCGACCCTCCTGCCTTGGCCTCCCAAAGTGCTGGGATTACAGGTGCGAGCCACCATGCCTGGCCCATTCTGTTTTTTGTCGGCCACTGAGGTAGAGGCCCTCTTCTAGGAAAGAATTTCTGTTTGTTTTGTTTTGTTTTGTTTTGTTTTTTTGAAACAGTCTCTCTCTGTCTCCCAGGCTGGAGTGCAGTGGCGTGATCTCAGCTCGCTGCAACCTCCACTTCCCAGGTTCAAGCAATTCTTCTGCCAAGCTGGGACTACAGGCATGCACCACCACCATGCCCTGCTAATTTTTGTTGTTGTCGTTGGTTTTTGAGATAGAGTTTCGCTCTTGTTGCCCAGGCTGGAGTGCAGTGGCACGATCTCAGCTCACCGCAACCTCCGCCTCCCAGGTTCAAGCAATTATCTTGCCTCAGCCTCCCAAGTAGCTGGGATTACAGGCATGCGCCACCACACCTGGCTTATTTTTGTATTTTTAGTAGAGATGGGGTTTCTCCATGTTAGCCAAGCTGGTCTCGAACTCCCGACCTCAGATGATCCGCCTGCCTCAGCCTCCCAAAGTGCTGGGGTTACAGGTGTGAGCCACCACACCCAGCCTTTCTTTTTGCATTTTTAATAGAGACTGAGTTTCATCACACTGGCCAGGCTGGTTTCGAACTCCTGGCCTCAAGTGATCCGCTGGCCTCAGCCTCCTAAAGTGCTGGATTACAGGCATGAGCCACCGTGCCAGGCCTTGTTAATATTTTTAACTCTGGCACTTCACCCTAGAGGCTGCTAGGAATCAGGTGTGCCAAGCAACTGGCACCACTCCATGGAAAGCGTCTAGGGCAGTGCCTTGGTTCTGCCAATCCTGAGAAGCCAGGCTGCCCCTTGGGCTGGGCAGTGGCCTCAGTACCGAGCCCCAGGCCAGCAAGCCCACAAGCCTCGAGAAAGACTGCACTTCCGGTGGAGGCTGCAGTTTCCTTAAAGGGAAAATCTGCCCCACCCCTGTCAAGGGCAGGACACAAGTCACTGGCATTGAAGGACCCACTCCACACCCAGCAGATCATCGACGCAGACTTTTTTTTTCCCAGATAGAGTCTCACTCTGTCGTCCAGGCTGGACTGCAATGGTGTGATCTTGGCTCACTGTAACCTCCGCCTCCCGGGCTCAAGTGATTCTCCTGCCTCAGCCTCCTGAGTAGCTAGGATTACAGGCGCCCACCATCACGCCTGGCTAATTTTTGTATTTTTAGTAGAGACGGGGTTTTGCCATGTTGGCCAGGCTGGTCTTGAACTCCTGACCTCAAGTGATCCTCCTGCCTCAGCCTCCCAAAGTGCTGGGATTATAGGCGTGAGCCACCTCGTCCGGCCCAAGACTTTTTGCCTCAGATGCTGCAGAGCCCTGGTGGGGCCCAGGAGGGCAAGGCCCACACAGGAGCCGAAACCCATGTAGAACCTGCCAACCTGTAGCTCACACCTATAATCCCAGCACTTTGGGAGGCTGAGGTGGGCGGATCGCTTGAGCCAAGGAGTTCGAGACCAGCCTGGGCAACATTACGAGACCCTGTCTCTACAAAAATACAAAAATTACCCGGGCTTGGTGGCTCGTGCCTATAGTCCCAGCTACTGGGGAGGCTGAGGTGGGAGAATCATCTGAGCCCAGGGAGGTTGAGACTGCAGTGAGCCAAGATTGTGCCACTGCACTCCAGCCTGGGTAAAATGAGTGAGACCACGTCTCAACCCCTTTCACAGCCCGTCTGCGGCCCACCCACCCATGGGTACTGTGGGATGGGGGACAGGCTGGCTTAACACAAATCGAGGCAGGAATAACCCCAGAGAATGGGCTTTGCATGGAGCTTGGCTCCTGTCCCTGCCTGTGAGGGAGGACCAGACTCGGCCTCACCACCTGCCACTCTGAGCAAACAGGCAACGGTGTTTCCTGAACATCTTTCTGAAGCGGCTGAGGGATGTCAGCTGAGCCCCCGCTGGGCCTGCTCTGGAGCGGGATGTCTCCAGAAGCCGCCCTTGGAGCGGGCACTTCCCTATTTGGGCGTGTCCCAGTCCCATGCCTCACCATCCCCTTGCTTGAAGCTCCAAGAGCATGAGAGTGGGCAGCCTGGTCTGCTGAGGAAAGTGTCTGATGGATGCGGAAATGGCCACCCCAAACACCGGTAAGCAGATGTTACCCTGCAGGCGGTGGCTCCTGGGGCCCAGCCCTGCAGAAACACATGGGGCAGGCTGGGCAGAGGGGCTCACACCCGTTATTCCCAGCGCTTTGGGAGGCTGAGGCGGGAGGATCGCTTGAGCCCAGGAGTTTGAGACCAGCCTGGGCAACATAGCAAGACTCTATCTCCACTAAAAATCAAAACAAAACAATTAGCTGGGTATGGTGGCACACGCCTGTAGTTCCAGCTACTGGGGAGGCTGAGGGGGAGGATCACTTGAGCCCAGGAGTTCAAGGCTGCAGTGAGCCATGATTGCGCCACTGCACTCCAGCCTGGGCAACAGAGCAAGACCCTGCCCCGCCGCCTGAAAGAAAGAAAAAAGAAAGAGAAAGGAAGAGAAAGAAAGGAAAAGAAAAAGGAAACATACGAGGCTATGGGGCCGTGTACGGGGGCCAGGCTGTGGCAGAAGCATCCTGGCGTGGCCTTCTCCAGCCCCATCCTGGTTGGGTAAGGTGTCGCCGTGGGTCTTCGTGTCACAGCTTCAAGGACAGACCCAACTCTGGTATCACAAACTTAACAGGTAATGGAGTTTCCTAAAGTGTGCTCTGCAGGAGTGCTGGAAGGGCCAGCATGGAAGGACCCCAGGGAGGGAGATTTCTTTGCTCCACAGCATCCCCAAGCCTCACGAGGCCTCTCCCCTCCAAGTCTCTATGTGCATCGTTCTCCAGATGTTGGAGCATCCTGCAGGGGCCAGCCCAGCCTGTCAGGGGCAGAGACCCTGCACTGGCCCCCTCGAGAGTGGACCCCTGGGCTGGCTTATCTGCTCCAGTGCAGTGAGGATCAGCTGGAGCTCCGACCTGACTCACATCTGGATGCGCAGTGAGGGGCCCGTTGGGGCCGTGATACTGGGAGGAAGCCGGGCTCTGTGCTCTTGCTCCAAGTGAGTTGACCAGGGAGCCGAAGTTAAGGTGGCCTGGGAGCCACGTCCTCCCACCTAGCGGCTGGGCTCTCACAGCCACTAGAAACCCATCAGCCTTTCCCCTGGGTCTATGCGGGGCTCTTCAGCCCTCCTGGGAGCTCAGTGGCTGGGATGCTGCTTTACAGACAGTGCACGGCTCTGCCATCTGACAGCTCCCAGAGGGTTCTGGGGGTGACTGTAAAGAGTGGTGCTGGCCCCGAACCTTTCCTGTTCCCCTGGATTTAGTTCCCAGCAGGTGGTGAGGAACTGAACATTTTGTCCCATAGTGGTGGGAGAGAGGGCTGGCCACATGGGTCCAGGCCACCCCCTCAGCCTCCACAGCCTGCCCCGCACCCAGCCACAGGAACAGCAGAGCAGCTCCCCCATCCAGGTAAGCGCCCCCACCACAGCCCCATCACAAAGGAATAGCCTCCTGGTGTAGTGGGAGGTGAGGAGCTTTTTTTGTTTTCCTTTTATTTATTTTAGGGACAGGGTCTTGCTCTGTTGCCAAGTTAAGTGCAGTGGTATGATCATGAGCTCACTGCAGCCTTGACATGGTGGTAAAGCCATCCTCCCGCCTCAGCCTTTCGAGTAGCTGGGACTACAGGTGTGTGCCACCATGCCCAGACGCCCAGCTAATGTTTGTATTTTTTGTAGAGATGGGGGTCTCACTATGTTGCCCAGGCTGGCCTCAAGCAATCCTCCCACCTGAGCCCCGCAAAGTACTCGGATTACAGGTGTGAGTCACCGCGCCTGGCCGGGAGCTTTAATTTTTCCTACTTGTTAACAGCGTTATGGGGCTGGAAGGAGGCTCTCAGATTTCCCTGCCCTCCTCACATCCCCCAACCCTCCCTGGGCGTGGGGGTGTCAAGCATGAGTCAGGCTGAGCCTGACTCTGAAGCTGTTCCCAGCTCTTTAGTCTAAACTTCAAATCTTCAACCCTGTTCCCTAATCCAACACATTCCCCAAATGAAGGGACTGGACAGTGAGATATCGGGAAACCCCATGAAAATAGATGCATAATAAAGGTGAAAATCATTTAAAATGTTCCCATTTTTTTTTTTTTTCAAAACAGTCTTGCTCTGTCACCGAGGCTGGAGTGCAGTGGCGTGATCTTGGCTCACTGCAACCTCCGCCTCCCAGGTTCAAGCAATTCTCCCACCTTAGCCTCCCGAGTAGCTGGGATTACGGCTGTGAGTCACCACACCCGGCTAATTTTTGTAGTTTTTGTAGAGACGGGTTTTCACCGTGTTGGCCAGGCTGGTCTCGAACTCCTGGCATCAAGTGATCCGCCCACCTCAGCCTCCCAAAGTGTTAGGATTACAGGTGTGAGCCACTGTGCCCGGCCCCCAGTATTTTTTAAGCTCAAATGATCCCATGTCCCCAAGACTGTGACAAACTAAATAACCAAAAAAGTGTGGCCACGGTCCAGGTGGAAGGGGGCTGCCTGGAGGTACGTTCCCATCAAAACCTGCTCCTGGGCAGGGCTCACACTGCTCACAGCATCAGGGGTCAGCCATCTTCTCTTGAAACCCCGTGAGTTGCAGGAGGCCCTGTTCTGTGCTCCTCATTTCAATCCCGGGATCAGTCAAGTCTGGAGCCAAGGAGGCGGTTCACACGGGTCTTCCCTGGAAGGAGAGGGCGATCCGCAGCAGTTCCTGGCCCAGCTCTTGCTGCCTCCCTCCAGGGCCAAACTCAGCCGACAGCTCCCGGAAAGTGACGCAGACGCGGCGGGCCTCGATGTGTCTGCGGTGGATGGCATGCTTCCACTGGTGCCGTGCCGCCCCGGTGAGGACCAGCAGGGAGCGGGCGGGTAAGGGGATGGCCACCTCCACCTCCTGGCATAGCACCGACCGGCTGGGTGCTATCACGCTGTCCACCAAGGCCTCCGGGGCAGCCGACGGGGCCGAGCAGAGGAGCAGGCTCCCGGGCGCCTCCCGACACATGGACAGCACGGTGGGGGACAGGAGGTTGAGGCTGACCAGCCGCTCCCCCCACAGCCAGGCGTCGTCCAGGTGGGGGTCAATGGCAGAGCCCCGCTCGGGGCAGTAGTCCAGGTTGCACTGCTCGACGGGCCGGAAGCCCTCCAGCCCCGGGTAGAGGCCCATCCTCCGCACCACCTCCCGGCTGAAGCTGGGGAGGCCGCAGAAGCCCTCGGTCTTTAGCTTCTGTTTCCGAAAGTTGACTTTGGGGCCATAGTCCTGAAGGATGAAGACAAAGAGGACATGAGGTGTCTGAGTTTACGAAGATGTCTACCACAGACTAGGTGGGAAGAATTCAGTCATAGTGACCCAGGCAAGCAAAAGCCCCCTGGCTTCATGGAGGTGAAGCAGGAGGAGGCAGACTCAAGGAGACAGAAGTGACAGCAAATGGCCGGGCATGGTGGTGCATGCCTGTAATCCCAGCGCTTTGGAAGGCTGAGGCGGAGGGAGCTCTTGAGGCCAGGAGTTTGAGACCAGTCTGGGCAACAAAGTGAGACCTCCTCTCTACAAGAAATTTAAAAATTAGGCTGGGCATGGTGGCTCACGCCTATCATCCTAACACTTTGGGAGGCCCAGGCAGGTGGATCGTTTGAGCCCAGGAGTTCCAGACCAGCCTGGGCAACACAGCAAAACTCTGTCTCTAGTAACAAAACAAAAATTAGACAGATGTGGTGGCACAGGCCTTAGTTCCAGCTACTTAGGAGGCTGAGGTGAGAGGACTGTTGGAGCTCAGGAGGTTGAGGCTGCGGTGAGTGGAGACTGAGCCACCGTACTCCAGCTTGGGAGACAGAATGAGACACCCTGTCTCAAAATAATAATAATAATAATTATCTGGGCTTGGTGGCACATGCCTTAGTTTCAGCTACTCAGGAGGCTGAGGTAGGAGGATCGCTAGAGCCTGGGGGGTCAAGGCTGCGGTGAGCCAATATCACATATTGCACTCCAGTCTGGGCGACAGAGCGAGACCCTGTCTCAAAAAAAAAAAAAAAACCTGTACACAAATGTTCACAACAGCCAAAAAGTGACAACAACGCCAATGTCCATCGACAGATGAATGAGGAAATGAAATGTACCAACATCCAACAGGATGTCACAAAAGAATGGGGCTGGGCGCGGTGGCTCACGCCTGTAATCCCAGCACTTTGGGAGGCTGAGGCGGGCGGATCACTTGTCAGGAGTTCGAGACCAGCCTGGTCAACATGGTGAAACCCCGTCTCCACTAACAGTACAAGAATTAGCTGGGCATGGTGGTGGGCACCTGTAGTCCCAGCTACTTGGGAGGCTGAGCCAGAAGAATGGCTTGAACCCGGGAAGCAGAGGTTGCAGTGAGTTCAGGTCATGCCACTGTACTCCAGCCTGGGTGGCAGAGCGAGACTCTGTCTCAAAAAAAAAAAAAAAAAAAACCTACAATGAAGGGAGAGGGGGCACCCGGGGATGTTTGGACACAGGTGGGGAAGGAGTTGGAGGGAGCGGCGGGCCCGGGGAGGGGGAAGGTGGGAATGCGTGTGAGGAGACAGGACACGGATGGTGACAATGGGAGGTGGGGGCGCCTGCAGCTTGGGAGAATGGGGTGCCTTCACCACCACCAAGCCAGCTACAGAGGGGCAGAGAGCCCAGGAGCGCATATCACAGGGAGATGGGGTGCCCAGGTGCACCTCTGCCCATCGGACACACGTCCTGCAGCGAGTCTGGCTGCCCACAGCCCCAAGGTCTGGGGAACTCGCCCACTACCAACCCTGGAGGTTTGAGGGGTGTGGCTGCAAGGAGGGGGATGGCCCCCAGCAGTAGGGCTGTCTCCTCAGCGCAGCCCAGCAACCCCCATGAGCTCAGGGCCGGTCTACCTGCTTCCTCCGTCCAGACTGGGAGAGCTTCCAGGGGTCACGGTCCATGAGCCGCACCAACTCGGCTTCTTCCTCCCGGGTCACAAAGTCCTCGATCAGCATCACTCCTGGGAAGGGGAAGGCCCAGCCCTCAAAGTCAGACTCCTCTGTGCCCACGGCCCAGCCGGTGTCGGAGCAGTAAATGAAACGGTATGTTTTCTGCAAAAGAAACACAAGTCCACAGGCTGGGCAACACAGCGAGACCCGGTCCCTACGAAAAGTTAAAACAGGCCAGGTGCGGTGGCTCACGCCTGTAATTCCAGCACTTTGGGAGGCCGAGGTGGGTGGATCACCTGAGGTCAGGAGTTCAAGACCAGCCTGGCCAACATGGTGAAACCCCATCTCTACTAAAAATACAAAAATTAGCCAGGCATGGTGGCAGGTGCCTGTAATCCCAGCTACTCAGGAGGCTGAAGCTGGAGAATTGCTTAAACCCAGAAGGCAGAGGTTGCAGTGAGCCAAGATGGCACCACTGCACTCCAGCCTGGGCGACAGAGTGAGACTCAAAAAAAAAAAAAAAGTTTAAATAAAAATTAGCCGGGTGTGGCAGAGCGCACTTGTCATTTCAGCTACTCAGGAGGCTGAGGCGGGAGGATCATTTGAGCCCAGGAGGTTGAGGCTACAGTGAGCCATGGTCGCGCTACTGCACTCCAGCCTGGACAACAAAGCAAGACCCTGTCTCAAAAAAAAAAAAAGAAAAAAAAAAAAGGAAAGACACATCCTGGAGCCATGGCAGCCCCTGGCACTTGTGTGCCCTCAGGAGACCCTCTGATGGCTCATTCCTCCCCTCAGGACACTGTGGAAGGCAGCTGGAGTCTAGGGGGAGGTGCAGGCAGAGCCTCTGCCCCAGGCTGACCGGGGAAGGCCCGCAGCCCTCTTGAGCTAACACGAATTTGATTGGTTTCCTTTCTCACTTTCCTCCCCTGTAAAAGAGAAGGGTTTGTACAACATGTTTTTCCTTCTCCATTTTACAAAGGAGGCTCAGCAAAGTTAAGGAACCAGCCCGAGGCTGGACAGCACCTCCTGCACTCCCATCTCCTCAGCTGCTTCCAGGAGGCCCCAAACTGCCTGACTACCTTGAATCTGTGCACCCTAATCTCTTTAGGTCTTTGCTGATGCCACCCCGGTGTCCCAGGGGTTGGCCCGTGCCTATCACCAGCGTGAGGGTCACCTAGGAGGGCAGCCAACTTCCCTACAGAGCTGAGCGTTCAGTTGAGCTCCTCAGTGTCCCAACCTCCCTTCTCCTCACTCTTGTCCTCAGGGCACCTTTCCAGACCCAGCATCACCCCTCAATCCTCATACCCTGGGCTGTCACTCAACTCCCACCCCATGTCCCTCTCTGCTCTGCCACCAACCCCGAGGCCTGGCGGTACTCTAAGGGTTCCCCCATGCTAAAGAAAGTCTAGAAACCAGGCCAGGCACGGTGGCTCACACCTGTAATCCCAACACTTTGGGAGGCCAAGGTGGACTGATCACCTGGGGTCAGGAGTTCAAGACCAGCCTGGCCAACATGGCAAAACCCCGTCTCTATTAAAAATACAAAAACTAGCCGGGCGTCGTGGTGCATGCCTGTAATCCCAGCTACTCAGGTGGCTGAGGCAGGAGAATCCCTTGAACCCGGGAGGTGGAGATTGCAGTGAGCCAAGATCGTGCTAGTGGACACCAGCCTGGGTGACACAGTGAGACCCCATCTTGAAAATAATAATAATACTTTTTGTTTGTTTGTTTGTTTGTTTGAGATGGAGTCTCGCTCTGTCACCAGAACTGGAGTGCAGTGGCACGATCTCGGCTCACTGCAACCTCTACCTCCTGGGTTCAAGCGATTCTCCTGCCTCAACCTCCCGAGTAGCTGGGACTACAGGTGCGCGCCACCATGCCCAGCTAATTTTTTTCTTGTATTTTAGTAGAGACGAGGTTTCACCATGTTGACCAGGATGGTCTTGAACTCCTGACCTTGTGATCCTCCCGCCTTGGCCTCCCAAAGTGCTGGGATTACAGGCGTGAACCACCATGCCCAGCCAATAGTAAATTTTTAAAAAAGAGTTTCGCCAATGAAATAGCCAGTATTTGCATCTGTGGCACTGAACATTTTACATGGATTATCTAGTTTCATCCCCAGGACAGCCCCAAGAGGAAGGTACCATAACTATCATGGGCAGGAGGTGTGGAGGTTCTGGCCGGAGTCACCCAGTGAGGACTTCGGAGGCCACCAGAACTCAGCCCTGGGCTCTGTGGCCTGTCTCCTCTTCCTCTTCCATCTCCAGGCTCCTCACACCCTGGGCTGCCACTCACTGTGGGCCGCTGTCTTTCTCTGTTCTTCCCTCCAGGGACCTCAGCCCCTTCCAATGCTTTACTTCCAGCCACCGACTCCAGCTCAGACCCCTCCTGAGATTGGCACTATCTCCTCCTGCTCCTGGGGCCCTCCCACGGGAAACATTAAAACTGGGAGTCCCCCGTGTGTCGGCTGAGCAGGCTGGACTTGTCCGAAAGGCCATGGAGCGCTCTTGAAGGGTTTTAAAGGAGTGACGAGGTCAAATGTGAATTTTAGAAAGATCTGGAGGGGGGAGGGGCAGATATGAAGGGTGGAGGCTGGAAAGCCAGTGAGGAACTGCCCCAGTGCCCTGAGATCCTGGATACCTCACTCTCCTTGTTCCATAGCCATCGGGTTGGGAAGATGTCACCTCCACATGGCCACTGGAACGGGTCAGACTTTCCGCAATTTTTTTCTTTTCTTTTTTTTTGTTTGAGGCAGGGTCTCGCTCTGTCACTCAGGCTGGAGTGTAGTGGCGCTCACAGCTCACTGCAGCCTTGACCTCCTGGGCTCAGGCAATCCTCCCACCTCAGCCTCCCAAGTAACTGGGACTACAAGCACACACCACCACACCTAGCTAATTTTTAAATTTTTTGTAGAGACAGGGTCTTGCTATGTTGTCCAAGCTGGTCTCAAACTCCTAGACTCAGGCGAGCCTCCTGCCTCAGCCTCCCAAAGGGCTGGGATTATAGGCATGAGCCACCGCACCTGGCCCCTTCCACAAATTAAAACTCTTAAGTTCATTCATATTGTTGTACAGCCGTCACCACCATTCAGAACTTTTTCATCTTGCAAAACTGAAACTCTTTCCCTATTAAACAACAGGTCCCCATCTCCCCTTCCTGAGCCCTTGGCAACAACCCTTCTACTTTCTGTCCCTGTGACTACCCTACGTAGCTCACACAACAGGAATCATGCAGTATTTGTCTTCTGTGACTGCTTCCTTAACTTAGCATCGTGTCCCCAAGGTTCGTCCATGCTGTAACATATGTCAAAATGTCCTTTTTTTTTTTTTTTTTTTTGAGACAGGGTCTCACTATGTTGCCCAAGCTGGAGTGCAGTGGCGTGATCACAGCTCACTGCAGCCTTGACCTCCCAGGCTCAAGCAACCCTCCCACCTCAGCCTCCTGGGTAGCTGGGACTACAGGTACGTGTCACCATGTATGGTTAATTTTTTTGTAGAGGTGGGATTTCACCATGTTGCCCATGCTGGTCTCAAACTCCTGGGCTCTGGCAATCTGCCTGCCTCGGTCTCCCAAAGTGCTGGAATTACAGGTGTGAGCCACTGTGCCCGGCCTGTCCTTCCTTTTTAAGGCTGAATAGTATTCTACTATGTGTATGCACCACATTTTGTGGATCAAGTCATCTCTTTTTTTTTTTTTTTTTTTTTTTTTGAGAAGGAGTCTTGCTCTGTCACCTGAGCTGGAGTGCAGTGGTGCGATCTTGGCTCACTGCAACCTCTGCCTCCTGGGTTCAAGCGATTCTCCTGCCTCAGCCTCCCGAGTAGCTGGGATTACAGATGTGCCTCACCAAGCCCGGCAAGTTTTTGTAATTTTAGTAGAGGCAGGGTTTCGCCATGTTAGCCAGGCAGGTCTCAAACTCCTGACCTCAGGTGATCTGCCCACCTCAGCCTCCCAAAGTGCTGGGATTACAGGCGTGAGCCACTGAACCCGGCCCAGGTATCTTGATAGATGCTTGGTTTGCTTCCATCTTTGGGCTGTCATGAATAATGTCGTGAATATGAACATGGGTGTGCAAATATCTCTTCCAGACCCTGCTTTTAGTTCCTTTGGATATATACCCAGAAGCAGGATTGCGGATCATGGGTAATTCTATGTTTAATTCATGAGGCATGCCATGCTGTTTCCATAGGACCTTGGGCACTTTTACCATGGACGTTGGGGCAGTCTTCACTGGCTTACCAGCCTCCACACCTTCATATCTGCCCGTTCCCTTCCCAGGATCTTTCTAAAATTCACATTTGACTTCATCACTCCTTTAAAACCCTTCAAGAGCTCTCCAGGGCCTTTGGGACAAGTCCAGCCTGCTCAGCTGATGCACCGGGGAGCATCTGTGATCAGACCTCCCCCCCCCCACAACCTCTCCAGCCTCATCTCTCTCACCTGAGGCATCACCAATCCACCTTCCTACCCCACGCAGTTTTCTGGGTTGGAATGCCCTTGCAACCAACCACAGTCCTTCCATGCCAGCCCAAAGGCGCTGAGTTCTTTTTCTTTTTTTATTTATTTTCTTTTTGTGAGACAGAGTCTCGCTCTGTCGCCCAGGCTGAAGTGAGGTGGCTCGATCATAGCTCACTGCAGCCTCCAGCTCCTGGGTTGCAGCGATCCTTGAGTTCCTTTTCGTTAGTTAACTGGAATTCACTGTCTCCTTGCCCATTGCAGTCCACGGCCTTCAGGCACCGTTGGACTGGTATTCAGCACCCTCGATCGACCCTTTCCGTGTCATCTCCCTGCAGGCCCGTGAAGCTCCCAGCGCCAGACCCGAGAGGCTACGTCGAGGTTTACAGGCAGATCCCCCCAGAGTCCCCGAGGTGACCTGTAATCGAACCCACCCACGTTCCAGCTCCTTCCCCACTCCCAAGCCCGCTCCTTAAAGCCCTCATCTCCTCACCCTGCATCACCCCTACCGTAAGGGTCCCTCACAGGCTTCGATCCCGGCCCCTATCATGGCCAAGCTGGACCTCAGTTTCCCCAGATGCAGAGCGACGTTTGTGGGCGCGGCCCCTCTCCCACCCCTTACCGCTGGGGGCAGCTCCCAGGGCGGGTCACTGCCGCGCTGCCGCTCGCAGATCAGACAGGTCCGGATGCCCTTGCAACCGCATTCCCGAAGGACTTCGGGGGTCTCGGCGGCAGCCGCCGCCATCGCGCCGTCCGCGTGGCCAGTGCGCAGGCGCGGCCGTGGGGGCCGCTGGGAGTTGTAGTCCGCGCCGGGCGGGGGCACGAGGCCTGGGTTCCGCTTCCTTCCGGTCGTTAACGCCCACGGGCTCGCGCGGCGCCGCCTCCTGGGCTCAGTTACCGCGGACGCCAGTGCCGGGCTCCAGGAGACGCAGGGCGACGCCACACGCCGGGGTGGCCGACTGGGTCAGCGCGGGCTGCGCCTCCTCGCCATGGGCCCCCTCTCGGCGCGGCTGCTAATGCAGCGCGGGCGCCCCAAGAGCGACCGGCTGGGGAAGATCCGGAGTCTGGAGTAAGAGCCGGGCAGCGGGTGAGGCTGTGTCCTCGGGGCCGGGCGGTCGGGGAGAAGAGCGGGGACCCTCCCCAACGGCCCGCTTGTCCCCGTTATCGCCCTCTGGGTTCGGCAGAGTGGTCCAAATGTCTTCTTGTTGGGAGATCGTGGCCCCACCCGCTCGCCGGGAGCCCCGAGGGGCCTCATCCCCTGAAGGGAGCCCGGACAGTTAGGGGCACAGCCTGCCGCTATCGTTAGAGGGCCTGGGAAGCACAGACGAGCCCCCGAAGGATCAGGAAGAGCATCCTAGAGGGGGCTAGGATGCCCCCGAGTCCTAAAGTAGTTGCAGCTTTTTTTTTTTTTTTTTTTTTTTTTTTTTTTTTTTTGTTAAGTGGTGTGGAGTCGGGAGTAGTGGCGCGCGCTTCTAGTCCCAGCTACTCGAGAGGCTGAGGCGGGAGGATCCCTCAGCCCAGGAGTTGGAGGCAGCTGTGAGCTATGATCGCGCCTAGGCGACTGAGTGACACCCCGTCTCTAAAAATAAAGTAACGGGGGGATGGGCGGGGCGGCTACACTTGTACGAGAAATGTCAGGTGAAAAAGCCTTCTGAGGTACCCGGGGCAGATTGGTGTAGGGTGCAAAGCCTGCCCGCCCCCTAAGCCTTCTGCCCCCAACTCCAGCCTGTCAGGATTGGAGCTGCTTTCCGAGCACCTGGACCCCAAACTCCTGTGCCGCCTGACGCAGCTGCAGGAGCTTGACCTGTCTAACAACCACCTGGAGACGCTGCCGGACAACCTGGGCCTGTCCCACCTGCGTGTCCTCCGCTGCGCCAACAACCAGCTGGGGGATGTTACTGCCTTGTGCCAGTTCCCCAAGCTCGAGGAACTCAGCCTGGAGGGCAACCCCTTCCTGACGGTAAGTGGGAGCCTCCCACCAGCTTCATACCTGGGGCCAGGACTCTGTTGGGCTCAGGCTCAGCATCTCCTGAGCCACTGCTCTTCACCCTCTCTTCCCCAGGTCAATGACAACCTGAAAGTCTCCTTTCTCCTGCCCACGCTCCGTAAGGTCAATGGCAAGGATGCGTCCTCAACTTACTCTCAGGTGGAGAACCTGAATCGGGAGCTGACCAGCAGGGTAAGGGGATGAGAGGATTATTGTGTGCTTAGGAGCTGTGGGGGCATTGGGAGAATGATAGAATTGGACATCAGGAGGATGTTGAGGAGGGTGACTGATAGAGGCTCTTTGCCCCAACAGCCCCTAGCCTGATGTGCTACTTTATTTATTTATTTATTTTTTGAGATGGAGTCTCACTCCGTCGCCCAGGCTGGAGTGCAGTGATGCGATCTTGGCTCATTGCAACCTCTGCCTCCCAGGTTCAAGTGATTTTCCTGCCTCAGCCTCCCGAGTAACTAGGATTACAAGCACCTGCCACCATGCCCAGCTAATTTTTTTTGTATTTTTAGTAGAGACAGGGTTTCACCATGTTGGCCAGGCTGGCCTCAAACTCCTGGCCTTAGGTGATCTGCCCGCCTTGGCCTCCCAAAGTGTCGGGATTACAGGTATGAGTCACCACACCCGGCCTGACTCTTCTAAGTAGCTTTTTCTGGGGTGTTTCTTTTTTACCTTTTTTTTTTTTTTTTTTTTTTTTTTTTTTTTTTTTTAGAGACAGGGTCTCGCTCTGCTGCCCATGTTGAAGTGCAGTGGTGTGATCGTATCTCACTGCAGCCTCCAACTCCTGGGCTCAAGCGATCTTCCCGCCTTAGCCTTCTGAATAGCTGGGGCTTTAGGCGCATGCCACCACGTCTGGATCATTTTAAAATTTTTTGTAGAGATGGGATCTTGCTCTGTTCCCCAGGCTCCAACTCCTGGCCTCAAGCGATGCTTCTTCCTCAGCCTCCCAGTGGCTGGGACTATAGGCACCTGGGTTGTTGCTGGTGTGTGTGTGTGTGTGTGTGTGTGTAGGCACCTGGGTTGTTGCTGGGGTGTGTGTGTGTGTGTGTGTAGGCACCTGGGTTGTTGCTGGGGTGTGTGTGGGGTGTGTGTGTGTGTGTGTGTGTGTGTGTGTGTGTGTGTGTGTGTTTTATGAGGCTGTGATTCCAGGAGGCTTCCAGCAGGTGGCGGGATTGAGATTCCCTGAGATGGAGGGCTGGGTCCGGAGGAGCTGGGGTGGGCCGGGCCTGGATCTGGTCCCTCTTGCACCAGGTCACAGCTCACTGGGAGAAGTTCATGGCCACACTGGGTCCTGAAGAGGAGGCTGAGAAGGCCCAGGCGGACTTTGTGAAGTCGGCTGTCAGGGATGTCCGCTACGGGCCCGAGTCCCTCAGCGAGTTCACCCAGTGGCGGGTATGTCCCTGTCCCAATGTGCAGGGAGTCACTGGCTCTCGTATCTCTAGCTGCCTGGAGGTCCCTGGCCATGAAGGGCTGAGGGGCTGTGGGAGTGGGGTGAGTCAGGGTGGGCAGCCCTGTTGGCTGGAGAGGCCCTTCCCCAACTCTGGAAGCATAAGCTCCCCCTGACTATGCATCGGCAGGGCTGGGGGCACCTGGGACTCTGCCCAGCTTCCTGATGGCCTGGCCCCACCCAGGTGCGGATGATCTCTGAGGAGCTGGTGGCCGCCAGTAGGACCCAGGTGCAAAAGGCTAACAGCCCAGAGAAGCCCCCAGAAGCTGGAGCTGCCCACAAGCCCAGGGTGAGTGCAGCTCCCAGGGCTCTGAGGCCAGCCCAGTCCCTCCTCCCTGGAGAAGCTTCAGGAGACCAAGGCGTCCTGGGCATGTGCCCAGGAAGCACCCCAGGTCCTGGCTCACTCCCTAGGTGACCCCGGGCCAGCCTGGGCCTCCTGCATCCGCAGTGAGGTGGGGTCCAGCCTGTGATGGGGAGGAAGGAAGCCCCAGGCAGACAGGCCCATGGTCACAAGGCCCCCTCCACAGGCCAGACTGGCGGCCTTGAAACGGCCAGACGACGTCCCACTCAGCCTCTCTCCCAGCAAGCGGGCGTGTGCCTCCCCGTCGGCCCAGGTGGAGGGCAGCCCTGTGGCAGGCTCCGATGGCAGCCAGGTGAGCTGAGGTGGCAAGGAGCAGGTGGCAGATGAGTCGGGGCTGGGCAGCTGTGACCCTTCTCTCCCCCCACAGCCTGCTGTGAAGCTGGAGCCCCTGCACTTCCTGCAGTGCCACAGCAAGAACAACAGCCCCCAGGACCTCGAGACCCAGCTGTGGGCCTGTGCCTTCGAGCCGGCCTGGGAGGAGGGTACATGGTGGCGGGCAGGCGGGGCAAGGGCCGCTGGAAATAGGGCCGCCTGGATGGGTGGGGGATCAGGAGACAGAGCTTAAAAGGCGCCATCAAGGCTGGGAGGAGGAGGCTGCAGGGAGGACCTAGATGGGAAATGTCTCTGCTCATCCGACCTCTCAAAACCGGGCACTCAGGGGCCACATCCCAGACCGTGGCCACGTGCGGCGGGGAGGCTGTGTGCGTAATTGATTGCCAGACGGGCATCGTGCTCCACAAGTACAAGGCACCCGGCGAGGTGAGTGCAAGGCCCTGTCCCTGCTGGGCAAGGGTGCCCGACTGACTCCTGAACAGCAGCATGGGGATGGATGCAGGCTCGGCCCCCTGCCCCATGGCCTTTTTCTTTCATGCTGGGGCTCCCTCCCCCAGGCCCGGGCTACCCGCGTGTTCACACCAATAGCTCTGCCCCAGTGACTGTTTACTCTAACCCCCGCCCAGGAGTTCTTTTCTGTGGCCTGGACCGCTCTGATGGTGGTCACACAGGCTGGCCACAAGAAGCGCTGGAGTGTGCTGGCGGCTGCAGGCCTACGGGGCCTGGTCCGGCTGCTGCACGTGCGTGCCGGCTTCTGCTGCGGGGTCATCCGAGCCCACAAGAAGGCCATCGCCACCCTGTGCTTCAGCCCCGCCCACGAGACCCATCTCTTCAGTAAGCCCCTCCCCTTCACCCCTGGGACCCCCAAGCACCCCTGTCCTGCTGCCCCAGTAGCCTCCACGCTCCCCTCCCTGGGATGGCTGTGAGCTCGGGCGCCTGCCGGGCCCCAGTCTGCACCGCTCCGACTCTAGCTTTGGCAGGAAGCCATGTCGCTTCAACCCTGGCTTTATCCACAGCCTGCTCTGTGGCCTCGGAGTTTTCCAACAGCCTGGGCCACTCTGTCCCCTGTCAGTGACCTGGGGGGATGCCCCTGCCCCCGGGTGTGGCGCCCCTGTCAAGGGGGATGGATGAGCCACAGGAAGTGGCCGCTGGAGCCACCGCATCAGGTTAGATGGAGGAAACAGGGATTGGGGGCCCAGGAGTGTTCCTGTCTCCTAGCCTCGGCCCGCCCTCCCCGCCTCGGAGGGGCTGGCCTTGGGACCGTGGGCTCAGCCTGGGATGCAGCCAGCAGGAGGGAGCAGGGTCATCTCAGGGCCACTTCTCCCCTACCCCACCCCCTCTTCAGCGGCCTCCTATGACAAGCGGATCATCCTCTGGGACATCGGGGTGCCCAACCAGGACTACGAATTCCAGGCCAGGTGATGCTTCGGGTGAGGCTGGGGAGTGGCCAGCTGCTGGGGCAGGGACACCTCGGTCTGGGTCTGATGCTCTGTTCCCCCTTGCCCACTGGCAGCCAGCTGCTCACACTGGACACCACCTCTATCCCCCTGCGCCTCTGCCCTGTCGCCTCCTGCCCGGACGCCCGCCTGCTGGCCGGCTGCGAGGGCGGCTGCTGCTGCTGGGACGTGCGGCTGGACCAGCCCCAAAAGAGGAGGTGAGGCTGGGCAGGGGGCGCCTTGGAAGCCAGGCCTCTGCAGAGGGTGGCTGTTGGCCCAGATGGGCTCACAGCAGCCTGGGCACACCCGGGTAACCATAAGGGTTGTTTTTAGAGGCCTCTTCGCAGAGCTGGCTTGTCCCACCTTTCTGCCAGGCTCTGGAGGAAAGGACTCTGACCCTGCTCTCACCCTGGGTTCAGCTGTGGGACTGGGCCATGATGACCTCCCCTTCACCTGGGGCTTCAGCACCATGCTGTGCCCACGTGATCCAGCCCACTCCTGCCACTCATCAGCAGTGTGATGGTCCTCTGTGCTGGCATAATGTCCTCATCTGTAAAGAGGGGCCGATGGCTAGCGGAGGGCAGGTGAGGTGGTGTCTGGGCAGGCAGGCTTTGGAAGTGCCACGTTGAGGCTTTCTGGCTCATCTGTCCCACCTGGAAGGCCTCTGAGACAGGGCTTGGCAAGGGGTCCCTGTCCTCTTGGGGCCCCCAGCCTACTGGGGAAGACAGATGCTCAGCAAAGGTGGCCAATCAAAATCCCACAGTGTGATGCCAGCTACGAAGGAGACGGAAAAAGAGTAACGGGCAGAGGGACACTAGCGTGGGGGCCTCAGGGGACTCTGCTGAGGTGACCAGCGGCAGATGGATATTCTGGGGCTCACGCTTTCCTCCCTGGGAGCCTGGTGAGGGAGTCAGCGGGCGGAGGGTGGGGAGGTGCTTGCATGGAGGAAATGGTACGTGCAAAGGTCAGTGGCAGGGGAGCCAGCTGGCCTGCTCCACCATGTGGCCACAGCTGGGTGGACCCAGCCCAGAACAAGGTGGCAAGGGTGCCTGGGCGGGGCACGCCGGGCTTCGTCAGCCACGGTAAGCTTTGCATTTCTATTTATTTACTTTTTATTTGAGATAGAGTCTCCCTCTTGTCACCCAGGCTGGAGTACAGTGGCTCGATCTCGGCTCACTGCAACCTCTGCCGCCAGGTTCCAAGTGATCCTCCTGCCTCAGCCTCCCGAGTAGCTGGGATTACAGGCGCACGCCACCATGCCCGGCTAATTTTCTTTTCTTTGAGATGGAGTTTCACTCTTGTTGCCCAGGCTGGAGTGCAATGACACGATCTCGGCTCACTGCAATTTCCACCCCCCCACCGGGTTCAAGCAATTCTTCTGCCTCAGCCTCCCAAGTAGCTGGAATTACAGGTGCACGCCAACACGCCTGGCTTATTTTTGTATTTTAATAGAGATGGGGTTTCACCATGTTGGCCAGGCTGGTCTCGAACTCCTGACCTCAGGTGATCCACCCGCCTCAGCCTCCCAAAGTGCCAGGATTACAGATGTGAGCCATTGCACCCAGCTGACTTTTGTCTTTTTAATAGAGACGGGGTTTCACCGTGTTGGCCAGGCTGGTCTCGAGCTCCTGACTTCAGGTGATCCACCCACCTCAGCCTCCCAAAGTGCTGGGATTACAGGTGTGAGCCACTGCCCTGGGCCAAGATTTGGATTTTTAGCTTACCTACAACAAACAGCCCAGGAGGAGCTTCGACACAGCAGCTGCTGTGTTGAAAGGAGCAGCAGGGGCCTTGGCGGCAGAGGTGGTGGCGGCGGTAGTTATGGGCTTCTCTTTCTCACCAGCAGCCCCTGGGCCGCCGCCTCCCTCCCTGCCCGTATGTCTGGTCCCTGTGTCTAAGATGCTTCTTCTCTTACCCTCTGCCCAACTGGCTCAGGCCTGGCCCATGGTTAGCTGCTGGGCCACTCTCCTGGCTCCAGGCTAGCCTCCGAGAGTCAGGTAGCTGCCGGGACACTTCTCCAAGCAGACACTCCCACACACTCTCAGCTCTGAACCATGCAGCAGCCATTCCCTCATTCCCCCATTCCCCCGTCTTTTGAGTCAGAGCAGATGCCCCCAACAGCCCCCTGGGCCATGGCCCCCCATTCCCCCGTCTTTTGAGTCAGAGCAGATGCCCCCAACAGCCCCCTGGGCCATGGCCTGGAAACACCTGCTCTACTTGGCTGCCAGGAGGCCCCTGTTCATCTCACACTCGGTCCCAGAGGCACTGGCTCGCTTCAGAGCCTTATCCAACCCCCTGGCCTAGCCCCGTCCTGGAAGAGCCACCCCTCGTGCCTCTGGGTCACTACTGTGACTCGGGACACTCAGGTGCTGGCTCCCCCTTCCAGGGCAAACTGAACCTTCCTGGGGCCAAGAATGTATCTCTTTGGTGGCATCTTCTGTGCAGCCTTCACACAGGGCAGGGTCCCCAGCAGGTGCGCTGCAGATGCCTGGGTGAGTGGGCAGCTCTCTATCTGCAAGGAATGGCCAACTAGCATCTCGTGCTGCCCCACAGGGTGTGTGAAGTGGAATTCGTCTTCTCTGAGGGCTCCGAGGCATCTGGACGGAGAGTGGATGGGCTGGCATTTGTGAATGAGGACATCGTGGGTGAGTGAGCTCAGCTTGTGGGACAGCCTGGCCTCCGGGCACACAGATGGACCGCTTGTCCCTGGGCTAGGCTTCTGAGGATCTCTAGTGGGAGAAGGTGTCTGGGAGGGGCCACCCTGCACAGCTCTCCCTTCTCCCCCACAGCCTCCAAGGGGAGCGGCCTGGGCACCATCTGCCTGTGGAGCTGGAGGCAGACGTGGGGGGGCCGGGGCAGCCAGTCCACGGTGGCAGTGGTGGTCCTGGCGCGGCTGCAATGGTCGTCCACCGAGTTGGCCTACTTCTCGCTCAGCGCCTGCCCTGGTGAGCCTGCCCCCCTGCCCGCCCCATCCCGCGGGCTTCCGGGAGCTCTGCCCCCACTCAGACTCCACCTCTGTCCCGGCAGATAAGGGGATTGTGCTCTGTGGGGATGAGGAGGGCAACGTGTGGCTCTACGACGTCAGCAACATCCTGAAGCAGCCACCCCTGCTGCCGGCAGCCCTGCAGGCCCCCACACAGGTACTGCCCGGCTCACCCTGCCCAGGCTTGGGCTGGCAAGGCATCAGGGGCCCTGCCTTTGGTCAGCAGGAGCCCAGCCCAGCCCTCCCCTCTCTCCCCACCAGATCCTGAAGTGGCCCCAGCCCTGGGCCCTTGGCCAGGTGGTGACCAAGACCATGGTGAACACAGTGGTGGCCAATGCCTCCTTCACCTACCTCACCGCCCTGACGGACTCCAACATCGTAGCCATCTGGGGGAGGATGTAGCCTCACACCATCGCAAAGGACCAGGGACACAGCTAACTAACTTATTCAGCTTTGGGCCGATGGGGGTGGGGGGGGGTCTTTCAGTGAATATTTTTATTAAACTCTACTGTGGACAAGAAGCCTGTGGAAAGGTGTTTCGAGTTATGCAGGAAGAAGTGTTCCTGCTTTGACTGACAGGCAGGCCCAGGAGTTGAGGCTTCTAGAGCAGAGACTCTTGGGAGCTCATGGGTTTGCACACTTCTCTCCGGCTCAGCACAGCCCCCGCAGCAGCCCCTGGACCCCGGATCTTTGGTCCAGAATGAATTCATCCCTGCCAGCCGGACGCCCCTGAAACAGGTCATCTGCCTGCATCAAGCCTGACAATCCATTTGCTTGCGAAGTCACCGCTGCTCAAGTCCACATCCAGGTCTCTCCCGCTATACTTTATTAGGAATATAAAACCTAATCTATGTACAGGACACGTCGGTGTCAGGGTGAGGGGTGGCCACAAGGCGGGCCATGGCTGGGACCGGCCGCTCTCCTCGGTGTGGTACCTGGAGCGGAGGGTCAGGCACAGGTAGGAACGGGGCTCACAGGCCGAGCAGAGCCCCCTCTGGCCCCTACTCAATTCCTTCCTGCTTGTCTTTTATGGCCACCTGGGAGAGAAGAAGGTGGTGGAGACTGAGCTGGAACAGCTGGGGCAAGGACGCTGGAAACACATGCCCAGCATCCCCCCCGCCAGGCCCTTCCTGGAGGGCAGCCATGGGCCACACTCCCCAGGACAGTGGAGCAGCCAAAGGGCCCTCCCAGCTGGCCCAATCCAGCCATTCTCTATGGCAGCCCCGGCAGGAGTCAGAGGCCCCAGAGGCTTCCTGGTGAGCAGACGACTCAGACGTTGAAATCCCCCAAGCTGTGGCTCTTTCCCCTCTAAACTGTTCTAGATTCCCATGCGCCCTGCCAGGAACAGGTGTGGGCCACCCGGGGGTGAGCTGCCTCCCAGAGACCTGGAAGGACCAGGCCTTGCCAATCACCAACAAGGGACGTAGAAGAGCACCCCCAAAGGACAGTAGGTCCCCGCCCCGATCTGGCCCACAGCACCCGAGGGACCCTGCAGCACTACAGAAGTCCCATGGGGCAGACGGGAGCCACAGGCCCAGACTCCACAGCCCCTCAGTCCACATGTCCTGGAGCCTGTGGTGGAAGTCCCTGCTCTTCCATCACTGCCGCCTCTCCCCCAGGACCTCCGAAGAAACAGGCCAGGGCTGTCCCAGGCCTGGGCACACGGGCCAGTGTCCAGCCCACCCCGTCTGCCCCTCCAGGCCCCGCCCTCACCCGAAAGCGCTCCTCCAGCAGGGACAGCTCACTGATGAGGTCGGTGATGGCGTTGGTAAAGGCTTCCTGGGGGCTGTAGTCCGGCGTGGTCTGCACTCGGATGATGATCTTGTGCTCCAAGGGGTGGGGGACTTTGTAGCCAGCAAATAGCACTTGCGGGTCTTTTAGGAGTTGTCTGAGGTCAGGGACAGACAGTGTGAGGGTCTAGCCTCATGCCCAAGCTGGGTAGCAGCCAGCTCAGAGCAGAAGAACAGACTTTCTAGCCAAAAATCCCCCCCAACTTTTTTCCCAAAAAGTCTTCAAGGAAAGTAACACTTTTAGGAAGATACCTCATGTGGGGACACCCTATCCCCGCCACACACACACACTCTGCATCCATGAGGTTGAAGGACCCGAGCTGGAAACAGATTCCAGCAACCTCTTCCCACCGGGCACCGCAGTGCTGGCAAAGAGATCTCCCAGGCAGTGAATGTCCAGCCAGTGTTCAGTGACTCAGACCCAAAAAGCCCACAAAGAGCCTCCACGCAGCAAATAAAGGCAGCAGGAGAGGAGGGCCAGCTGCCGGCAGTGAGTGGAATGCAAATGGAACTCTGCCCTCCGAGCAGCACAGCTGCCAGCGGCTGGCCACGCACACTGGGCCTTGTGCCATGGGGCTGCGTCGCGTACTGTGCCCTGGGCACGCAGGGGTCTCCTCTAGAGCGGCTCAGAGTGGCGTGAGCACCACAAGGGGGACCCGTGCATAGGTGGCAACACTGAGCTCAAGAGCAGGGGAGCAGCAGGGCCCCAGGAGAGCTTGGGTGCCCCACTGGCTGGGCTCCGGGCAGGAGTCCTCCATCCCTGCGCCTGCCCACACCAGGAGACTGGGCAGACCCCACTCACAGACGGGGAAAAGCCTGGCTTCGCTGGTGGCACCAGAGGGAAGAGCCAAGTCTACAGTAAAATGACAAGTCCCTGGGCCAGAATGGCAGACACATCCCTGACCAACCACCTGGCTAGGACCTCACTGGTATAAACAAACACCCACCAACCAATGCAGGGTGCCCATTAGGGGCACTGGATAGCCACAGAACTCCTACTTCTTTCTCTTGTTAAATAGAAGTTCTAGTCTCTGCCACATACATCTTAGAGGCCCAGGTGGCACTGAGGTCACAAACGGGTGGCATGAGGGGAGCTAATCTTGACTGCTTTTCAATGCCCCTCAGCATGAATAACACACAGGCCTACTGTGCTGGAATCTGCTGCTCGTTCATTTACAGAATGTGCACTTAATGGTGAATGTAAGGCCGGGCGCAGTAGCTCACGTCTCTAATCCCAGCACTTTGGGAAGCCGGCAGGTGGATCACCTGAGGTCAGGAGTTCGAGACCAGCCTGGCCAACACAGTGAATCCCCATCTCTACTAAAAACACAAAAATTAGCCGGGCATCGTGGCGTGGGCCTGTAGTCCCAGCTACTAGGAAGGCTGAAGCAGGAGAATCACTTGAACCCGGGAGGCGGAGGTTGCAGTGAGCAAGATCGTGCCATTGCACTCCAGCCTGGGCAACAAAGAGAGAAAATTCCATCTCAAAAACAAACAAACAAACAGTGAATGTAAATGCACATGTTCATCTACAGAATAAGCCACTACAGAAGTGTGGCTTATGTGAAGACATGGAGGTCGGTGTCATTTTGATAAAAAGGTACCAAGATTATAAAATGCCCAGAGCAAGCCCCCAGAAGGACTTCCTGTAGCTCAGAGAGACTGAGGAAGACTTGGAACTTGTGCTTTGCCCAGGGGGGCCCATTAAACACAGCCCCTGAGAGCCTGTGACGGGAAACTTACGATTTAATGATGTTTCCCAGTGTGTGGTCTTCTTTGTTGATGGTGAATAAACAGGCATTGGGTACCTTGGTGTCCTTGTTAATGGTGATCCTAGGAAGACACAGAGGCCACAGATGAGGAGCAGGGGCTCCCCTCCTCCCACCCTGAGTCTAAACCCTGTCTCCTCCCGGCCAGGTGTGGTGGCTCGTGCCTGTAATCCCAACACTTTGGGAGGCTGAGGTGGATGGATGACCTGAGGTCAGAAGTTCAAGACCAGCCTGCCCAACATGGCAAAACCCTGCCTGTACTAAAAATACAAAGAAAAAAAAAATTAGCTGAGTGTGGTGATCCATGCCTGTAGTCCTAGCTACTTGGGAGACTGAGGCAGGAGAATCACTTGAACCTGGGAGGTGGAGTTGCAGTGAGCCGAGATCATGCCACTGCACTCCAGCCTGGGCAACAGAGTGGAACTCTGTATCAAAAATATAAAAATAAAAAGGAAAAATAAGCTCTGCCTCTTCCTGAAGGCCTTTCTCAATCTCTTCATCCCATAAAGGCCTCGCCAACCCGGTCCCCTACTTCCTGCTACCCCAGGTCTATGGAACCTTGGCCTTTTCTGAATTCCTCCTTTTTTTTTTCCGGTAGAGATGGGGTTTTGCCTTGTTGTCCTCGCTGGTCTTGAACTCCTCGCCTCAAATGATCTCTCCTGCTGCCCAGGCTGGAGTGCAGTGGTGTGATCATAGCTCACTGTAGCCTCCAACTCCTCGGCTAAAGTGATCCTCCCGCCTTAGCCTCCTGAGTAGCTGGGACCACAGGCGCACGTCATCATGCCTGGCCTGTTCCTTTTTTCTTACGCCAACATAATGAAACAACCAAAAGGTGAAGAAGAGAGGCCCTGAAGTTACACGGTGAGGCTGGTCCTGACCCTGTGAGTTCCGAAAGCAACCATCCCCCTGGCTGGAGTGTGCAGTCCTTCCATCCATTCCCCAAAACAAGTCATGCTCTGGCATTTACTATGATTTTAGTGAACGCTTAGATGGACAAAGACAGGAAACTTCCATTGGATTTTCCAAGACAAGGGGTTTTCAGAGTGCAGTTCCCAGATAAGCAGCATCAGAATCCCCTGGGAACTTGTTAAGAGTCTCCCACCTCCCACTTACTGGACCCAGAACTCTGGAGGTGGGGCACAGGGATCTATGGTTTAAGAAGCCCTTCAGGTGATTCTAATGCACACTCAATTTGAGGGCAACTATGCTGACAGTAAAATCTCACACAGGTGAGAGGTATCAAGTTGAATATCCTTTTTTCTAAGGTGGTTTCTCCAGGCTGACACCACACACATTTTAGGGTGCATCATTCTTTCCTGTGGGGTGCTGTCTTGTGGACATTGTAGGACATCAGCAGCATCCCTGACCTCTACCCAGTAGATTCCAGTCATAACCCCCTTTGACAACCAATAATGTTCTGTTATTGCCACATGTCCCTTGTGGGGCCAAATGGTCCCCAGTTGAGAGTCTGCTCTAAAGGAGGCCGAAGTGGCTGGCAAGGGCCAGACCAAGACCTCTGCACGCCAACCTGGGAACAATAAGAGCCAATGGTTACGAGGTTTTCCAGGGGCTGAGCTTTGGACCAAGAGTTTTACACAAATTACCTCATCCAATTCTTTTTATTTTGACACAGGATTGCGCTCAGTCGCCCAGGCTGGAGTGCAGTGATGCGATCAAAGCTCACTGCAGCCTGGAACTCCTGTGCTCAAGCAATCCTCCCACCTGAGCCTCCCAAAGTGCCGGGATTAAAAGCGTGAACCAGCGCACCTGGCCAGATCCCTTTTTTTGTTTTTTGAAACGGAGTTTCGCTCTTGTTGCTCAGGCTGGAGTGCAATGGCGTGATCTCCGCTCACCTCAACCTCCACTTCCCAGGTTCAAGTGATTCTCCTGCCTCAGCCTTCTGAGTAGCTGGGATTACAGGCATCTGCCACCACGCCCGGCTAATTTTGTATTTTTAGTAGAGACAGGGTTTCTCCATGTTGGTCAGGCTGGTCTTGAACTCCCGACCTCAGGTGATCCGCCCGCCTCGGGCTCCCAAAGTGCTGGGATTACAGGTGTCAGCCACCGCACCCGGCCTGAATCCCACGTTTAAGTACAGTAATAAACTCATTTTCCAGATGAGGAAACAGGGCCTCCGACAGATCAAGCCACTCGCCCACAGATACAGAGTGAGCCCAAGCTCTCTCCCCTGGACTCCTTCAACCCGCAGGCAGCGAGGAGCCACTGCGGCTTTTACGCAGGCCGCTGACAGATCGGAGGGGATGAAGGATGGAGGTGGCGGGCGAGAGACAAAAGAGGAAGCTGCCAGATCCCAGAGGAAAAGGGCTATGGAGAACCAGACACTCTGGGTTCGAATACAAGCGCCGCCACTTCCTGTGTCCGGGGCAACTTGCTCGCCTCCAAGCCTCAGTGTCCTCATCTGCAACATGGACACACTCGCGACTGCCTCGCGGAACGGCCTTAAATTTGGCTGACACAGGCCGAGCAGACGATCAAGCAAAAGCTGTTTCCCTCCCGGGGCAAGAGATGGGCAGGAGACACCCCAGAATGCGACAGCCGCAGGCCCGCGCACCTCGGCCCGCCGCAGCCGGCGTCACTTACTTCTTCTCGCCCTCGAAGAGCAAGAACGACTCGAAGGCTGGAGGGGCGTTCATGCTCCCGCCGCCGTTGCGTCCAGACCCCAAGGGTCCGCCGCCGCCGCCACCAGAGCCCTAATAAGAGGCCTCTTCCGGATTACTCCGGCGGGGCAAACCCGCTCAAGGATCGGCTCATCGCCCCCTGTTGGGCTGGAGGATCTTGCGCAGGCGCGAGAAAACCCCGAGAGAGACCAGTGCCTCTGCGCATGCGTCAGTGGCGAGCGCACCGCCCCCCCCCCCGCCCCCGCCACCCCGCACCCCGCCCCCCGGCATGGCTTTCCCCGTGGGCGCTTTTCGGCGCATGCTCAGAGCGCCGGCAGGGCTGTTCTGCCCCTACAGAGGCCTCCTAGTCCTGGCTGAGCGGGAACCTCAAGCTGTACCTTTCTCCTTTCCCCATGTCCCTTGATCTTTCTTTGGAAACGTGCACCCCCTTGGAGTGCGCAGCAGGAGGCCCCTGAATAGAGAGAATAAAGCTAAGGGGTAGTGGACAGCTGCGGCTAGCAGCCGTAGGGGGAGCAGAAGATCTCGTGGCCAGAGGCAGATCTATGACAAGCCCCCTGCCCAGGCTGCCTATACCGACTGCTGCAGGACCTCTGCCTGGGGGGTGCAGCTGGCTTGTTAGCCGGGAGGGACAATTGGGTGAGGGATGCAGAAGGAGGCAGGTGTATACAGCAGTGAGAGGGGAGCCCGTAGGGTTACGTATATCTTTTTATATATTATTATTATTATTTAGAGACAGCGTCTCCCTCTGTCGCCCAGGCTGAAGTACAGTGGCGCCATCATGCAGCCTCCAACTCCTGGGCTCCAGAGATCCTCCTGCCTCAGCCTCCCGATAGTTAGGACTGCAGCCATGTGCCATCACACCTAGCTATTTTTTTTTTTTATTTTTGGAGATGGTGGGGGGGGGGGTCTCCCTATGTTGCCCAGGCTGGTATTGAACTCCTGGCCTCCAGCAGTCCTCCAGCCTCAGCCTCCCAAAGTGCACTTGGTGGATGTGGGCAGCAAGCCACCCAGGTGCCGAGGCAAGAGACCGAGGGCACGAGCTGTTCCAGTATAATAAAATATATAAAATAAGAATAGTTATACTAGATATAGATCTTAGATATGATTATATATGAATCATTAATCATTAGTTTGTAGTAATTATTCTTTATTCCAATATTATAATAATCCTCGCTCTACAATCATAACCTAGGAAACACCAGGCCATACAGAGATAGGAGCTGAGGGGACAATGAGGAGTGACCAGAAGACAAGAGTGCGAGCTTTCTGTTATGCCCGGACAGGGCCACCAGAGGGCTCCTTGGTCTAGCGGTAACGCCAGCATCTGGGAAGACACCTGTTGCCAAGCCCACCGTGGTCTAGCTGTAGCGTTAGTGTCAAGGAAAAACACCCGCTACTTAGCAGACCAGGAAAGGGAGTGTACAGTGAGATCAGGATGAGGGTGGTGAGGTGGTGATCAGGGGGACCCATGCTTCTGCTCAGGGGGTTGGCAGAAGCCAGCAAGGCTTGGGGTTTCCCTGTTTGGAGCTCTCCAAGTTGAGAGTGCAGAGGAGTGTGAGATGCGTGTGAAAATGCAAACTTGGCTCTCCCTGGCTGGAGGCTGGCATTGGGTGAGTCTCTGGTAGGACCAGGCCATGTATACTTTTTAAGCTTTTTTATTCTTGAAAAGTTCAAAGATATACAAAGATAGACTATGCAGGATAATGAGCCCCCACATACTCCGCATCTCTTGTCTGTAATTATCAGCTCGTGGCTACCTCTACCTCTCCCCTCTACCTCTTGTCTCATCTCTACCTCTCCCCCTGACCCCTGCCTCTGGGTCATTTTGCAGCAAATCCCAAATGCCTATATCATTTATCCTAAATATTCCATAAACATTCCACTATGTAGCTCTGAAAGATAAGGACGCTTACAACACAACTGCAATATCTTTTTTGTTTGTTTGTTTGTTTTTGTAAAGACGGGGATTTCGCCACGTTGCCCAGGCTGGTCTCGAACTCCTGAGCTCAAGCGATTCTCCCACCTCAGCCTGCCAAGTAGCTGGGATTACAGGCATGTGCCACTGTGCCCAGCCAAGTGCAGTATCTTATCACACCTTTACAAAATTAATAATTCCAATCATCCTATAGTTGATTAGTGTTCAAATTTCCAATTGCCTCATAAAAAGATCATTTCTTAACATTTTGTTTTGTTGCAATTGGTTAAATATCTTCTCTTTTTTATACTTTTTATTGTAGTAAAATAGGTATAACATACAATTTGCCATTTTAACCATTTTAAGTGTTTAACTCAGTGGTGTTAATTACATTCACAATGTGTAGCCATCACCACTATTTAGTTCAAAAATTTCAAGTCTCCTTTATTTTCCCTTTTTTTTTTTTTTTTTTTTAATTTTAGGGACTAGGTTTTGCTATGTTGCCCAGGCTGGCCTTAAACTCCTGGCCTCAAGGTGATCCTTCTGTCTTGGCCTCCCGAGTAGCTGGGACTAGAGGTGTGCACCGTCACACCCAGCTTCAAGTCTCTTATTATAAAGTTCTGGCCACGCACAGTGGCTCGCAACTGTAATCTCAGCACTTTCGGAGGCCAAGGCGGTCAGATCACCTGAGGTCAGGAGTTCGAGACCAGTCTGGCCAACATGGAGAAACTCCGTCTCTACTAAAAATACAAGAATTAGCTGGGCATGGTGGCACACGCCTTTAGTCCCAGCTACTCGGGAGGCTGAGGCAAGAGAATTGCTTGAACCTGGGAGGCAGAGGTTGCAGTGAACCAAGATCAAGCCATTTGCACTCCAGCCTGGGCAACACAGTGAGACTCTGTCTCAAAAAAAAAAAAAAAAAAAATTATAAAGTTCCCCTTCATCTGAAAATTGAATGTGATTTTAAACAACCTATTTGAGCTCTGAGGTAGATGTCTAAGTTCAAAGCCCACTCCTCCCTTCTGGGGGTCCCAGTTTCGTGATCTCTTCTTCCCTTTCCTTCCTGGTAGCTTAAAAAAATAGAGATAACAGGATAAAGGTGAGGAATGAAGGAATGAATGGATGCAGGCAGACGTGAAAACAGCGCCCACCTGGAGAGCTAGAAACATCTGGAGGGCTAGGACCACCTGGAGATGCCCCGTGTCTATGAGCTGCTGTTGTGAGGAGCCTGGAGCCAGTGGACGCTGGGAGGGAGGAGGCTTTAGAGTGGGGGGCAACCGGGGGAGGAAGGAGGTTGGCTGAGCCAGGTCTGGGGGCCTCAGGGACTTCTGTGTCCTCATAACCCACAAAAGCCCTGCCCACCCTGCCCCGGGGCGGCCCACAGTAGCAGCGGCTGGTGGTCCCTGCAGCCGGTCAGCCCCAAGAGCGGGCACAACGTGTGGCCTGGGTACCACAGGGCCAGAAGAGAGGGACAGGGGCCCTGCTCCTGTCACCTGCTGCTTCTGCCACCCCAGGACCAAGTCATTGGTGTGAGCCGGTGGCCAGACATCACTGCCCCGCAGGCAGTGGGGGCTCCTCTTGGGCTGGGGGCAGGGCTTGGTGGGCAGCCCTATGGGAGGGGGAGCTGGTGGGGGACCACAGGGACTGACCAAAGAAAGGCAGGCCAGATCCCAGGACAGCAGGGGTTCTAAGTCCCCAAGAGTGGGGACTGGGCCGGAGTCAAGTTTTGCCAACCATCGGACCAGCCCCGGGCCTCTATGATGAAGGCATCAGAGAAACCCCATGGGGCCAGAAAGGGGCTGGGGCAACGGTGCACCTTTGGGATCTGGGGTCAGAGGGGGAAGGAGGTGACTGCATGGCAAGGCAAGAGCTGAAGGCCTTCTGGAGAAGGAGGGTCCAGTCCTTGTCCCCACCCTGATCCAGGTCACTGTGGACGCAGCTGGGAGCTGAGCCTGGCAGCCCATGTGACACAATGGTGGGGGGATGGGAGCCCCTACGTGGCCAACACTGCCAGCCACACAGCTAGAGGGCTTGGGGTAAGGGCTGCGTGAAGAGGAATGGGGTCTCTGAGTCCCGCCTCTGTGCTGTCCTCAGGGACACCCTAGAGAAGGGACTTGCTTGGGGGCTGCTTTGAGGAGAGAACAGCTGGTTGGACACACTGGGCTCTGTGGCCTGTGGGACATGAAAGAGGGGACCCAGGGACAGCAACTGGGAAGGGAAAGGAACCCCCGACCCCAGAAGAGTGGGGGGAAGAAAGAGGGGGGAACAGGGATGCCCAGAGCCCATACTGTCAGCCCCATCATCGGCACATCCACCGACAGCCTCCGGGGTCCCCCCGGGCCCACTTTCTCCCCAGACCCTCATCACAAGACCCCAGAGCCTGGACAGTAAGAGCAGGTTTACTGTTGGCAACAGCACAGCCCTGTGGCACCCAAGGGTAGCGGGTGGGGTGGCGGCCGGGTCTCCTGGGGCCCCGTTCTCCCTCCCATTCTCTAGGTCCCTGGAGGCCAGACCCCTGGGTGCGGCCCATCCTAGCAGTGGTTCTGGCTGGGTCTGTCCTGGGCAGGAGAGGAGGGTCCCTGGAGAGGCAGTGATGGCTACAGCGTCTGTAGGGAGCTGGGGACACTTCCGGCCAGCCATGACAGGCCCAAGCCTGCTCAGCTCTGCACTTCTGGGGATCCCCTTATTCCTGACTCTCCCCCCTCCCCCACCTGGAAGAGACCTAGGCCCTGCACCCTAATGAGGAGGACCGGGGTGAGGGGGTGCAGAGTGTCCTGGGGGGGCTCCGAGCGCTTGGCAGGGGACTCAGCAAGGGGAGCGTAGGGCGGGCCTCACGTCTGCAGCTCCAGGAGGCAGTTGGGCTCTGAGGGTGGGGAGCCGGCCGGGCTGGAGCTATGGGCCTCGCGGAGGTCCTGCAGCACCCGGAGCAGCCGGGCCAATGAGTCCTCGGGGACTGTGGGCAGAGGCAGCCGTGAGGGCCCCTGGGAGTGAGCCCGAGGACCCCACCCGTGCATCTCTGGAGGGGGCTCGGGCCACGAGCAAGTCCCAGGTGGGCAAGACCTACCTTTGCCAGGGCTCGTGGGCACCGTGCCTGCCTCTGCGCCCCCGCTCAGCTCCCGGTGCCTCTCCCTGTGGGGGAGGTCAGAGTGAGGGCCAGCAGCCTCCACTCTCCCTGCCAGACCTTCTGGTGTCCTTGTGGGAAGGCTGGGGGTGGCCCAGCATGGGCCTCCTGGGCTAGAGGTGGCTCTGGGGGTGATGGCAGGGCTGACTCTTTCAGTCTGTGAAGAGGCTGGGCCAAGGCCCACCAGGGCACCTTCCACCTTCTCCCTCCCCGTGTCTCCTCCTCCTCCCCATCCCACTGTGGGTTGACCAGAAGGCCCTTTGCATTTGTTTTGTTTTGTTTTTGAGACAGAGTCTTGTTCTGCGGTCCAGGCTGGAGTGCAGTGGCGCAATCTAAGCTCACTGCAACTTCCACCTCCTGGGTTCAAGCAATTCTCCTGCCTCAGCCTCCTGAGTAGCTGGGATTACAGGCACCCTCCACCACATCAGTTAATTTTTGTATTTTTAGTAGAGAAGAGGTTTCGCCATGTTGGCCAGGCTGGTTTCAAACTCCTGATCTCCAACAATCTGCCTGCCTCCACCTCCCAAAGAGCTGGGATAACAGGCATGAGTCACCGCACCCCACCTTCGTGGGTTTTGAGGGCAGAGATAAACCCTGGAAGAGTCGATGAGGAATGGGGAGGACCACACCCTTCCTCCTTGCAGAGTGTAGGGGTGTGACAGATGAATGAGCTCCAGCTCCAGTTGGCTCAGGGGAAGCTGAGCGCATGGGAAGCACTGGATCACCTTGAAGTATCCTGGCACCAGCCACATCTCCAGAGACCCTGAGTGATGGGGCCTTGGCATCCTGTTTTTTAAAGCTGATCTTTAAAAGCATCCTGTTTTTCCTAAGCTTCTGCCAAGGCTGAGAACCACTGGACGAAGCAAGATGGCCAGGGAACTCAGGGAATTGGCTGAGGCTGTGCCTGTACTCCAAGGGCCCAGGGGAACAGCTGGGCAGGTTGCAAGGTGGGCTCAGTCAGCACATGGCATGAAGCAGGCATGGCCCTGACCCTTGGGGCCTCTGTCCTAACCTGAGCTGGCCTCGTGCTGCAGAGAGGTACTCCTGGTGCCCTCCCCAGATGTGGCCAATTACAAGAGAGGTGACCAGCCACCATGGAGCAGCCCCAAGCCTGGCACGTTCCCCAGGCTGCACAGGCTCTCCTGGGTGGGACTCACCACAGCATGGCCTCCACGCCCAGCAGGTGCCGGTAGATGAGCTGGGCCTCAAGGTCATGGTCAAGAGGGTCATTCCACTCCTGCAGGGTCACCCGTGACCGGGTCTTATCGCAGCCCTGACCTGGGGGCACAGAGAGGGCAAAGTTACGAGCAGACACTTGGGACTACCATGTCCAACACTGTGGTTGCACAGATGGAGAAACAGAGGCCTGGAGAGGAGAGAGATGCACTCGGGGGTCCCTAGTGAGGGCTGGGCTGGGAGCATAGCCTGGTAAGTCTGACCCAGGCCCTGCCTCGGCTCCCCACCCTCTGGGGGCAGCAGCTCCTCTTGGGGTCAGCCCCTGCACCACGGGATGCGTGACTGAGGAGCATGGATATCATCAGGATATGACTCGGGTTGCTGGGTAACTTTTGGTTTTTTTTGAGACGGAGTCTCGCTCTGTCGTGCAGGCTGCAGTGCAGTGGCGCGATCTTGGCTCACTGCGAGCTCTGCCTCCCAGGTTCACGCCATTCTCCTGTTTCAGCCTCCTGAGTAGCTGGGACTGCAGATGCCCGCCACCACGCCCAGCTAATTTTTTATATTTTTAGTAGAGACGGGGTTTCATTGTGTTAGCCAGGATGGTCTCGATCTCCTGACCTCGTGATTTGCCCGTCTCGGCCTCCCAAAGTGCTGAGATTACAGGCGTGAGCCACCGCGCCCAGCCAGGGAGCCGGGTAACTTTCTGGAAGACTGTCTGCCTGGAAGGGAGCAGGCTGAAATGTTAACATCATGGTGAGGTGGGCCACAGGGGGTTCATGCCTTAGAATGAGCTGGTCCTGCAGCTTGCTGTCTTTATGACCTTGCCAAGTCATCTGCCTTCCCTAAGCCTCAGCTTCTCCTCCATACAGTGGAATAACAGGCCCTGTCTCTTGGGCCAGGGTGGGTCCCACCTTGCCGATAATGAGAGTATCGCTCTGATGGTTACAGGCAGAGGCTGCAGGCCATATCAGCCAGCCAGCAATGCCCTTGCAAAGAGTCACCAAGAGGCCAGGCACAGTGGCTCACACCTGTAATCCCAGCACTTTGGGAGGCTGAGGCAGGAAGATAGCTTGAGGCCAGGAGTTCAAGACCAGTCTGGGCAACATAGTGAGACCCTGACTCTACAAAAAAATAAAATAAAAAATAGCTGGGTGTGGTGGCATGTGCCTGTAGTCCCAGTTCTGCAGGAGGCTGAGGCAGGAGGATGGCTTGAGCCCAGGAGGTCAAGGCTACAGTGAGCTATGATTATGCCACTGCACTCCAGCCTGGGTGAGAGAGTGAGAGACCCAACTCAAAACAAAAACAAAAACAAAAGAGTCACCCATCCCTATACAGTGCTTGGCTGTAAATCCAGGGCTGGGCTAGAGTGCGTGGGTCAGTTTTCGATGGCCTCTGCCACACTGGGCTCTGGGGACCAAGATTTGGCCTGGCCTGAAGGACAGGGGACTCGAAGTGCTGAGTCTACTCTGTAAAGTAAGTGTGGATAACAGGGAGAAGGTCTCGAAAGTTCTAGAACTGTGCTGTTCTACAGGGCGGCAGCTAGCCACATGAAGCTATTTGAGTTAATTAAAATTAAAACAACGTTTTTTGTTTCTTTTCTGTTTTTTTTTTTGTTTTTTTGTTTTTTTTTTTTTGAGATGGAGTCTCGCTCTGTCGCCAGGCTGGAGTGCAGTGGCACCATCTTGGCTTACTGCGACCTCTGCCTCCCAGGTTCAAGCAGTTCTCCTGCCTCAGCCTCCTGAGTAGCTGGGACTACAGGCCCACGCCGCCATGCCTGGCTAATTTTTTTTTTGTATTTTAGCAGAGATGGGGTTTCACCATGTTGCCTAGGCTCGTCTCTAACTCCTGAGCTCAGGCAATCCGCCTACCTTGGCCTCCCAAAGTGCTAGGATTACAGGCGTGAGCCACCACACCCGGCCAAAACAACATTTTTAAAAATGTGAAACTCAGGCCAGATGTGGTGGCTCACTCCTACAATCTCAGCACTTTGGGAGGCCGAGGCAGGAGGATTGCTTGAGCCTGGGAATTCAAGACCAGCCTGAACAACATAGCAAGACCCCACCTCTAAAACAATTTTTTTTAAATGAGCCAGGTGTGGTGATGCATGCCGGTAGTGCCAGCCTACTCAGAGGCTGAGGCAGGAGGATTGCTTGAGCCCAGGAGTTGGAGGCTGCAGTGAGCTATGATCGTGCCGTGCCACTGCACTCCAGCCTGGGCAACAGAGCAAGACCCTGTTTTAAAAAATTAAACAAAAAAAACCCCTCAGCTCCTCAAGCCACATTTCAAGTGCTCAAGAACCACAGGTGCTAGAACCTAGAGTACTACACAGTATGGAGTCCTTCTAGAAGCTCCTCTATGCCATCCCTCTAGTGCCCAAGGCTCAGGGTCCCCTCCCACCCACAGCTCCGGATTCAGATGGCCAGCATTGGAGTGTGCGAACCCAGGGGCTCTCTGGCTCTCATTAGCAGGGGGCTCCTCGAATGTGTTCCTGAGAACACCTGTTCTGTAAGAAGCTCCTTGGGGAAGAGAAGGGTTCCCTGTCAAAAGAGTTTGGGAAGTGCTGGGTTAAACCACGTTAGAAATGGAATTCTAGGCCGGGCGTGGTGGCTCACACCTGTAATCCCAGCACTTTGGGAGGCCGAGGAGGGCAGATCACGAGGTCGGGAGTTCAAGACCAGCCTGGCCAACATGGTAAAACCCCGTCTTTACTGAAAATACAAAACTTAGCTGGGTGCAGTGGCTTGCGCCTGTAGTACTTGGGAGGCTGAGGCAGGAGAATCACTTGAGCCTGGGAAACGGAGATTGCAGTGAGCCGAGATTGCACCACTGCACTCCAGCCTGGATGATAGAGCGAGACTCAGTATCAAACAACAACAACAACAACAACAACAACAACAACAAAACAAGAGCAGCTTGACTAACATGGTGAAACCCCATCTCTAGTCAAAATACAAAAAAATTAGCTAGGCTTGGTGGCGAGTGCCGGTCATCCCAGCTACTGGGGAGGTTGAGGCAGGAGAATTGCTTGACCCTGGGAGGTGGAGATTGCAGCGAGCTGAGATCGTGCCATTGCACTCCAGTCTGGGGGACAGAGTGAAAGTCTGTGTCTGAAAAAAAAAAAAAAAAAGAAGAAGAAGAAATAAAAAGAAATGGGATTCTAACGTGTTTTCGGGCCTCCTTAGAGCCTTCAGCGAATTCACTCATATGCATCACACACATCACGTGGCATTTCCCAAACCACCTGGTCCACGGGACCCTTTCTGCCCAGAGCTCCTGGAGGGGCCAGCATTCCTTGGGTTAGGTCCCTGCAGGTGCACAGCAGGGCTCAGGGTCCCATCGTTCAGCCAGAGGCCCGATCTCGCAGTGGACGGATGCAGAGCCCGGGACCCAGGCCTCCTCTCCCACCTGTCTTCTCTTTTTGGTGGCAGCAGCTCCACTTGTCCCCACGGAAGACGCCAGGGTGGTAGGAGCCCAGCAGTCCGGTGTTGTTGATGCTCACCTTCCGCAGCGCAGACAGCCACTGGTTAAGCTCATTCACACACTGCAGGGGACACGGAGGGGGAGGCCTGTTCAGACGTCACCTCCTCCAGGAAGCCCTCCTAACCCGGAGCTCCTGTACCACGCCAGACGCCATGTTCCCCACCATACCAACCCAGCAGCTTTGAGTGAATTAGGAGAAGCTGCCCTTCCTCCAGTGGAACATGACCCATGCCCGGGCGCATGGCCTGGAGAGCAGGTGCAGTGGCTCACTCCTATAATCCCAGTGGCTCACTCCTATAATGCCATCATGGCTGGCTAATTTCTTTTTTTTAGAGATGGGGTCTTGCTACATTGGCCAGGCTGTTCTCAAACTCCTGGCCTCCAGTGATCCTCCCACCTCAGCCTCCCAAAGTGCTGGGACTACAGCTGGGATTATAGGGGGCCGAGGTGGGAGGATCGCTTGAGCCCAGGAATTCAAGACCAGCCTGGGCAACACAGCAAGACTTCATCCTCTCCTCTCCCACCTGTCTCGTCTTTTTGGTGGCAGCAGCTCCACTTGTCCCCACGGAAGGCACCGGGATGGTAGGAGCCCAGGAGGCTGGTGTGGGCTGGATTTCAGCCGCCGCTGGCCCCTTGGCCACGCTCGTAGGTATTCCAGAACCCGCCAAATATATTTGGTGGCCCTGATATCACTACTTTTCCCAGTGGCTCTGGACCCTGACACAAAAGGGAACTCCTAGAGGGAAGGGCACAGAGGGACAGGTCTGTGACTTCCTCCCCACAGGCCAGGACGGTCAAGCCCGGAAGAAACCAACCCCCCTCCAGCTGCAGGCTTCTTACTTGTCCCACATGTCCCTGCCCTAGATACACATCTGGGTCACCCTCCTACAAGGTCCCTGCTCGAATGCCACCCATCAGAGGTCCTCCCTGACCACTCTTTAATTAATTTACTAATTAATTTATTTATTTATTTTGAGATGGAGTCTTGCTCTGTCACCAGGCTGGAGTGCAGTGGCTCGATCTCAGCTCACTGCAACCTCCACCTCCCAGGTTCAAGCGATTCTCCTGCCTCAGCCCCCCAAGTAGCTGGGACTACAGGCACCCACCACCACACCCGGCTACTTTTTGTACTCTCCCTGACCACTCTTAATAGGACAGACCGCTCCCTGCTATACCCCACTCTCTTCCCTCCCTTGCTCCCTTAGTCCCTTCTGGTTCCCTTCAAGTCACTATCACAATTTGCTTTTTTTTTTTTTTTTTTTTTTTAAGAGACAGGGTCTCACTCTGTAGCCCAGGCTGGAGTGCAGTGGTGTGATCATAGTTCACTGCAGCCTCCAACTCCTGGGTTCAGGCTATCTTCCTGCCTCAGCCTCCCAAGTAGCTGGAATCACAGGTGCATGCCATCATGGCTGGCTAATTTTCTTTTTGTAGAGATGGGGTCTTGCTACATTGGCCAGGCTGTTCTCAAACTCCTGGCCTCCAGTGATCCTCCCACCTCAGCCTCCCAAAGTACTGGGACTACAGGCATGAGCCGACATTTGAAACATGTATTTATTGGCCCATCTTCTCCCAGGGATATCAGCTCCATGAGGGCAGGACTCTGCCTCATCTGCCACTGTATCCCCTCACCTAGAATCATGCCTGGAACCTAGGAGGTGCTCAGTAAGTATTTTTTAAATAAATGAATGAATGAGTTAATGAAGGAACAGATGAGAAGGTTACTTGAGAACATGCACCCAGAGCCACACACAGCATAATGTTTGATTATTAGGCATTGATACAGACACAGAACCACACAGGTGCCAGCTCAGACTTTCTGTTTTAGAGAAAGGGTCTTGCTCTGTTGCCCTGGCTAGAATGCTGGGATTATCCGTGTGAACCAGCGTGCCTGGCCCCCATCTCAGTTATCTGGAAATAGTTTCCAACAAACGGGTGCAACGTGCAAATTTCACATCACGGGGATGCACCTGTCTGTGCACTGGCCCACACACAGACCTACACATGGATGCCCAGGGAAAGACATGGGCCATGGCCTCCTGGGGGCTCAGGCCCCTGGACAACACACACACACCTGTCCCTGACACCTCCCAGATTAGACACACCCTGCGGTGCCTGATGTAGCTGGTAGCGGGGCGAGAGGCTCAATCAACTCTTTTCTCATCCAGTCCACTCAGGCCCCTCCCACAGCAGCCAGGCCACTCCCACAGAGCTCAGGCCACTCCCATAGCACCCAGGCCATTCCCACAGCACCCAGGGCATTCCCATAGCATCCAGGGCACTCCCACAGCACCCAGGCCACTCCCATAGAGCTCAGGCCTCTCCCACAATACCCAGGCCACTCCCACAGGACTCATGCCACTCCCACAGTACCCAGGCCTCTCCCACAGCACCCAAGCCACTCCCACAGTGTTCAGGCCACTCCCACAGCACCCGCTCCCCTCCCCGCACCTTGCACTGCAGGTAGGCAGTCTGGGGCCTGCCGGCGTCGTCCGTGTAGATGACCTGCATGACGTGCGAGCCGCCAAAGCTCTTTTCCTCAACCTTTTCCGCTGCCCGGATGTTGGCTAACTTGATGAGGGCGCTTTTCTGGGGCAGGCAGGGAGGAGGAGGCTCAGGGACCTAGCCAGGGGCATTCCATTCCCCATCTCTGGGCCTCAGTCTCCCCTTCTGCAGCACCAGGGGTAGGCATGGGAGACCTAGAGTGACCTCAGCCAGGGCAGAGCACAGACTGATGGTGACCAAGTGCCCAGCAACTGGGAGAGGAGGACCTGGCCTCTCTGGGGGGCACTCCCAGAAGGCCTCGGAGGTGTGAGCTTTGGGGTAGTGTCGGGACAGCCAGCATTCCCTGGGCTACAAAGTCAATCCGGCCGTGGCCAAGGCTTTGTGACTTTGCATTTATTAATTTTCCAACTTGCTTTTGTAGTCCCAGGCTCTAATAGTCATATCCTGACCGGGCGCAGTGGCTCACACATGTAATCCCAGCATTTTGGGAGGCCGAGGAAGGCGGATCACCTGAGGTTGGGAGTTCGAGACCAGCCTGACAAACATGGAGGAACTCCGTGTCTACTAAAAATACAAAATTAGCCGGGCATGGTGGCGCATGCCTGTAATCCCAGCTACTTGGGAGGCTGAGGCAGGAGAATCGCTTGAACCCGGGAGGCGGAGGTTGCGGTGAGCCAAGATCGCACCATTGCACTCTGGCCTGGGCAACAAAAGCGAAACTCCATCTCAAAAAAAAAAAAAAAAAAAATGGGACCAGAATTAAATAATGCCCATGTAGTCAAATCTTTCAACCCTGGCAAGGAAGATGTATAATAATCATCTGAGTGCTTTGGGAGGCTGGGGCAGGAGGATTGCCTGAGGCCAGGAGTTTGAGAACAGCCTGGGCAGCATAGCAAGACCCCATCTCCGCAAAAAAAAAAGTTAAAGAAAATTAGCTGGGCTTGGTGGCACGTGCCTGTAGTCCCAGCTACTCGGGAGGCTGAGGTAGGAAGATTGCTTGAGCCCAGGAGTTTGAGGCTGCGGTCAGCTATGATCGCACCACTGCACTACAGCCTGGGTGACAGAGCAAGACCCTGTCTCAAAAAATAATTATCATCATCTGAGGGGTCTTTGGTCGGAAGGGGCGGGCCCCTCATCTGGTGGGACCCCTGAGCTGGTTGAGAACAGGGTGGGTGATGAGCTCCTTCACCTACTCCTAGCCCGCTCTCACCTGCCCAGGGCTAGGCTGGGTACTCCTGGAAGATCATCCCCATAGCCTGCATGACTGGGGGCAGGTGTACAGCAAGCAGTCACCAGGTCCATGGAGGAAGTATGTCCTCAGCCCTTCCTGGGAGAAGAGAGCTTGCAGGAGAGGTGACCCATGACTCAGAGAGGGCTGTACAAGGTGATCTTTGAGATCCCTTCCCACGCCAAGATTCCGTGCTTCTATATTCCTGCCTCTTCCAGGAAGCCTCCCCTGTTTGCCCTAGCCTCCTACTCATCTAGCAGCCCAGGTGATATACTATCTTTAATAATATCATTTGCCTAAATAGTACTACCTGCCAGGCCCTGGGTCAGGACCCTTAGGGAGATCATCTCATTTAATCCTCAACAACCTGGTAAGGTCGGATCAACTTCCTCCATATTCATTTTTTTTTTTTTTTGAGACGGAGTCTTGCTCTGTTGCCCAGGTTGGAGTGCAGTGGCACGATCTCGGCTCACTGCAACCTCCGCCTCCCAGGTTCAAGCGATTCCCGTGCCTCAGCCTCCCGAGTAGCTGGGACTACAGGCACCCACCACCACACCCGGCTGATTTTTTGTATTTTTAGTAGAGACGGGGTTTCTCCACGTTGGCCAGGCTGGTCTCAAACTCCTAACCTCAAGTGATCCACCCGCCTTGGCCTCCCAAAGTCCTGGGATTACAGGCGTGAGCCACCGTGCCCGGCCCTCCTAGGTTCTGACAAGCAGTACAGATGCCACACACCTGGCTTTCTTCTCTGACCCCGGGGGTACCTCAAGTGGGCTCCAAGGAAGGGGACAGGTGCCCCACTTGCCGGCCTCTCAGAGCCCCACTTGCCGGCCTCCCTCCTTACCCACCTTGGAGCTGGGCGTCTTCGCGAAGCTGAGGGCCTCGGTAGTGAGGGAGAAGTAGAGCTTCTTGAAGGAGGAGGACATGAGGGGGCCCTTGCCCTTGGTCCTGTGGATGAAGAGTGGCCCCTCCTTCACAGGTGGCGCCTGCAAACTCAGCGTCCGCTGCAGGTCCAGCTCTGCCAGGCCAGGGAGGGAGGGGAATAGAGAGCCCAGTGAATGAGGGCGGGACTGGGGGGAGCGGAGCAGTGGGAGGGGCCATGGGGCTCAAGGGCTGAGCAAATCTGAACAGCAGGCAGTGGACGTAGTCATGGGGCTCAAGGGCGGAGCAAACATCAACAGCTGGTGGTGAGCGGGGTGACAGGTGGACTGAGGAAGGCAGGGCCATGGGCTTGGAGGCGGGACACGCGTCAGTAGCAGGTGGCGGCGGGGCTATGGAGCTCAAGGATGGAGCAAATGTCAACAGGCGCAGATGATGGGGGGGTGAGGCCATGGGTCTAGGGCTGGGGCAAACGTCAACGGCAGGCAGTGGGCAGGGTCACAGGAAGCACAAACAGTGGTGCGTGGGTCTATGGCCTAGGGGCCTGGCAAATGCCAACAGCAGGCGGTGGGTGGGGCCACGAGAGGAACAAACAGCGATGGGTGGGGCCGTGGGGCTCAAGGGCGGAGCAAACGTCAGCAGTAGGCTGTGGGCGGGTCTGTGCAGGGCGGCGCTCACCGTCCTTCTCCTCGATGTCCACGAGCTTGGTGATGAAGTCCTTCAGCTGCGCCACGCCCTGGTGCACGGTGGGCTGCAGCGGCTCCATCCAAGCCTCCTTGGCCCTGGAAGCCGGCGTGTCCATGTTGCCCACGTTCTGGACTGCCTGGAGGTGACAGCAGGAAGGACCAGGTTCTGCTAGGTTAGGGGCCTAGCCACTGCACCCCCTCCCACCCCCCCTCCCCAAGTCTTTGCTACTCAGCTGTAGCGATGGAGGCAGAGGCGACAGAGGCCATGCCCACGGGCCCCCTCCAGCCCCACTAGGGATCAGGGAGGAGAGGATCATGAAGTTTGATGCCTTATGATAACTGAGACCACTTGGGCCTTCCTCTGTAGGTTTAACTGACGCTGCTGCACCGGATACCCCACCCCGGTGCCGGGCACATAGGTGCAGCCTGAGAGTAAGCAGACCCGGGTTGGAAGGTCCCGCGATTCACCACCGACAGGATGGGCGGCCTTGGCAACCCCCGACCCCTCGCAGGCCTGTTCCCTTATCCATGAGATGGAGCTCGGACAAGGTGGCCACAGGAAGGCTTTGCAAACTGTGAAGTGCAGTGCCTACGTGGGCGTGCCAGTGGCCTCGCCGGAGCCGGTAGGGAACACTCTGCAGTCCAGGCCAGGGCCCCGGTAGGACACCCAGCTGTGCATCCCGCCCGTGGCCGCAAGGCCCGCACCTTGGCCAACAGGAGCAGGGTGCGGCTGGTGCGGGCGTCCGCGTGGCGCTCCCGCAGGTGGAAGAGCTTGGGCGACATGATGGCGGGAGAGAAGAAGCGCAGGCACAGGAAGCTGGTGACGGCGATGAACGGTACATTCTGGAGGGGTGCGGAAGAGCGCGGGCTGGAGTCCCCCAGACCAGGGCTCCTGGCAGCCCCCTCCCCTTAGGCTCCGTCCCTGACCCTCGCTGGGACACAGCCTCCCTGGTCCTCCCCAGCGCTCCCTGGTTCCCCACCGCTCTTCACCCCTCGCCCCAGCCCAGTCCAACCCGGCCCAGCCTAGCCCAGCGGGTGGAGGGCGCACCTCGTGCTGGGCGCCGGGGAAGCGCTCGCGCACGCGCCGGAAGAGCTGGCGGAAGGTGGCGCGCACCACGGCGGGGCACGCGCGAACCGAGCGGCTGAGCGCGCTCAGCAGGGCCCCCAGGTGGGCGCGCAGCGTCTGCGCGCTCTGCTCCAGCACCTCGGCCTCGGTCTGCGGGCGGTGCAGCCCGGAGCACCTGCGTGGAACGGGGCGGGTTGGCAGAGGAGGTCGCGGTCAGCGCCAGGGCCACGACAGGAACAGTGGCTCTCACAGCAGCCAGGACACGGACACAGGGGACAATACACGGGTGGGCAGAAGCACAAACACACATGCTGACAGGGCCTGATCCCAACCCGCTGCCGCTGCACCCCGCAACCCCCGGAGTTACCCCCGGCCTCACCCTACATCCTTAACTTCCACTTTGCTGGGGTCCAGCTCCACGTACTTCTTCTCCTCAAACACCTTGTTGATGATGGGGCCCAGGACGCCGTGCAGGTACTGCATCCCGGCCACCTGGGGACCACCGCAGGTCACATTGATCCTGTCTCCCCCAGTCCCACTCCAGCTGCCCACCTTCTCCCGGCAGCCGCCCTTGCACCGTTTGCCTGCCGTATCCGCCCAGGAGGGGGCCAGGTACACATGCAGGGCAAACTGTTTATTCATGAATGAATGAATGAGTGAGTGAATGAATGACTAGAATTCTTAGCCCTTGTAATCCTAGCACTTTGGGAGGCCAAGGCAGGAGGATCACTTGAGGCCAGGAGTTTGAGACCAGCCTGGGCAACATAGTGAGACTGTCTCTAACTTAAATTTTAATCACACACACATTCTCTTTGGGGGGGGGGGGGGTGCGGGGCACGGAGTCTAGCACGGGGCCCAGGCTAGAGTGCAGTGGCGTGAGCTCACTACAACCTCTGGCTCCTGGTTCAAGTGAGTCTCCTGCCTCAGCCTCCCCAGTAGCTGGGATTACAGGTGCCCACCACCATGCCAGGCTAATTTTTGTATTTTTAGTAGAGATGGGGTTTCGCCATGTTGGCCAGGCTGGTCTCGAACTCCTGACCTTAAGTGATCCGCCCGCCTCAGCCTCCCAAAGTGCTGCAATTACAGGCATGAGCCACTATGCCCAGCCACATTCTTAACCTTAAAGGGCTCTGAATATGGAGATAGAACACTGGAGTCGAAGTCCCAGCCCCCTCTGTCGCTCTCTCTGAAGCTCAGTGTTGTCGTTTGCAAGATGAGGACAATATAGCATGCAACCTCACCTTCAGAAAAGACTCCACGGACTTTGAGGCCAGAGAGTTGCTCCGGAACAGGGTGTTGGTCTCACCTACAAACAGAGGTCCCAGTGGGTAGGGGGCTGGCACAAAGCTTTTGGGGGAGGGGGAGGACAGAGGACCTTGGGGCTGGGGGATCTAAGCTGGCCCCTCAATAAAGGGCCTCCTCGCCACCTCCCAGCCCACTGTCCCACCTCTGCCCTTGGCTCTGTTCCTTGCCTCCCTCCTCTCTGACCCCATCTGCCTCCTACAGGAGGAGCCCACCCACCCCCAAACACCTCCCAGTGTTCTGGGCCCAGCTCCTTCCCAGGCCTCACTGGTGCGACTCAGCTCCAGCTGGAAGAGCAGGTCCAGGAAGTCCTTGGCCAGCCCCTGCCCCAGGAAGAGCTTGAGCAGGTTCGTGGCCACGTCCTGGCGACACTCGGTGCTGGTTGTCTCCTCGATGAGTGGGATCAGCTGCCCTGGGCCCTGCAGGGAGAGGCACGGGGGATCCCGAACCTTTCCCTCTGAGGACCTCAGAGCATCCCAGGGAAAGAGGACAGTTTCCCAAGGGGTGGCTGGGGACGGGGCCCTGGACACTGGCCAGCTCCTCACATCCCCAGACCTCAGGTTTCTGCTCTGCAGAATGGGTTTAGAAGGACAGGCGCACAGGCCTACTGCCACTGGACCCTCCCACCCTGCCCAGGCCCCCTCACCTGCATGCCCAGCTTGACCTCGTGGCACAGCAGGTGCACCAGTGGCTGGTAGTAGCTGGAGGGCAGCACCGTCTCGTCCCGCAGCCGCACCTCCAGCTGCAAGGAGCCCAGGTTGCCCCTGGAATGGGCAGCCTGTGACCTCTCCACCAGGGACTCAGGCCACCCTGGACCACACCACTCCCATGGCCTCCAGTTTTTTCCCTTGGGGCCGGCTTCCCATCTCTCTGCTCATGCCCTCCATTCGGGTGCCCTGCATAGCTCTGCCTCCCAGGCTCTGCCCGGGCTATTTATTTTCTGTTTTTGGAAAGCCCTTCCTGTCTCTGCACTCAAGGCACCTCTATCTGTCTTCGAGGTCTGGCTCCCTGCCACCTCCAAGCTTGGGTATGTGGAGCTGCCAGCCTTGAATCGATCAACTCCCAGATAATGGCACCATCATGGGTACACTTTACAGCAGAAGCAAATCCCCAACCCTCATAACAACCTAATAGGGAAACTGAGACCCGAGCCAGTTCAGCAACTTGCCACATTAGATTGAGCTTCCCAGCTTCCCTGTTCTGATAGGGAAGTTCAGAACAGAGGAGGGTGTGGACCAAGTGGGAACCTCTAAGGCTCCCACTGCCCCTGCTCAGCACAAGCCTCATGCACAGAGCAGTGTTAAGATGGGCCCCTGGGCCTGGCGCAGTGGCTCATGCCTGTAATCTCAGCACTTTGGGAGGCCAAGGCAGGCAGATCACTTGAGGTCATGAGTTCAAGACCAGCCTGGCTGACACGGCAAAACCCCATCTCTATTAAAATATATATATAAAAATTAGCCAGGCATTGTGGCAGGTGCCTGTAATCGCAGCTACTCGGGAGACTGAGGCAGGAGAAGCGCTTCAACCCAGGAAGCAGAGGTTGCAGTGAGCCAGGATTGCACCACTGCACTCCAGCCTGACTCTGTCTCAAAAAAAATAAATAAATAAAAAATAAGATGGCAAGATGGGCCTTGGCTGGTTCTATGGAAACACCTTGTGCTGGACACACAGCCGTCCACCTGCTCCTACCCTGTTAAGGATGGGAACTGGGGGAATGGGGGTCTGGGGCCTTCCACAGAGACACAAAGCTGAACCACTGAGGGCTGTGGGCCACAGCAAACAAGCCAGAGGGCTTCCTAGACAGGCTGCCAGATTTAGCAAAACGACCCAAGACACCCAGTTAAATGTGAATATTTTATTTACTTATTAACTATTTTTTTTAGAGATGGGGTCTTGCTATGTTGCCCAGGCTGGTCTTGAACTCCTGGGCTCAAGTGATCCTCCTGCCTTGGCCTCCCAAAGTGCTGAGATTACAGGCATGCGCCACCATACCCGGCCTAAATTTGAATATTTTTAGTATAGGTATGTCTCAAATAGTGCATGGTCATTCTTCTTCTTTATTTATTTTTTTTTTTTGCTGAGATGGAGTCCTGCTCTGTCACCCAGGCTGGAGTGCAGTGGCGCGATCTCGGCTCACTGCAACCTCCACCTCCCAGGTTCAAGCAATTCTCCATCCTCAGCCTCCCAAGTAGCTGAGATTAGAGGTGCCCGCCACCACATCCGGGTAATTTTTGTATTTTTAGTACAGACGGGATTTCACCATGTTGGCCAGGCTGGTCTTGAACTCCTGATCTCATGATCCACCCGCCTCGGCCACCCAAGTGCTGAGATTACAGGCATGAGCCACCGCACCCGGCTGTTTTCTTGAGACGGAGTTTCGCTCTTGTCACCGAGGCTGGAGTGCAGTGGTGGGATCTCGGCTCACTGCAACCTCCGTCTCCTGGGTTCCAGCAATTATCCTGCTTCAGTAGCTTGGATTACAGGTGCCCACCACCATTTTTTGTACTTTTAGTAGAGACGGTGTTTCACCATGTTGGCCAGGCTGGTCTCGAACTCGTGACCTCAAGTGATCCACCCACCTCAAACTCCCAAAGTGTTGGGATTACAGGTGTGAGTCACCACGCCCAGCGGTTATTTTTATACTAAAAATGTATTCACAGCCGGGCACAGGTCAGGAGTTCAACATCAAGCCCGGCCATCACGGTGAAACCCCATCTCTACTAAAACTACAAAAATTTAGCCAGGTGAGGTGGTCCTAGCTACCTGGAACGTTGAGATGGGAGGATTGCTTGCACCCAGGAGGTGGAGGCTACAGTGAGCTATGATCACCACTGTACTGGTGGTACAGGTGCATGCCTGTAATCCCAGCTACTCGGGAGGCTGAGGCATGAGAATTGCTTGAACCTGGGAGGCGGAGGTTGCAGTGAGCCAAGACCGTGCCACTGCACTCCATCCAGCCTAGGTGACAGAGTGAGATTCTGCTCAAAAAAAAAATATATATATATATATATTCACTTTTATCTGAAATTAAGTTTTAACTGGGTGTTCTTTTTTTTTTTTGAGACAGAGTCTAGCTTTGTCACCCAGGCTAGAGTGCAATGGCGCAATCTTGGCTCACTACAACCTCTGCCTCCGGGGTTCAAGCAATTCTGCCTGCCTCAGCCTCCCGAGTAGCTGGGATTACAGGTGCCCGCCATCTGGCCAGGCTGGTCTCAAACTCCTGACCTCAGGTGATCCGCCCACCTCGACCTCCCAAAGTGCTGGGATTACAGGCGTGAGCCACCGCGCCTGGCCTAATTTTTATTTCTTTGTAGAGACGGAGTCTCACTTTCTTGCCCAGGCTGGTCTCAAACTCCTTGCCCCAAGTGATCCTCCCACCTTGGCCTCCCAAAGAGCTGGGATTACAGGCATGAGCCACCGCTCCTGGCCAATGGTGTCCTATCTTATCTCACAACCCTATTCCTGGAGAATCTGGCATAGGGAGTTGGAGCTATGGCTCAGGGACACTGACCTTGGAGACTTGAACCCTGGTCTGAGGTCTGCAGGGAAATTTTCAAAGGGAAAATGTCTGAGTACTTGTTTCAGAAACTTCCAGAGGCAGAAAGCAGGAGACCTGTACAACCTGTGAGCTAAGAAGACAGACCTGGCCGGGTGCGGTGGCCCATGCCTGTAATCCTAGCACTTTGGCAGGCTGAGGCGGGTGGATCACTTGAGGTCAGGTGTTCGAGACCAACTTGGCCAACATGGTGAAACCCTGTCTCTACTAAAAATACAAAAATTAGCCGAGCATGGTGGTACACAGTTGTAATCCCAGCTAATCAGGAGGTTGAGGCAGGAGAATCACTGGAACCCAGGAGGTGGAGGTTGCAGTGAGCCAAGATTGTGCCGCTGCACTCCAGCCTGGGTGACAGAGCAAGACTCCATCTCAAAAAAAAGACAGAAGACAGAGCTGAGCTGAATGCAGAACTGTGGGGAAAAATAAAGGGGAGGGGCCGGGCGCGGTGGCTCATGCCTGTAATCCCAGTACTTGGGGAGGCCGAGGCGGGTGGATCACAAGGTCAGGAGATCGAGACCATCCTGGCTAACATGGTGAAACCCTGTCTCTACTAAAAATGCAAAAAATTAGCCAGGCGCGGTGGCGGGTGCCTGTAGTCCCAGCTACTTGGGAGGCTGAGGCAGGAGAATGGCGTGAACCCGGGAGGCGGAGCCTGCAGTGAGTCGAGATCACGCCATTGCACTCCAGCCTGGGGACAGAGTGAGACTCCATCTCAAAATAAATAAATAAATAAATAAATAAATAATAAATAAAGGGGAGGTGGAGCCCAGCCAGGATGAGAAGGATGCTGGCTAGGTGGGCAGGGGCTGAGGGGACCCTGGAGCTGTGTCTCCTGACCTCTCACCCTGAGCAGCCCCCCTGCCCTGCCTGCCTGTAGCCAATTCCCAAATGTCAGCCCCCACCCCACCCCTTGAGGCCGGCTGCCCAGCTCCATGCACTTACTCGTCATGCCGCCGGCTCTTGGACTGGTCGGGCTGCAGCCGGAACCAGCCCTCCTCCTGCTGCACCACCCGCAGTCTCTGGACATCAATCACCACCTGGGGACATAGTGGCAGTTTTCCTGGAGCTGGGAGACTTACGTCTCCTCCTTGCCAACTACTGTTCTTAGTGGGGAGGGGCCCCTTCCAAGGGTCCCTGAGTGCCAGTGGTGGTGGGGGGAAGTTGCTGGTTCTGGCAGACGGTGGAGGTGGGGGGGTAGTCCCAGGCTTCCTGAGTGTCCCTCTTTGGGGAAGCCGGAGGGAGGTCCCTGAGGATGGGATGGCTGCAATGGAACCAGGTGCTGGGGGACAGCAGGTGCAGCCTGCCGGGGGAGGAGGGGGGGCGGGGCGGTGGTGCTCACTTTGCCCAGGAAGTCGTTTCGGCTGACAAGGTCCCAGTCCCAGGCCTCCACGCACAGCGCCTCCATGGCCCCCTCCTGCAGCTCAAATTCAAACGTCTCATTCCAGCGTGGGTAGCATGACTTCTTCACGATCTGCCCAGAGGAGGGTGGGAGGGGGTTAGGCTGATGCCACTGGACTCCCCAGGCTGGGCAAAAGGCAGAGCTGCCCTAGACACCTCCCCTGGGTTCCCCACAGCCTCCTCGCCTTGGAGGTTCTGCCACAGCAGAGGTTAAAATGTCCTGTCCAAGCTCCCACCCATTTCTGAGATAGGGAGAACTGAGGCCCAGGGTGGGGAAAAGATGTATCCAAGGCCACACAGCAAAACAGTACTGACTATGAGGATGTGGTGAACAGGGAATACCTCTACACTGCTGGTGGGAATGTGAACTAGTACAACCACTATGGAAAACAGCAGAGATTCCTTAACTAACTAAAAGTAGAACTACCATTTGATTCAGCAATCCCACTACTGGGTATCTACCCAGAGGAGAAGTCATTATACAAAAAAGATACTTGCACACATATGTTTTTGTTTTGTTTGTTTTGTTTTGTTTTTGAAACAGTCTTGCTCTGTCGCCCAGGCTGGAGTGCAGTGGCACGATCTCAGCTCACTGCAACCTCCGCCTTCTGGGTTCAAGTGATTCTCCTGCCTCAGCCTCCCAAGTAGCTGGGATTTCAGGGGCCTGCCGCTACGCCCGGCTAATTTTTGTATTTTTAGTAGAGACGGGGTTTCACCATGTTGGCCAGGCTGGTCTCAAACTCCTGGCCTCAAGCAATCTGCCAGCCTTGGCCTCCCACAGTGCTGGGATTACAGGTGTGAGCCACTGTGCCTGGCCAAGATACTTGCAGACGCATGTTTATAGCAGCACAATTCGCAATTGCAAAAATGTGAAACCAGCCCAAATGTCCATCAATCAACAAGTGGATAAAGAAACTGTGGTATATATATACGATGGAATACTACTCAGCCATAAAAAAGGAATGAATTAATGGCATTCACAGCAACCTGGATTGGATTGGAGACTATTATTCTAAGTGTAGTAACTCAGGAATGGAAAACCAAACATCGTTATGTTCTCACTCATATGTGGGAGCTAAGCTATGAGGACGCAAAGGCATAACAATGACACAGTGGACTTTGGGGACTCGGGGGGGAAGGGCGGGAAGGGGGTGAGGGATAAAAGACTACAAATTGGGTGCAGTGTATACTGCTCGGGTGATGGGTGAACCAAAATCTCATAAATCACCACTAAGAACTTATGTAACCAAACACCACCTGTTCCCCAATAACCTATGGAAATAAAATATTTAAAAACAGAGCAAAACAAACAAAAAACACAGGGCTGGGCGTGGTGGCTCATGCCTGTAATCCCAGCACTTTGGGAAGCCGAGGCGGGAGGATCACTTGAGGCCAGGAGTTCGAGACCAGCCTGGCCAACATGGTGAAACCCCATCTCTACTAAAAATACAAGAAATTAGCCTGGTGTGGTGGTGTGTGCCTGTAATCCTAGCTACTCGTGTGGCTGAGGCAGGAGAATCTCTCCAACTGGGAAGGCAGAGCCTGCAGTGAGCTGAGATCCAGCCACTGCACTCCAGCCTGGGTGACAGGGTGGGACTTGGCCTCAAAAAAAAAAAACACCACGAAACACAAAACAAAAACAGTAGCGACTATACTGAGAAAGCAGACCTTGGTGTCTTCGTGCCCAGGACTGGGCCCTCGACTCTGGACATTTCCTGGGGGTGGGGAAGGCAGCATGGGTGTTCCCAAATAAACCCCACTCCGGCTGTCTCAATCCCCTCCTTACCCCCAAGCATGGCCGGGAGTGAGCGAAGTTGGCCCCAGAGGTCCTGGGACCTATTATGTCCCCTCAGAGAGGTCGCCCCTTTCCCTGGGCCTCCTCTGTAAGACTGTGGCCCCCAATCTGTCCCACCAGCGGATGGTGAGCAGGTGGTGAGGTGAGCAATGGGGGCGTGGCTGGCACGTCCCCCGAGCCCCCTGCCCCTTCCCTGCCCTCTGGCCTCCTCACCGAGGTCTCCCGTGTCCGGCCCTTGTAGCGCACTCGGACGAAGGGGTCAGATGTGCCATTGCGGTCCTTTGGGGCCAGATCCCTGGTGGGGGTGGAGGAAGATTGGATCATCGACTTGTCCCTGAGCCCCCCCTCCCCCACTTGTCACCACCATTATGTAACCACAGCGGGCCAAAAGGCCTGGGCACATTCCGTCCCTGGCAAGCTGACTGTGGACAGTGCGCCTCTGCCCTTTCTGGGCCCTGCTCCCATAGCCATCTCCCCAGGATCGCCCATGTGGCCAAGAACCCCCCAAGGTAGAGGCCATGGGTCCTTCCCACCAGGCAGCTGCAGGCCAGTGGCTGCACCTTGCTCTGGGGGTGGCAGGGGGGTGGTGTGAGTGCTGCCAGGGAACCGCCGGGGCAATGTTCCTGGCCCTCCATTCCCAGGGCTGCCCTAAGCCTCGGTTTCCTCATCAGGAAAATGGAAAAGTGAATCGCTACTGGGCTCAGGTTTAGGGAGAGAGTGTGCTTCTGGAAGGTCTGCCCCAGTAATGTCGCTCTACTTGGTGGAGGAGTGAGGTGCAGCCCTGATGGGCGGCCCTGCCCTTTCTCCATAGATGGGTCTTTACACAGCCCTAGTCTAGTCACGGTACCTCCAGCTTTTTTTTTTTTTTTTGAGACGGAGTCTCGCTCTGTCGCCCAGGCTGGAGTGTAATGGTGCAATCTTAGCTCACTGCAACCTCCGCCTCCTGGGTTCAAGTAATTCTCCTGCCTCAGCCTCCTGAGTAGCTGGGATTACAGGTGCCTGCCACCACGCCCAGCTAATTTTCGTATTTTCAGTAGAGATGGGGTTTCACCAGGTTGGCCAGGCTGCCGTCGAACTCCTGACCTCAGGTGATCCGCCTGCCTTGGCCTCCCAAAGTGCTGGGATTACAGGCGTGAGCCACCGCGCCTGGCCCTTTTATTCTTTTCTTTTTTTTTTTTAAACAGGGTCTTGCTCTGTTGCTCAGGCTGGAGTACAGTGATGCAATCATAGCCCACTGCAGCCTCCACCTCCTGGGCTCAAGCAATCCTCCCACGTCAGCCTCCCAAGTAGTTGGCACTATAGGTGTGCCCCACCACACCTGGCTAATTTTTAAATTTTTTTGTAGAGACAGGATCTTGCTGTTGCCCAGGCTGGTCTCGAAATCTGGGCCTCAAGAGATCCTCCCACCTCTGCTTCCCAAAGCATTGGGATTACTGGAGTGAGCCACTGCACCCTGCCAGTATCCCCTACTTAGAACTCTTTGTGGAAGAACACCAAAGCCCACTCATCTTTGATATTTGAAGCCTCTCATACCTGCCTTTCTTCCCCCTCAAGACTGTCTAATAAAAGCCCAACATTGAGGCTGGGTGCAGCGGCTCATTCCTATAATCCCAGCACTTTGGGAAGGAGGCTGAGGCAGGAGGATTGCTTGAACCTGGGGAGGCAGAGGTTGCAGTGAGCCAAGAAAACGCCACTGCACTCCAGCCTGGGCGACAGAGCCAGACTGCCTCAAAAAAAAAAAAAAAACCCACCAAAAAAAAAAAAAACAGCCCGGGTGCAGTGGCTCACGCCTGTAATCCCAGTACTTTGGGAGGCCGAGGCAGGCAGATCACCTGAGGGCAGGAGTTTGAGACCAGCCTAGCCAACATAGTGAAGTCCCGTCTCTACTAAAAATACAAAAAATTAGCCGGGCGTGGTGGTGCACACCTGTAATCCCAGCTACTAGGAAGGCTGAGGCAGGAGAATTGCTTGAACCCAGAAGGTGGAGGTTGCAGTGAGCTGAGATCGGGCCACTGCACTCCAGCCTGGATGATGGAGCGAGATTGTCTCAAAAACAAAAAACAAAAAAACCCCAAGGTTTTACTGAAATATTGAGAATCTCCCCAGAAAAAATGAGGAAATGTTCTTTCTTTCTCCGCAGCAAATGGACCTTCTTAGGCTGACTTGGAATTGCAGCAGGAGTCTCATTGCCGAGGACAACGGGGGACAAGTCCCCTCACTCTGAGAGAGGCCTGGACATTCCTCTCCCCTGCTAGGACTCACTAGAAGGCCAACCACTGTGGCCCCAGAGGATGGGACAGGGGAGATTCCTGGAGAGAGGGGAGGGCCAGGGAGACATGCTTCCATGCCTCCCATCTCCGTGGGTGACGATGGGTGCCTGGGAGAAGTGGCCCTGAGGTCCCAGAGCCCGGCCACGTGTGTGAGCGGGTGCACACGTGTGCATGCCTGTCCCCCAGACAGCCTGGTGCCTGGAAAGGATAAGGATGGAGGAAGCGGGTGAGTTGGGGTGGGGCGGGGGGGAATGAATGGCAGAGGCCAGAGAGTGAGCGAGTGTGGGGGTGTGGCTGAGGCTCGGCCCAAGCCCAGACATTTTCCATCCATTTCTATTTTCCCAGGACAGAAAATAACTCCCGGGAAGCCAGAGTGAGCAACATGGGCATCATCCGACCCACACCCCTCTGCCCAAGGGAAGTCTTCCTCTTAGACAGGCTGACCCCTCAAGGGTGGGGGGAACACTGGCTCCATAGGGCTGCCTGGCTGGGGGCCACCCTCCTGCCTCACAGGCAGGGAGCGACTTGGGGAGGTGGCTTTGGAGCCGGAAGGGAAGACGCTTCTCACGGACAGAGTGTGACTCAGACCCAGGCCCAGACGGGAGTGCAGCCTGCAGCTAAAAATACCCTGGGGGTTGGGGGGTGGCCCTGTCACAGGTGACTCAGGCCCATGGAACCATCCAAACCACTGTCCCTCCTTGGGGGAACCCTCAATTTGCCCATCGGGAGATTTTCAGCAACTCTTTTCACGCCCCCAGCCCCACGAGGGACCCACTTACACACACTCCCACCAGGCCAAGTTCACACTGGCGTTAAACATTGGGAAGCCGGCCTTAGCACTGGGGGACTGAGGCTGTGTGATCAGAGTTCGGGGTCTCCTCACCCGTACCCCCTACTCCACTCCTCTGTGATGGCTCCAGTTCCTCCATGAGAACATTAGACTGTCCCTTAAGGGACATATCCCCTTGAGTGGAAATCACCCAAGAAGCATCTTCAAGTCCAGAAAACCTCCCCAGACCCTCTCTTTTTTCTTTCTTTTTTATTTTTTTTGAGATACAGTCTCGCTTGTCACCCAGGCTGGAGTGCAGTGGCGCCATCTCGGCTCACTGCAACCTCTGCCTCCTGGGTTCAAGACTCCTGCCTCAGCCTCCTGAGTAGCTGAGATTACAGGCGCCTGCCACCATGCCCGGCTAATTGTTGTATTTTTAGTAGAGACAGGGTCTCACCATGGTGGTCAGGCTGGTCTTGAACTCCTGGCCTCAGGTGAACCACCTGCCTCGGCCTCCCAAAGTGCTGGGATTACAGGTGTGAGACGCGGTGCCTGGCGAGACCCTCTCTTGAGAGCAGGCTTTGATGGGAGGTGGCCAGCTCTGGGACCAGGAGGTAGAGGTGGGGCGAGGGGGGGCTCAGCTTCCTCATTGGGTTTCTCTAGTTGCAGGGGACCCACTGCCCGCCCCCAGGCCCCTGAGTCTCACCTGGCCTCCAGCACAGAGCAGCGTAGCCGGCAGGCCCGGGCCCCTGGCCACACTTCCAGCCGCAGGTGGATCTCGCCCTGCACCT